>NC_000003.12:123402543-123705574 GCF_000001405.40 Homo sapiens
GAAAATGTTTAAAGGAGCCCTAGTCGGCTGGGCGTGGTGGCTCACGCCTGTAATCCCAGCACTTTGGGAGGCTGAGACGGGTGGATCACGAGGTCAGGAGATTGAGACCATCCTGGCTAACACGGTGAAACCCCGTCTCTACTAAAAATACAAAAAAAAATTAGTCAGGCGTGGTGGTGGGTGCCTGTAGTCCCAGCTACTCGGGAGGCAGAGGCAGGAGAATGGCGTGAACCCGGGAGGCGGAGCTTGCAGTGAGCCGAGATCGCGCCACTGCACTCCAGCCTGGGCAACAGAGTGAGACTCAGTCTCAGGAAAAAAAAAAAAAAAGGAGCCCTAGTCGTGTCTACAATTTCTTCTTTTTCGCAGGGAAGATGTATTTATGTTATATTTATTATATAATTAGAGATTGGTGATTTAAAAAGAAAAAAAGGAAAGCAGTAAAGCATTCCTCAACACTGTGTGATGGCAAGGAAATCAAAAGATGTCTTCACCAGTGTCTCCCCATCTGTCCTCTGCATCTTGCAATGTCTTGAGCAGCACTTAGAGCACAGATTGGCCAGACACGGTGGCTCACGCCTGTACTCCCAGCATTTCGGGGGGCCGCGGCAGGCAGATCCCTTGAGCTCAAGTGTTGGGGACCAGCCTGGGCAATATGGGGAAACCCCATCTCTACAAAAGATACAAAAACTAGCCAAGTGTAGTGGCACACATCTGTGGTCTCAGCTACCTAGGAGGCTGAGGTGGGATTCCTTGAACCTGGGAAGATGAGGCTGCAGTGAGCCATGATTGCACCAACCACTACATGCCAGCCTAGGCAACAGAGCGAGACCCTGTCTCAAAAAAAAAAAAAAAAAAAAAAGAGTACAGATTACATGTTTAGAGCCAGAAAGCCCTGGGTTCATTCAAGCTGTGGCTCCACCACCAACGGCCTGTGTTGCCTGGGCCTGCTTTCCTCACCAGTAAGAGGGGATGGCAATAACACCCATGTGAGAGGATGGCTAAGAGGAAAAACTCAGGGAGCATTGTTGAGTGAACAAGTGAGGTGCGCAATCAGTCCCTGGGTCCATCCCTCTAGGAATGCTGCCCTCTCCTCCCAATCCCCCTCAACACCACTGCCGTGAGAATCAATCAGCCACATCACTCAAAAACTCCTGGAGGGTCCCTGCTGTCTAGGAAATTAAGAATGAACTCCTGAGTTGGGCTTTCCCAGCCCACCAGGAGCTGCTCCTCACACATCCGCCCTGCATGGACCCCGGGTCCCTCCTTCCTGTATGTCTTTGTCACACTCTTCTATCCCTTTGGCTCTCAATCTCATCCCTCTCTGGAATCCATATCCATCCTCTGGACCTTCTCTGCTCTCTCCAGACAGAAGGGAATTCTCTGTCTCTCTCCTGTAGCCTTCCTTACATGCTATTCTGACTACAGCCAGCTACACACAGGTGTTCATCTTCCTGACTATAGCAAACATTTTGATTTACAAAGTGTTAGTTTACAAGAAAGGAGTAAGACCCACTTCTCTTCCCTTGAAGAACCTGAAATCCAGTGAAGAAGATCAAGATATGCCCCCCAGGAAACATTTAACAAAGCAGAACAGCCGATTACAAAGCACCAGCGAAGGCCACACAGTCAGCACTGTGTCTGAGTTACAATGTCACATTACCTCGAGGCTCTGGAAGGGGACTTTCAAATGCAGACCAAAAGGCTGGTTGACAAGCACCCCGAGTGCTGAGAACATAAGACTCAAAAAAGAGACAGTTCCCTCTTCACCGAGCTTTCCGACCTTGGACAAACACCACCCTTGCCAGACACAGTGGGTGAGCAAGGTAACCCCTCAAGCCACCGGTCAGTTCAGAACACTAAGCAGAGGCCCTCCTGGCAGCATCTTCAGCCCTTACCTTCTCACTGCTCCATCCAGACCTCCCACTCCACCATGGTCAGGGGCCAGGAGGTGGGCAGTCGGCCCATGTCCCCTGCCTGTGTCTGAGGCCCAGCTTCTGCCTTGCCCCATCTTTCCAGCTGTGTTCCAGAGAGAAGAATGTGCACTATGCCCAGAATAAACACTAGCACAGGCCTCCTGAGTGGGAAGGCCACTGGGGAAAGAAGTGGGAGGCTCCATCTTCTCAGACAAGAGCTCCCAGCCGCAGGGGCTCTGAGGGTGTTGTGGGTCCACTCTGAGTTCAGCACTCGAGAATTTTTGGATTAGGTGGAGCCTGATGGGAAAAATCACAAGGCCAGGGCTCACTACCTTGGCCAGCAGGGAAAACAGACTGGAGGAGTCAAGCCAAATGTGGACACATCTGGGCAGGAGACCTCTCTGCTGAAACACACATTTCTGTTTTATTCTATCTATTCAGACCCCATCTTCAACTGGCTCTGAAAAAGAGACCTCACCAGTGTGGTCTGATCAGTGTGTTTATCTTGGGGTCTCAGCACCTAACTCTGGGCCTCAGTTTTCTGACAAACCTGCCCCCCTTGTTTCACCAGTGCTGCTGGAATGGTAGGGCGATGCCAGAAGGGCAGGGCAGAGGAAAGAGCCTGCGACAGCTGCTGGAAGTGCCACCTGTCACCGTGCTGCTGCAGTACCTGCTGGAGCAGCCCTGAAAACAGAGCAGCTCAGCGAAGGCCGGCGAGGCCAAGCAGCACAGGCTCCCCAGTCCTGTCCTCTCTCATGCTGTGGCTCTGGTTTTCATGCCAAGGGACTCCAGCCCTCCGCCAGGCTGCAGCAGCCTTGCCCCGCGGACTCCCTTGGCTGCATGGCCAGGCTCTGAGCACCAGTCTAGAGCACAGGATGGAGAAGCACGGACAAGGCATGTCAGGCTGCAGGGTTTCCACGTCAGAATTCTTCCCTTGTGTGGAATGCAAATGCTTCCAGACCCAGAACACCGGCACAGAGAGGACTGAACACCAACTTGGTTCTCTCCTTTAGGACCTGAGAGATCTGTGAGAGGTGAGGAGGGAGCAGGACAGGAGGGGAGAGGTGCCTCCTGCCAGGCCTGAGCAGGGCCATACCAAATGCAAGGCCCGTGGCCTTCCCCACTAGACCATCATGCCATTTTATTTTATTTATTTTATTTTATTTTACTCCATTTTATTTTATTTTATTTATTTTGAGTCAGAGGCTCGCTTTGTCGTCCAGGCCAGAGTGCGGTGGCGCCATCTTGGCTCACTGCAACCTCCACCTCCCAGGTTCAAGCAATTCTTGTGTCTCAGCCTCCCAAGTAGCTGGGACTACAGGCACCTGCCACCAGGCCGGGCTGGTTTTTGTATCTTTAGTAGAGATGGGGTTTCACGATGTTGGCCAGGCTGGTCTAAAACTACTGGCCTCAAGCGATCTGCCTGCCTTGGCCTCCCAAAGTGCTGGGATTACAGGTGTGAGCCACCACACCCAGCACTTTTTATTTTTCATCTCTGATACTTTGAAATCTGGGGTCTCGCTGACCCTGGAGGGACCGACTGCTCTTCCCAGGCCTAGCCAATTCCTAGAGACAGTAAATGACTTGCTTGTGAGTGCACCTTTCATATGCAAACCAACCAATCCAGAGGCCATACTCCCAACCACCTTCTTTATTGGGTTCTTATACTCAAGGCCATTACTTTCCTACCCTAATCACCCCAGGGTCAGGTACTGAACAACCAGAGACAGCCTCTAGGCTCCAGGGCCTGCTGTAGTTATTCAAACTGCCAATCCTAAACCTGCTGACCCCGCCTCTCTGTTCCTTCCCTGGAAACCACAATAAAGGCTCTTGCCCACATTTCTCCCTGGCTCCCTCTGCCTCCTGACTGACCCTGGCATTTCCCCGTGTGGCCCCCGCATGGCATGGCATGGCATGTGCCCTCCTCTTGGGAGCCATGAGTAACAAACTATCTTTTCCACGGTGGTTGTCTCCCGATCTGTTGGCCACACCATACCTGAACAATAATAAAACCTACGGTTTAAAATACCCACATGCAGGGCTCCCCAGGCAGTCACAGAGATTATTGTCTGGTGCCCCTGATCAGCAAAGCGGCGTTTTCATTTCAGTTGGAGAGAGTGAAGAGGAGAGGAAAGGGATTTTTTTCTTTCCTCCTGAAATTGGGCTCTTGGGACTCAAGGTTATTCCCTTTCCATTTCTCCCATGGTCACTCAAAATGGCACAAATAATGGCTTAATGAGCACTGGCTCTGTTGTAATGATGGGAGGGACAAGGACGCTTGGCCGACCGGGGTTGAGCAAGTCTGCACTCCCATGACTCCACCCAGCTGGACTCCTAATAAGGCCCTCTCAACAGTGCCTGGGCCCTCTCCACTTGAGCTGGCTCTCCTCCAGAACACGCCACTGCCTTCCTTGGCCAGGCTGCCACTAGCACACCCACCCTGCAGGCCAAGCCGCCGCCACTGCTCCTGCTCCTATGGGAATCCAGGACCTTTTCCATCTGGGCACCAGGTCACTCCTTGGTTTTGGACCAAAATGCCTCGCTTTGAAACCGTCCACACCCAGACCTGCAGACATCTTTGGAGTTCAGCCACCACATTTCCCTGAACTGGCTGCTCCTCTATTCTAGGAACGTGATACCCCCTCAGCTGCCCCTCCTGGCCAAGCTTTATCCTCCCACTCTGACCTCTGGGTCCCTCAAGGCCACATACCCAGCCCCAGCTCTAACCATCAACTCTCCCTTCTCCAGACACCCTACTGCTCTCAGCCTCCCCACAGGCCATGCCATCGCCATCAGTGCACACCCCTCTCCTGAGATGCCCTCTCTTCTTAAACATGCATCACACTTCAGCAACCAGCAGTAGCACTTGGATTTCTCTGGTCATCAAAAAGAATGGGATCAGATAAATGAAATGTGCTCTAGCTATAAAATGGAATATTATTCATCCATAAAACACGAATAAAGTACTGATTCATACTACAATGTGGATGAACCTGAAAAATATTTTGCAAATGCCAGGTATAGTGGCTCATCCCTATCATCTCAGCACTTTGGGAGGCCAAAGCAGGAGGTATCGCTTGAGCTCAGAAGGTTAAGACCAGCCTGGGCAACATAGTGAGACCCTATCTCTACTAAAAAAAAAAAAAAAAAAAAAATTAGCTGGGCACGGTGGTATGCACCTGCAGTCTCAGCTACTAGGGAGTCTGAGGTTGGAGGATTGCTTAAGCCAGGGAGATAAAGGCTACTGTGAGCTATTATATGATCATTCCACTGCACTGCAGCCTGGGCAACAGAGTGAGACCCTGTCTCAAAAAAAAAAAAAGTTGCAAAGTGAAAGAAGTCAGACACAAAAAGATACATATTGTTATGATTCCACTTATAGGACATATCCAGAATAGGTAAATCCATACAGACATTAAGCAGACTAGTGGTTGCCAGGGGCTGAGGGGAGGAGGAAATTCGGAGTGACTACTAATGGGTATTGGGTTTTCTTTGGGGCTGACAAAAATGTTTGGGATAGACAGAGGTGGAAAATTGAATTTCATCTCAATTTTTTAAAGCGTGGTTTTTTAGAAAACGCATCAATTATGTACAGAATTATGTACAGTGGCCACATAAAAAGAAATATCAGAGGTGGTCTCAGAGAATACAAAGAGCCCTGGACCTACGGTGAAAAATCTAGACACCAGTTCCATGTTTGATGCCTGGGACACATTAAGCAAATCATGGAACATCACTTCCAAGGGATGCTCTACCGCATGAACATGGTCGTAACACGTATTTTCAGTGTCGTTATGAGAATCGAGTGAGATAATGTAGGAACAGCACACAAAAGACATTCATTTGTACACTCAGCAAGAAAATTAGCATACAAATGTTACGTTTTTTGTTTTTTTTTTTTTTTTTAAAGGCAGACGTTGGCCGGGCACGGTGGCTCACGCCTGTAATCCAAGCACTTTGGGAGGCCGAGGTGGGCGGATCACGAGGTCAGGAGTTCGAGACCAGCCAGCCCAATATGGTGAAACCCCATCTCTACTAAAAATACAAAAATTAGCTGGGCACAGTGGCATGCGCCTGTAGTCCCAGCTACTCGACAGGCTGAGGCGGAAGAATCACTTGAACCCAGGAGGCGCAGGTTGCAGTGAGCCGAGATGGCGCCACTGCACTCCAGCCTGGGCGACAGAGCAAGATTGCATCTAAAAAAAAAAAAAAGCAGACACAAAGTTCTAGCTGTACTCGGCCGGGCATGGTGGCTCACTCCTGTAATCTCAGCACTTTGGGAGGCCGAGTGGGTGGATCACCTGAGGGTAGGAATTCAAGATCAGCCTGGCCAACATGGTGAAACCCCATCTCTACCAAAAATACAAAAATTAGCCAGGTGTGGTGGCAGGTGGCTGTAATCCAGCTACTAGGGAGGCTGAGACAGGAGAATCGTTTGAACCCAGGAGGCAGAGGTTGCAGTGAGCCGAGGTCCTGCCACTGCACTCCAGCCTGGGCAACAGAGTGAGACTCTAACTCAAAAAATAAAATAAAATAAAAATAGCTATAACAAACCACATTTACTTACATAAAAATGTATCTCTGTAGATAAAGTATAGAAAAGATTTAGAGAGCTAGCTGGTGTTTTAAGCTTATGAAATATTTTCTATAAAATTATCTATACAGGCAGCCAGGCTCTTGATCTGGCTCTGCCTATAACCAGCCTGGAAAGTCTTTATAAAATCTGCTCCCCATCTGACCTTGGGTTTTTAGAAAAGTTTAACCCTTATAAGGGTCTGCTTTAACTATATCCACTCAACACCTAGTTCCTCTATGTGCTAGGGGCTGTGCTAGGTGCCATGGGGGCCCCCAGGGATTGGTAAGAGTGAGTCCCAATACTCCAGGTGTGTACAGTCGCAGGCCATGAAACCAGGTAGCATGTGGGGAAAAAGGACAGACGGCCCAGCACATGCTAGTTCTCAGGGTGGCCACTGGAGAAGGTATCCTTGGAGTCAGGGTCTAAAGGTGGGATGCAGCTTTCACAGGTGGAAAGGATGTGTTCCTGCTAATAGTCCTGTCCAAGCAGCACAGATAGGTAAGGGAAGCACCACCAAAAATCCTCAACTGATTATCTAGCACAGTGGTTCTCCAAGTGGGATATCCAGAGCAGGAGCAGCTGCAGCATCACCCAGGAAGCAGCTAGACATGCAAATTATTGGGCTCCACCTCTGACCTTGTGACTCAGAAACTCTGGGAGCCCAGCAAGCTCTCCAGGAGGTTAAGATGCCCACTCATGTTGAGATGCCCCTCTTGCACCTCACCTGCTTCCTTAACAGAGGCCGGGCAGAAGGTAGAAACTGCCCCAGAGACATTCCCTCACTCACCGGCCCCTCCCACCCTCCAAGCCCCAGTTGGATGAGCTGAGAAAGTTCCCTGTGGTTAGAGGAGCTAATCTATCACCTGGATATAAATTAACTTGCCCTCTCTCGTCACCAGCCCACTGACCTGGGAAAGGCAAACACGCAGCTGGCAGGGAAAGAGCAGTAATAAATCTCTTTTTCTACAGGTCCTCCCACACCCACTTCCCCAACTGAGACCTGTGTTCCCTGAGGCAGTGTGGCCCCATAGCCCTGAGGTCCCTCTGCTCTCCCACATGAGCAGGTGCTGGATCCGGTCAACCCAGTGAGAGGCCCCCATCTGCCCTCAGGGCCTCCACCAGAACTAGGAGAATGAGAAAGGGAGGGAAGGATGGGGGCTGGAACACAGCTCATCACCCTTAAGGATGGCAGAGTGACTGGAAGCTTCCCTTGTAGAACTCCTCAGGAAACAGCCCACAAAGACTCCCTCCAGGGCAGCTCTGTCTTGGCAGAGTTCCATCCCCCTCCTCCTCCTCCCCCAACCCTTATCCCCCAATTCCTCCTCCTCCTCCTCAACACAGCAGCCTGGGGCCACCCCGTACCTCCCAGGCATAAGTAGGAATGGTAGAGCCATATCCCAAGGTGAACTGCCTGTTGGGGAAGGGCTAATCTCCTATTATTCCAACACCCTTGGCCACATCCTGCACTCTGTCTGCCTTTGGAATGACCAGGTGAAAACCAACATAACGTCCACCTTAGAAAGCTGCAGTAAGAATGAAATCTAACAGGACACATAAAGGACATAAAATAAAGGCTCAACAATGGCAGCTCTTAGATTAATCACCATCACATCCATTCTTTTTTTTTTGGAGGTAGAATCTCACTAGCTCTGTCGCCCAGGCTGGAGTGCAGTGGTGCAATCATAGCTTACTGCAGCCTCGAACTCCTGAGCTCAAGCGATCCTCCCACCTCAGCCTCTTGAGTAGCTAGGACTACAGGCATGTATCACCTTGCTGGGCTAACTTTTTCATTTTTTGTAGAGATGCAGTCTCACTATGTTGCCCAGGCTGCTCTCAATCTCCTGGCCTCAAGTGATCCTTCTGCCTGGGCCTCCCAAAGTGCTGGGATTACAGACGTGAGCCATCTCACCCCATCCTTATTCAAACTACTTAAATAGCTATCACCTACTGGATACGGCCTAAATTCCTTAGCACTAGCCATTCCAGCACCCACTTATCTCCAAAGCAGCAGCTATACCAAATCACTCAGGTTTGTCAAATATGCCCTCTACTACCAAGCCTAACCCGTTCCCTCCATGAGCCTCCTGTTTCAGTCTGCCAGAAAGCTCTTCTTCCTTGCCCTGTGCCTCCACCAACCTCTTCCATTGCAGTTTCCCTGGGCCTCCTGGAATCCACAGTCAAGGGCGTACTAGTGCCTGCTTCGAGGAGAGCCTGCCATCCACCATTGGGGTCCACTCAGAGGGCTGAGCAAGTATAAGAGCAAAACAAGTGTCTGGCAAGTGGACTGGATTCCCTTCAGTTCAGAAGGGAAACCAGAGCCTCAAATAAGCAGGGAGCAGACCCCTGACAGGCCTCACCGATCACTGACTAAGGAGTTAGATCACCGGGCTGGGGGCCTGTCCTCGGCACCTAGGGGAGGTAACACTCATAGTGCCTGAACTGAGACAGAAACTCCTGAGACAACAGATGCTGACTCAGCCTGAGGGGACAAAGGACAAAGGCCTAAGCCTGGCCCAGGATCCCAGTGCCTATCTTTCTCCTTCCCCTGCCTCTTATCCCCAACCCCCAGCCAGCAACATGTTTTAAGTCCAAGCTCCCACAGAGTGCCAGGCCCAGCACCCCCAATCCAACCCCAGGACTCGTTCCAGAGGCAAAGCAGGGTGGGGCAACAGTTGCTCCTGTCCTCACAGCCTGGTGACCAGGGTGGCCCTGGGACCAAAGCCTCTGGGCTCACAGCTTAACCTAATGGGACACCTGAGCTGACATGTCAATACAGGTGAGCAGGCCCACGTGGGGCTGTCCACCGTTGACAGCACAACAGAGTCCCAGGTGGACTCACTGTGGCCCTGTCACCCATCCCCTGCCCCCGCATAGCCCAGTGTCCATCCCCGCAGCCTGTGGGCCCAGGTACCAAGCCCACCCACACAGAACTCCACCTTTGGAACATGCCCTCTCCCCAGACAGGCATCTGAACTATCCTACCCTAGGCTCTGCCGGCATCCAGGAGCTCAGGATGCCTGCCCTCTCCTTTTGAGAAGGTGCCAACAAGCCCCCACTCATAAAACCTTCCTCCACATAGGGGAGGATGGGAAGAGACAGCAGGAGGGAACGAAGCTAGACCTCGAGGCTTCCTGACCACAAGGGGCACGCTGCGGCAGGAAAGAGGACACTTTGCCTCATAGGCCTCTCTAGCCATGGCCTGGGGGCCCTGTGTCCTACTGCAGATTCCTGCCACCAGGCTGCCCTTAGAGAAGGTATTCGCCCCAACAGGAGACAGGGTGTGGTGGGAGAAGTAAGAACAGACAGTAACAGAGAAAGGACCCAATAGGACGTCCCTGCGGGCTCTCCCCCAACTCTGAATAGATGCCAGACAACGCAACCACTGTGTCCTCCAAAAGCCGGGAAACCATGTACACTGGGGTTCCCAAAGGGGCCAGGGCTGCAGGGATGGTTTGGGAGTGAGATTTCAAGCGTATGAAGACAGCAGTTACAGCACTGACAGCCTCTGTGTTGCGGTGGCAGATAGAGCTCGGAAAGGCTAAGAGCAAAAACCTTGGAGGAAGATGTGCTGGGGAGCTGGGAGTCGGGGTTAATGGGGGTCTGGTGCAGAAGGAACCTGAGCACCCATTGAGGGTCATCTGGTGATGTGGAAGCCTCTGGGATCCAACTCCCCCATCCCTCATTTCCTATCTCTGTTCTTCAGCTTTACCACAAAAAGACATCTGCAGAACTAGAAACATCTGGATCCTTCCTCAAGCTAAAAACAAAACAAACAAACAATGACAAAAAAAAAAAAAGGCAGTCATGGTTATGTGCTTCGTTCAATGACTGCCCTAAATAGCCCCGTCCAGGAACGTGCCTGTCAGAACAGCTGGTGACGGCGTCCCTCTCCCGGCACAGATGCCCAGCACAGCCTGATAGAGCAGGCGGCACAGGCCAGCCTGCACTGTCTCCTGGTTAAATCCACATCTCTAAGAAGTCACGGAGCCCCCTGGAGACGACCTCACCGTCCTCAGCAGACACAGGCTTCATGACGCCGGCTCCTCCGGGACGGGACCAGGCTCACTCCCCTGTTCTGTTTTCCCATTTTCATCTTGGAAACTCTGCCAGTTCGTGGGAGAGGAATCACAGCCCATCTCCCAGCAGATGGGCCAAGCCAAGGACCAGGCTGTTTTCTTAAGCAGTGACCTTTCGGAAGGCAGGAGCTGAGCGTGCCTAAAACACGGAACACGGAACATTTCCCCAAACCCTAAACTGAAGCAGGCAGGAGCACTTCCCGTCCCTGACCAGAGAGATGGCTGAGCCATGAGCTCAGGCCCCTGGGTGGGCTGGGCCCAAGGAAGGGTGGTTGATTTCTGGAGGCCTCTGATCCCAGCCTGAGCAGGGAGGGAGATGCCCCCTCCCAGACAGAATTTCCACAGTAGAATCACAGAAAACCTGGCTTGCAGAGGGCCTCCCCTCAGAAACCTGAAGCCTGTGTTGAGAGGCCAGGTCAGGGGAGGATTCCGTATCCAGAGCTGCATAGGATCCCAGCAAACAAATCCCAGAGCAGTGAGGCTCTCACCAGAGGGAGCAACCGATTAACAGCCTTTGGAAACAAGACTGCAGGCCCATCCAAGTCACTCTGCCTGGCCTGCTGTCAGTCTAACCTAAATCCCTCAGGCTACAGCTTGAGGCCCTCTTGCTCTTCCTCAGTGAGGGCAGGGAAAGCAGTTCACCTGCCTTTGCTTTGTTCTACAAGCCTGACCATGTTGGGTGCAAGAGACATGAAACCCAGTGTCTGTCCCTGAAGGAGCAAATGGCAGCAGAGAGCTGGGGAGACAAAGGGGTGGGGGGGCTGCAGAACGGACAGAGTGAGGCCCAGGAACTGCACCCCAGCCCAGCTGCGAACTGTGTGATCCTGTGTGTTCAGCCTCACTCTCAGATGGGACGATGCAGAAAGAATTTGGGGAGATGACTGTGAAGTTCCCTGCCAGCCCTGATTCAGATAAAACGCAGAAGGGAGGAGGGAGAGAGACTGAGAAGGTGGTCTGGACACTATGTCATGGGCTAAAGACATATAAGCTGCCCGGCATCTGCCTGTGATGAGTCAATGAAGAATGACTTTGGGGGACACCAAAACTTCAAAGACCTGCCACCACTCCTCAGTCCACCCCAGCCTTCTCTGCTCCCAAGTGGACAATCCCAGCATGGCCCTCCTGCCAGCCCCTCTACACTCATCTCACCTACTAGCTCATCCCACACCCACGCCCCACCTGCACACTTACTGTGCAGCTCTGTGGGACCCTTTATCCTCTCTAAGCCTTTTTTTCTAAACTGTAAAATGGGGATGATAATAGTTTCCACTTCGCTGACACTCCAACAAGCTAACACATGGCAAATGCTCCTCGGAAACCATACAGATGTTCCTTCAGCCGGTGATTTCCTGTGTCCAGGACTAAACACCAGGGGATGAGGAGCTCCCACTCAGGGGAGAGAAAGCAGCATTTCTGAGGACCACTTCTAAGCTAGGGCTTGACCTTATGGCTTACCTTTTTTTTTTGAGACAAAGTCTGGCTGTGTCGCCCAGGCTGGAGTGCAGTGGCATGATCTTGGTTCACTGTAACCTCTGCCTGCTGGGTTCAAGCAATTCTCCTGCCTCAGCCTCCCAAGTAGCTGGGATTACAGGCATGCACCACCATGCCCGGCTAATTTTTGTATTTTTAGTAGAGATGGGGTTTCACCACATTGCCCATGCTGGTCTCAAACTCTTGACCTCAAGTGATCTGCCCACCTCAGCCTCCCAAAGTGCTTGGGATTACAGGCACAAGCCACCCTGCCCGGCCCTGATGGCTCATCTTTAAAGCAACCCTCTGGAGGATCGACAGATGAGGAAACTGGGGCCCTGAGGGGCTAAGTAACCTGCCCAAGGTTGCACAGGTAGTCATAGCCAGAAGCAGGATTTGAACATATGGCTCACTCCAAAGCTTCCACCACTGCGGCCCCTTGGGTCCCTAGAGAGAAGATCCTTGGGGTGAGCTACAGCAGGGCCCACAGCCACCCCACATCACCAGGGAGAGGATCCATGGATTCTCCCACAGCCCCCACTGGCCCTCGGGTCTGATAGGAACTGTTTATTCTAGACTCATATTTTCTGTAAACACGGCTTAGGTTGCCAAGGGAGGGAGAGAAATGCATTTGTTAGAGAGGAATGGGATGGAATCATAAAACTTCCTTTGGCTCAGCTGGGGACCAGGGGACAGGGTGGAACCCTCTGCCATGCCCGGACAGAGGGTTATCCAGCCTCTCCCCCAGCTCCACGGTACACTAGTACCACCTCCACGCCAGAGCCAGAGTGGGCCCGCCAGGTGTCAGTGTGCCTGTGGCCTCGGCCGATCAGATCACTTCTCACCAGAGCCCTGGGGAGGGCTTCATGGCACAAAAGAAAATGACCCAGATTCTTTCTGAGCTTGTCCTCCCAGGGGTGATGGCGGCCCCTGGGAGAACTAACGAGCCTCTCTTCAGCGTCTGCGGGACCGTTTAGAAAATGATTACTTTTCCTGCAACCAGAAAGCGGAGGTGGCATGTCCCACAGCGCCTCTGTGGCCTTGGGGAGGAGCTCCAACCAGAGAGAAGGCAGTTTAATTACAAAGCCCAGGCCTCTGGGTCTAATCTGGTGCGCCTTCTTACTACATTGTTTTTCTTTTTAAGTTCTCCTTCATTTAACCCAAACACCATGCCCTTGGAGGTCGTTCACAGTGAGGAAACTGAGCATCTTTAGTGGACCCAGGATCACAGAGAGGCAAAGATCAAATTCAGGTACAGATTGTTTTCAGAAATACATGCTAGGTGTATAGGGGTAAATGGACATGATGGCTGGAATTTGCTTTAATATACTTCAGCAAGAAGAAAAAAAGAAAAAAGAGTAAGTGAAATCAATGCGGCAAAATCATGACAACTGCTGGTTGAATGGTAGGTATACGGTAGTTCATTATTTTTTCTACTTTGAATGTTCCATACCAAAAAATCCAAGATAAAGTTCCCACCTAGGGTCAGGGGTTACAGTACAGGCCCCAGGTGAGGTGTCCAAGAAGGTGGAAGGGCAAAGGAGAAGGAGAATCAGCAGAAAGGGACAGGTAGTGTGGGAGGCCTGAGGTGGCCATGACACTCACCCTCCGTGGGGCCCATTCTCCTCCAGGACCTGTCTGAATGGACAGGTCACCTCTGCTGCAACAGCCCTCTTTCTGAGACTTCATTCCTCAGGACTTACTTCCAGACGCTTCCCCAAAAAGGGGCTAAAGGCAATAACCTCCTTCCCTAGGACATTTATAGCCAGAACATTTTGTCCCCTTGTCTTGGGGAAGACACCAGGCTGCTTAACAGTGGAACAGCCTGGACAACCTCCCAAAGGGCCTCCCTGTCTCTGATTTGACTAGAAAGGAGGGAGGAGGCTCTAAGGCACTGAAGGACGCAGAACAAGTCTCTCATAGAAACTGGTAGAGACCTCAAGATTTTGAGCAAACTCCTACCCGATAGGGCTTTCATGCTGGGGACAAGGCAGCCTGATAGAGGAAAATACCAACCCGTGGCTCTTACTATTCACAAACTCGCTCTGCCACGAACTGAATTATGGCCCCCAAAATTCCTCTGTTGAAGCCCTGTCCAGGGCTTGTGAGGGGAGGAGGGCTCACTGGCCAGCAAGCAGTTATCTCCCTCACTGCCCCATTACGGACCCCAGGAAGAGGAATGAGGAGAGAGGGTGGGAGTGTATTTGTGTGTGTGTATGCATGAGTGTGAGTGTATTTGGCGATGAAGACTTGAGGGAGGTAATTAGGCTTAAATGACGTCATAAGATTGGGACCCTCATCTCACAGGAAAAAGAGTAGGCTCCAGAGATATCTCTCGCTTTGTGAGAACACAGAGAAAAGACCCAGCGAAAGGCAGCCATCTGCAACCCAAAGGGAGAATCCTCATCCGACCCCAATCCTCTGGCACCTTGATCCTGACTTCCAGCCTCCAGAACTGTGAGAAAATACATTTCTGTTGTTTATGCCCCCAATCTCTGGTAAATGTTACAGCAGCCTGAGCAGACGAATAGCTCCTTCCCCCGAGAGAGCTGAGAGCCAAAGGTGCATTGCAGTTCCATCTGTCCCCACAGCAGATCTGTCTAGCTCAAGAGCCCCTGATTTCTTGGCATCCCCAAGGTACCAGGTTCCCCCCTACCCCACCACCACCATGTGATCCAGGGCAGGAGGCATGAAAAGGCCACAGGTGGCTCTGCATCTTCAGGAAGTCAGTGAGAGGCTCCCACCTTCTCTCCTCATTCCTCTTCCTGGGCTCCCTAATGGGGCAGTGAGGGAGATAACGGCCCGCTGGCCAGTGAGCCCTCTTCCCCTCACAAGCCCTGGACAGACAGGTCCCCAGAGAGAACATTACCTTAAGCCCTTGCCCCCAGAACTCTGTAACTGAACAGATATTTGCACAGGCCAGTCATTGTCCTTCTCTCATTCAGGGACAAGTCCTTACTAAATGTCCACTTTGCTGAATGCTAGAGATGGATGTGTCACTCCTGGCATTGAAGTGGCCAGAAATCTACAAATAGAGGAAGTAACATGGAAAAGACATGAGCCATGGGACAGTATCTCAAGTCAGAAGATGGCAGGTCTAAATCCGATCCATTCAGATGGGTCTAAATCAGCCATGGAATAGCCATGTGACCCTGGGTGGTCACCTCACCTCTCTGGGCCTCCATTTTTTCCTCTGAAAATGAAAGGGCTGGAGATGATGGTTATACTTCTTTCCAGCCCTGACATTCTAGAATTTTATGAAATAGAACTCCGAAAATGATATAAATGAAGGCTCGTAAGGTAAGATGGCCTGGGATGCCTGCAATGTGCTGGAGGAAAATGCAGAGTGGGTGGCCTTCCAACAGAGCGAGACTCTGGACCAGCCATGACTACCAACAATTCTGCAGTCAAGGAAACTGCCATTCACAGTAATCAGAGTGGGCTCATTTCCCTGGTGAACCCAGCCACTGTGCCCCATCAGCAGGTCTAAGTTACAGAGCACTCAGATCCCAGGAGGTGAGACCCACACTGATCACTGGTTCCTGGAAAGGCCAGTGGCACATGTTCACTAACAGATCCCACCTTACCACCTGGTCCATGTTCCCACCATCCCTGGCATGAGGGCTAATTTTACATGTGAACTTGACTAGGCTAAGGGATGCCCACATAGCTGTAAAACATTATATCTGGGTGTATCTGCAAGGGTACATCCAGAAGAGATTAGCATTGGAATCAGCCAACTGAGTAAAGAAAATCGCTGCCTTAGTACATTTTGTGTTGCTATAACAGAATACCTGAGACTGGGTAATTTAGAAAGAAAAGAGGTATATTTAGCTCATGCTTCTGCAGGCTGAAAAGTTCAAGAAGCATAGCACCAGCATCTGCTCTGCTTCTGCAGAAGGCTTTTCATGCTGTGTCACAACATGGCAAAGATCAAAGGGGAAGCAGATACGTGTGAAGGAACAAAACCTATGGGCGCCCTGGCTTTACAACAACTCACTCTCCCAGGAACGAATCCAGCCTCAGCAGAGTGAGAACTCACTCACTACCAGAAGAACAGCACCAAGTCATTCCTGAGGGATCTGACCCCATGACCCACACACCTTCCACTAGGCCCCACCTTCCAACACCACCACATCGGAGATCAAATTTCAACGTGAGTTTCGGTGGAAACAAACTCAAACCATAGCAATCGCCCTCACCAAATTCAGGTGGGCGTTATCAAATCCACTGAAGGCTTGAATAGAGCAAAAAGGTAGAGGAGGGGAGAATTCACTCTCTTCTTGAGCTGAGACATCCATCTTCCCCTGCCCTTGGAAAGCGGGCTCCTGGTTCTCAGGCCTCTGACTTAGGCTGGGACTTACAACATTGTCTCTCCTGGGTTTCAGGCCTTCAGGCTTGGACTGAAACCACGTCACTGGCTTTTCTGGTCCTCCAGCTTACAGACAACAGCTCATGGGTCTTCTCAGTCTCCGTAACGGCATGAGCCAATCCCCCACAGTAAATCTTTCTATATGTCTATATAAATCCTAAGGGTTCTGTTTCTCCAGGGAACGCTGATAGTGCAGCCGGTGCCCGAGAGAGCACCGCATCCCCTCCCCTCATCATGATTCCAGGCCCTCCATGCATCTGACGAGCACACAGTCAGGTGGCACTCAAGGCCCTCCCCTCCACGCGCCCCCACAGGCCAGGGAAGTGCCGTCCGCCCACCCACTTCTCTTTGAATGGCAGCACTATTCCATCACTCTGGCTCATCTTCCACGCCTCCTCTTCCTCGCTTGCCAAATCCTGTCACTTTTCCAACAGAAATGTCTCTCCCTTCACCGTTTCCTTCCTACTCCCACCTCAGGCCCCATACCCACGTTGCCAGACTTGCATCAGCCTCCTCAATCCTGTAAATGCTCCCTGTCCAACCGACCGTGCACTCCTGCCTGCAGACCTCAGTGGATCCCCTTTTACACTTCGGTTCTGTAGATACTCCTCACCCCAGCATGTGAGGGCAACCATGATGTGTCACATTCCAGCCTCAACTCCTGCCTGCTCCAGGGAGGACCCTGTGCTTGGGTCACCGGGGAAGACTCTGTGTACCCGGACATACGTGGCACATTCCAGCTTCCAATCCTTTGCTTCCACTGCTCCCCCTGCCAGCGAGGCTCTTGCTGCGCGGCCCCTCTCAAAAGTGACCTCCTTCATGAAACCTTCCCTGGGCTCTCCCCCATCCAGCTCTCCCCAGCTGCTGCTCAGCTCCCCTCCTCCTCCGAGTCGCTCTTCCCACTCCGACTCTCACCTTGCACTTCCCCCGTGCTCATTTTATTCTACCTTGTATTATTTGCGCAGTTGTTGTAGACACCCCCCCACCCCTCCACCCAGCACAAATGATGAGCTCCCTGTGGGTGAAGCCTGCACCATCCTCATCACTGTATCCCTGGGCTATACATACAGAGATGCTCAAGACATATCTGTTTCCTCAAATGAAACTGAACAAACCGTTCTTTAGAGGGAGCAGGCGGGGCAGACTGCCAAGGTGCGCTGCGGAGGGCCTTGGCACTGGCTGCTACATCAGAAGCTGGCATCACCCACCCTGGGGACAGGTCTCCTCTGTCCAGCAGAGCTTGATTGTAAGTTTATGAGTCATGGTCATGAGGCCACAGCAGCTTAATGAAGGACATTCTCTATCCACACTCACATGCATGCACAGACACACAGATACACCCTAGATAGGCATATCATTTCCCGCTTAGAGATCACAGTTAAGCCTCCAGGAGATGGCGAGAAGACGGGTAGAGATGCTCAGGCCAAAACCCTGCTTTGGGTTGTCCTCTCCAGAGATTTGTTACCTCCTTTCTCCTTTTCCTCCTGCCTGGAGCAGGTAGGAAGTGCGCTAAGAAAGAGGTGAGAGGCAGGAAGGTAGGGTGGGAGGTGAGGGGTGAGTGATCTGTGCCCCAGGCCCTACAGATGGCCGCATCTCCATTCTCCTACACGGCCAAGAGCCTGGACCATCTGAGACAGATGCCAGAGGCTTGAGGCCAGCCAAAGCCTCGCCACCCCGGTCTGCTCAGTTCTGACACTGTTTGTCCCTGGGGGGTAACAAGCAGCTCAGGGCAGCGGTGAGGGGCAGTGGCCACACCATACCCCCTTCAGATCCTGCACTAGTCTGCTAGGGCTACTGCAGCAAAATTCCCCAACTCAGTGGCATAAACAACGGAAATCTATTGTCTCACAGTTCTGAAGGCCAGAAGTCCAAAATCAAAACGTTGGCAGAGTTGGTTCCTTCTGAGGGCTGTTTCCCCAGAAGGAAAAATCTGTTCCCTGCCTCTCTCCTGGCTTGTGGTAGCCTCAGGTGTTCCTTGGCTTGTAGATGGTGTTCTCTCCCTGTCTTCAGGTCATCTTGCCTCTGCGTATGTCTGTCTCTGTGTCCAAATTTCCCCTTTTTATAAGGACACCAGTCACACTGGATTAGGGCCCACCCTGATGACATCTTAACATTGTCATTTGCAAAGACCCTATTTTCAAATAAGTCATAGGTACTGTGGGTTGGGATTTCAATATCCTTTTTGGGAGACAGTTTAACATATAACAGACCCCAAGGATGGGAATCACTCCAGGTGCTTATTGTTCTGTTGAAAGAATGACTATAAAAGAGTAAATCTTCGTAGGGTTTACCAGGTGCTACACACTATTATAAGCATGTTTACCAGCACTGAGAAGTAGGTTACTTTTATTATCTCCACTTCCTACTGAGAAAGCAGAGACCCAGACAGGTTAGGTAACTGCCTCAAGGTTGTACAGTACATGAATGACAAACCCAGGATTCAAACTCAGGTGGTCTTTAGCCACTACAGTACAATAATCACGTCATACTGTTAGCACTTGTGCCGGTTCTGAGCAGCACAGACATTATCTCATCATGACACCTAGTCCTAAATCTAGTACCTGGGTGTGGTCCACTATGACCATCAGATTGAGCCATGGGGAGTTCTCACAGGGCAATTGCTCCCTGTACCCTGGCTCACATTGTCACCCAAGGGTGGGTGGTAGGCAATGACTGGGTGGGAGGAGTTCTGAGTGGGCAAGTAAAGAGTAAAGGGCATGGGGGCACAGGACAGATGGAGCCCACTGCCTTCCTTTTTGAGAGCTCCCCCACTGGCCTCCCAGGCAGGCACAAGACCACATTATATCAAACCCACTGCTATGCTATAGTGGAAAGGATTTATTGATATGTCCTGTTGGCTTTTTATTCAATGGGGGAGGACTGTGGGAGAGAGAGTTGAGCATGAAAAGCCTGAAACTCACTGTGTTCAAGCGCCACAGCCATCCCTGGTGTGCTAACCACAGCCCTGGCCTGGAGCCAGCCCCTCAACTCACGGCCTTCTCCGTAAATGTGTGTGCATGTTGGTGTGCTGTTGTTGTTATTGTCACTGTTGTAATAATCACATTACCCGGTGTTTCTCCCCTGGCCACTCCAGGGACAGCACAGACATTAGCTCATAATAATGCAGTCTTTACTAGGAAGCAAAAAACTGTGCAGGCACTGGGACTGTCAGCTTCCTCCTGGGCAGAGGGGCACTTGAAGGGTTCTGCTCAGCTCCTAATGCTGCCAGGCTTTCTCCCCTTTCTCTCGGCAAAGTGGCACCAAAGCTGAGTCTAGATTTGGATGAGCAGTTAAAGCAGCCAGAAGCTAAAATGAACAAGATCTTGAAAAACTGAGGGTAGGCACAGTGGCCAGAGGAGCTAGTCATTTAGTAGACGTACCTCCTCTCGGGCTGCCCACGGAAGTCCCATGGGCAGGGTGGTAGGTTAGGGTGTTTTATACAGATTAGTAAACAAATTCTCACAACAGCCCTGTGGAGTGGATAGCAATAGCTCCAAGTGCTAGATGGAGACACTGAGGGTCAGACAGTTGCCATCACTTCTCCAAGGCTCTTATATACAGGTAGGTGGTGGAGCTGGGTTTCAAATGCAGAGCCGCCTGACTGGAATGCCCCGGCACCTACCATTAAACCACACAGCCACTGAGTCACAACTGCAGGGCAGAGGCAGTGAGCTCAGCTCATGTCTGGTGGCAGGGGGCGCTGCGAATCCCCCTCCTCAACCCCAGCCAGAATGCCCAGCTGTAAGGACTCGCCTCCTCCCAGATCATAGGATAACAGCTTCCAGGCTGGGCCCATCAGCAGCAGGCTTGGTCTCTCTTCTCATCAAGCTTTTAGAGGCCATAAGGCTCCAGAAGAATCCAAGGCCTGTGGCCATTTCAGGGGAGGGGGCAAGCATGCCAATTAATGAGATGGTCCTTTCTCAAGTAGGGGAGATACAGACACAGAGATACCACCCGATAGGAGCGAGGAATTTTGTATAGCAGAATCTGGACACGTGGTACAGAAACTTCCCTGTTTCCCTCCTGGGAAGGAGCATCAGGGCTGACTTCACAGACAGGAGAGACTTCCCTGCACCTTGCAGTGAGAGGACAGACCAGTTACTGGAGCCACCCTGGCCCCGGGCTCAGGAGTGGGTCAGACAAGGCAGCAGCCCAAGAGGATACAGGAGGTCTGGCCTCACTCTTGAGCCCACCAAGAGGCACCAGCCCAGCCCGCCCCAATTGCCGGCCCATCCCACACTCACATCCGCCTCCTCCTTACTCATGCCCACGCTGGGCACGAGCCCAAGCTGGGCACAAGCTCCACTGGCTATCAGGCTTGTGGAATCCTGACCCCTGGCTATAAAACCCATCCCCGCCCCACCCCTGCGGAGAAGGGGAAGCGGAGGGAAGCCACTAAGGGGATGTGATTCTGCGCCGTGGGAGGTGGGAAGTTTCTCTTTTTCCCGCATCCCCAGCTACAGCCTTGAGGCCTCCACATCCCACAGCCTCCTTCCCAGATCTTTAGGCGCCGAGGACTGGGCAGCTTCTGCATCTCACAGCCAGAAACTGGGTCCTGATGGGAGGGAAGAGGGGGTGCAATGCCATCCTCAAGGGGCTCTCAGACTAAGGTGCAATACCCGTTTCTGTCCTCAGAGTTCCCAATCTGCTGAGGACAGACAAGCCCCTGCCCTCAAGAGCTCCCTGACACTATTCTAAGAAGGCCCGTCACCAAGCCCCAAGGCAGAAGGGCCCCAGAGGACAGGGCCCGGCGGCTGGCAGTCCCTCTGCAGTAAGAATCCAGTCCCAGGAGCACACTGTCTTCCTGAGGCCAAGAAGGGTTCTCGGGTATGAGGAAAGAAGGGCAGGGGAGGGTGGCCAGCTCAGTGGGAGAGCATAGGTGGCCACCCCAGGACTCAGCCCTGACACAGCACCTGCTCAGCCCCTGATGTCCTTGGAGTGGCAGGGAGCACCGTTCCCATCTCTTCCACACACAGGCCAACGCCCAGTGAGAGGCCTTGGGCAGCCTATGGCAGAAGGTCTCGCTTTTCATTCTGTCCTCCCTGTGGTTCCATGCTGGCCTTTGAGCATCCCGGTGCCAGGTGTGGGAGAAACATGGTGAGGCCACCGTCCTAGAGCAGATGGCTGGGCCTGAGACAAGGAGACTGGAAGCCAGCATGAGGATTATCCCATGGCACTCAAGTGTCTGCACTGTGCACACGCACGTGGGACTGTGGGGGCCAAGGGGTGGGCATTTGCTCTGAGATGGAATGGTGGGCAGGGCTGGGCACACGCTGCCCCTCCGCTCAGGCCTGTGCCTTCTGATACCCTTTGCTCTCAGATGCTGAGACAGACCCAAGCCTGCTCCTTTCATGAGCAGAGTCCTGGGCTGGGAGCTCTCTGAAGGCAGGAGCCAAGTTTCCCTCCTCTACAAGATGGGGGTTTGGTGGGGTCAGGCAGAGAAGCAGACCTTGGGGCCTCCCCAGGGGGAAGGCGAGTGCTCTCCTATATCCTAGCAGGGGGTGCTCAGAGGTCCCAATTCCCCATGCCAATTTCCCTGGAAAGATGGTCCAGGCAGAATGCACAGTCCTCTCACACATGAGCCGTTCCCAGGGCTGAACTCCTCTGAGGGCTAGAACAAGCACAGCGAGGCCTTGGTGGCTGGGGGCATTTCTGAGGAGGTGGCTGCCTCCTACCACCCTTACAGCCCTTCCTCCAGCCTTACCCAGAATGACCGTCCTCCTGATGGCTTCTCCTTCTCCACCCCATGTTCAGCCTGGCCAGTACACACTGGCTTTTCTAATGGGCTCCAGGTTTGAAGGGTGTGTGTGTGTGTGCGCGCATGCACGCACGCGCGCATGTCAGCATGCCCATGTGCCCATCTGTCCTGGGGAGCAATAATAGTTAATAAATAAGTGAATGGCAAAAATAGCCTCAAAGGAGCTGACAGGCAGAAGGCCAGAGAGGCCGGGCGTGGGGCCAGCACCCTGAAATGCCAAATGTTAATTTAGCCAAAAAGAAAAAAAGGTTCATTTCGAGACTGACTCCTTCAGCCAGGGTCAGGGTCTGTTGTGACTTCTGGCGCACTGGCACACCCCCTCCCCAGGCATCCTGAGTGCAGCCCAGGCATGAGGGGCCCCCTCTCAATGTTAGGGTAACTGAGCACTGCAGAGAGGGGCCCATCCTGGTGCACACAGGTTATGGATGGGCAGGAAGCTGGCAGACCGCTTGCCAGCAGTTCTCCAACCATCCACCCAGTTGGCCAGCCCTGTGTTCACAGGTCCAACCAGCCAAAGGAATGTTCTGGACATCATTACAACGTCACACTCCAGGCATGGGTCCTGCCTCACCTAGACACTCACTTGGGGGAAAGGGATTGGGCTTATTGTCTCGGTTATCAACAGCCCTCGCCAGATCCCTCGGGTGTCCCATTTGATGTCTCAGGTCTTCGCCATGTGCCACCTTCTCTGCAACAGGCCTCACAGGCTCAGAGCTCTCTCAGCACTGAGGCCTCTGGTGGTCTGTGGGTGGTTTCATTGTGTTCCACTGCATGTGTGCATGTCTTGATGAAGTTACAGAAGGAAGTACATCTGGAAGAAGCAGCTGTATGGCTTTCCTCTCTGTCCCAGTGGCCCCAGCCCTTTCAAAACCATCCACAGCTTATTTACCAGATCCTCTAGAGCAGTCCCCAGAAGGGATGCTGGTCACAGGGCTGACCTCGCCACAGCCTCCCTCAGCTGCAGCCACCCCCAGATTCAGGAGGACCTGGCCCAGCCCACCCCCCAGTTCACACCACTCACCCCAGGGAGCCCTGGCCCCAGCTTACAAGCTGGTCCCAGTCAGGTTCTAGGGGCAGCCTGGCTCCTGGAAGGTCTGTGCTGGTCACTTGGTAGCCAGCAGCCAGAATAAGGACAGGGCCAGGGGAGGGTAAAACCCATGACCCAGGACCTAGCTCTTCTTCCACTTCTTTTTGGAGGTAGTGCAGTTTTCTTCTTGCCTGTTTACTGCCATCCAAACATACAGGCAGTCCAGAGAAACACAAGCTCTCCTGGAATGTGTGGGAATTTAAAAGTACAAACCATCCACATTTGGGACAGACCCCAGGTCATTTATTGAGGGCTTTGTACAGTCCCTGTGCTAAGTGCTCTGCTTATATCATCACAGGTAATGCTCTACACAACCCTCTGGGGAGCAGGCATCATGATATCTCATTTCATGGAGGAGAGCACTAAAGCCCAGAAAGGGCAGGGCGCTTGCCAAGGAGAAACACCCTGCAGCATGGCAACATGGGGGTGGACAGCAGTGAACAGGATGAAGTTCCTACCTGTAGGAGCTGACATTCTTTTTTTTTCTTTTTCTTTTCTTTTGTGTTTTTTTTTTGTTTGTTTTTGTTTGTTTGTTTGTTTGTTTTTGAGACAGAGTCTTGCCCTGTCACCCAGGCTGGAGTGCAGTGGTGTGGTCTTGGCTCATTGCAACCTCCCCCTCCTGGGTTCCAGTAATTCCCCTGCCTCAACCTCCCGAGTAGCTGGGACTACAGGCGTGCGCCACCAAGCCAGGCTAATTTTTTTTAATTTTTAGTAGAGACACGGTTTCACCACATTGGCGCAGGCTGGTCTCAAACTCCTAGGAGACCTCAGGTGATCTGCCCATCTCAGCCTCCCAAAGTGCTGGGATTACGGGCGTGAGCCACTGCGCCTGGCCAGAGCTGACATTCTAAAGAGG
Organism: Homo sapiens; assembly: GCF_000001405.40. Classification (NCBI taxonomy): domain Eukaryota; kingdom Metazoa; phylum Chordata; class Mammalia; order Primates; family Hominidae; genus Homo; species Homo sapiens. Next base: position 123,426,652 of record NC_000003.12, read on the forward strand.
TTATGGACGGAAGGAGGGCAAGGAATAAACAGAAGAGTTAAGTACATACTTTGTCAGGCAGCCCCTGAGAAAGGAAGCTATGTGGAGGTTGGCGCAAGGAGCCTGTAGGAGTACCAGGAGCTCTGCTGGGGCTTGGGGTGCCCTAGACACCAGGGTCCAAGGAATGAGGTCCTCAGAGGCACTCAGTGGGGGCTCCCAGAGGGAGGAGAAGCTAGGAGGTTGACTCTTCGGGTGCTTAACACCTGGATGAAGGCAGAGCCCTGGGAATCTGAAGGAAGGAGGCTGTCATGGGATATTTAAAGCCCAAGAAAAGGAGGAAGGCCTTTGGGATCCATCCAAGTCCCCTGGGGAAGAGGTGATATCTGGTTCCCCAGAGGCTAGGGAGGATCTCCTGATTGGGGGACATTAGGGACAAGCTTTAGTGCCACTGGTAACCAAGGTAGAAAGACACTAATAGGCAGATGCCCAGGGGCTCCCTGTGTCCCTAGCCCTCCAGCTCCCTCAGTGGGCCTCCTCCAGCCTCCCTGGACAAGGGCAGCAGCCAGCATACCCATCACTGGCCTCTAGGCTCTCCCTCTGTAGACCACCTCCATGCCCTAACACTAGACCCACCTTTCTAATCACAGGTGGGACCATATCTATTTACTCTCCTACACACAGCTTTCTAGAAATCTCCTTTCCCTCCAACAAACCCAAATGTATTGGCGCAGAAGTCTATACACTTCCCAACCCAGTCCCACTTACCAGCCAGCCTCGCCTTTCCACCATATTCCTTGGCCACTCTCCCTGGCCCCTGGTTTAGTCTCTTGCCACCATGCCTTCGCTCCTGCTGTTACCTGTGTGAGGGTTGCCCTTTCCCATGTCTCTGCACATGGAAATCCCTATTCATCCTCTAAGCTGGCTCAGAGAACATCTTTTTTGGGAAGTCTCCTAGGACCCTCCACTGGACTTGGGAGGTGGTGATGTATAAGAGGCCAGACCCCAGAGTCAGGCTGCCCAGTTCCTTGTGTGAGCTTGGGCAAGTTACTTAACCTGCCATACTCAGTGTCCTCATCTGCAAGATGTGGGTGACAATATCAGTGCTTACTTCATAGGACTACTGTGGAGATTAACTGAGTTAACAGAAGTAATTAGAACACAGCTTGACACAGGTGGCAGTTATTTACAGGTTTGCTGTTGAGGACAGGGTCTGTGGCTTGTTCATCTTGGTTTCCCAGTGCCTAACACATGGTAGATATTTGTTAAATAATTCAGCCCAACAATCATTTAACACAGGCACCTAGGCAAAGAGAGAACTGATAATAACGAAAATAAAGTCAAGTTAGGGATGATGAGGAATTTTGTTGGGAGGCATGCTAGGTTCAAGCAAATGGAGGGACAGTGACTAGGAGGATCAACGGACAGGGACCCATGTCTGAAGTCGAGTCTAGAAAGAAATATGTGAGAACCATGCGCCACCTGGCCTTGTGACTCTCTGCTTCTCCAGGTTTGTAGTACTTTTGTCCCCATAGCACTCCCGGTCCCTGGAGTACAGTCCCTTCTTATTTGACCCAAGGGCACCCTTTATGGCACACACAGGCAGGACCTTCAGGGACCATCTGATCTTGCTGTACAGACAAGGAAACTGAGGCAGGGGTGGATGTCTTCTTGCCAGGACTTTTGTGCCTGCAGTCATGCACTGTAGTGTAACAATTGGTGTCCCTGCAGTCACCTGAAAATCCCTTTGTCTGCCTCCTCTCTCTGGCTGTTGACATAGGTTCTGCTACCAGGCTACCTCCTAGCTCCTGCTCTCTGGATTACAGTGTCTCCATCTCCTCGCTCCCTTGCGTCCTCCAAAGCCTCCTCTAGCCCTGTCCTCTGAGAATCACCAGGCATAGGCTCAGCAGGAAGTTCCCCTCCACTCTCAATCTAACCATCATATTGTGCCTTTCCTGAGCCCACCTCCTGGTGCAGTGAACATAGAAACTTCTGTCTCTCAGAGGGGCCTGGGACTCCCCATCACTTCAGGGAAAGGAGAACCTGATAACGTCAATCTGTTCTCCCCCTGGGAAGAGCACTGGATGGTAGAACTGCATCCCCAGGGCACATGCCTCTAATTTGCGGGGGGTGCCTATTTGGGATACAGATTCCTGGGCTCTACTCCAGACTCACTGAATCAGACTCTCTTGACGAGGGGCCCAGGAATCAAATTTTTAAACGGAGTTCCTGGGGAATTCTTGCACACCTACGTTTGTGAGCTATTGGAGTAGTAGTTCAGAGTGCGAGCACTGGAGCCCTATCATACCACTTTTTAACTGTGCAACCTTAAGCAAGTCACTTAGCTTCTCTGAACCTCAATTTCCTTATCTATAAAAGGTTCTCATCTGAAGAAAAATAAAAAGACAATAGCCACCTAATGGGAGATTATGAGGGTCAAATGAGCTACTAAGTGTTCAGCACCATGCCTGACACTCTGCGTGTCATAAATGATAGGGATTGGCAGTATTTGTATTGCCTATTATTTTTAGGCTGGGCATCTCCCAAAAGTAGATTTCCATCAGACCGAACATTCTGCAAAGGCAGGGACAAAGCCTCCTGTTTCCTCTCCATGCCCAGAGCCCTAGGGGCTCATTAGGAAAGTGCACAGGCTGTGGCATGGAAAAGAAAGAGTTGCTGTTCCCAAAGACCGCTAGATGCCATGGTCCATCCCACACCTGGCTGGCTATTAGGATACTTCCAAATCCAGAGGGGACCCCAGATAAAAGGAGGATCCCCCCAACCCTGCCCCAGTGAGTGCCTGTGCTCAGCCCCCTCATCTGAGACCACAAAGTCTGCCTCTCCTCAGAGCAGAAGGCAAAGTAAGCTCCCTCATCTCAGGAGCACGACCCACCCACCCCCACCTGCCAATCACGCAGCATCCTGAAGGCTTCTTCACTCGGGGCCTGGAGTTCACAGAAACACAGAGGCTGCCACATTCACAAGTGACAGAGCAACAGAATGACAGTGACAGAGTGAGGCATCTTCCTCTAAAACCACCTGATGGCCCATCCTCAAGAGGGCAGGGGGCAGGTGTAGTCAGGGGACAGCAGGTGGAGAGCATGGGCTGCATATGCACCATCAGGGTGGCATATCCCACCTGTGTGGCCAGTCCAGACTTCTCAGCTTCTGAAAAAACCAAGACTCTGAGCAACCACACTCTGCTGGGGAAGAGGCTGCCCCACCCCATACCCACGTCCAACCCCAACTGTTCCTCCCCAGCTCACCTGCCCCAACGGCTGCCCTGGGGGTGGGGTGTGGAGACCCAGCAGGAGTGTCAGCGGGGGCAGCTCGGCCTGGGAAGGGAGTGAATGCCGGCCTCAGCCCTTCTCCCACCTCTCGACAAAGCATGCAGGTCAGCATCTCCTCCATTCCCCCATGCCCTCAGCACAGCCTCCCACATCTGTCCACGGCAAACACATGGAGACCCTCTTCCTGCTCCACAAAGGAACCTAGAGGAGACCCAGGGAACACAGGATGAGCATTCCATATCTTTCAGTTCCCTTAAGATAAACTAGACCTGTTCCTTAAGTCCCAGACTGAGGGTGATTTCCAGAAGACACAGAGGGAAAACAAAGAGCAAAAAGACTGTGGGGAATACAGGCCGGACTCAGCCTTACAGATCTGGACTCACAGGGACAGGCCTCACCTAGACACCATCGCATCCTCCGATGTGGCTCCCCACCACCCCACAAGCTTGCCTGGCTCCCGGACACCCCAGGATGGAAGCAGAGGCTGACACCACTTCAGGCCCAGCAGGAGTTCCCCACAGCACTGTCTGCCAGTGAAATCACCCCGAGGCCTCGGAGAAGGAGGACCGAAATCAGCCCCACAGGCGTCAGGTGGGAAAGAAGCAAAGGCAGCAACACCCCGCACGGGGAAGATGTCAGATGGTGACTAACGGGCTTTTCTAGGCCATTGTCACCAATGCTGGAGAAATATTCCACTTTAAAAATAAGTGTAAAGCAAAATCCAAAATTAACTCTCCCCAGATAACCCCTTTCCAAAGAAAGACCACATCACAAATCCACATGTGGTCATTCGTGGAGGATTTAACCTGAGGACATCTCCCTGTCCTGACTAGGGATGCTTCCCAGGCCCCAGGTCCCAGCCCCACAGCTGGTGCTTGCCAACCTTTTCAGTCCTCAGACAGACCCCAACTTCATCTGCTTCTCTGTCCTCCCAGAGCCCGGACCTGCAGCAGAAGGGTCCTTGCCCTTCTTGCCCTGATCCAAAGGTGCTAGAAAATAACTGTCCACACAGTGGACAGGAAGGAAATCCTCTGAGGGTACAAGCCCCATCCTTTCCTCACCCTGCACATCACCTTTCTTAACTTTCCTAGTCTTGGCCACACATGCTAACAACAAACGCATATGGGGAGTTGCCGGCTATATAATTCTGTGCTTCTCATGAGCTACAGAGGTGAAGAAAAAGTACTAGTGCCGGACTAACACTGCTATCTACCTGTTGAGTAAACTGGAGCAAATTCATTCATCCAGCCAGCAGCTATTTATTGAGCATCTACTACAGACACTTCTAGTTTACAGCGGAGTCAAAGACAGATTCACAAAGACTAATGAACACTGCTGAGGGTATTAAGGCCACAGGTGTTTATACAATTTCTCCCTACTCAACAGTGAAATATCATATCCCCCCTACTCAGGAGGCTGAGGCAGAAGGATCACTTCAGCCCAGGAGTTCAACACTGTAATGCACTATGATTGTGCCTGTGAATAGCCCTGTACTCCAGCCTGGACAACAGAGCAAGCCTCTCTCAAAAGAAAAAAAAAAATGAGAGAGAGGAGGAAAGAGCTAATAGAGTTAATATTTGACGGATCAATAGGCATTTGTTTGTAGCTAACAAGCCTTCAGGAATGTTGAGTGAGGTTTGCTGCTCTGCTAAGATGGTCAGTCTATCAGCCATGTGTAACAGTCATTTCCTAAAATATTCTTGCAGTTATTATAGCACTGCACTAAGCCATTTATCCAGCCACATTTGGGGTTAATTGCTGGTGATAAGAGCAACATAAATATACTAAGCCACAGCCTTGCCTGACAAGGTTTTTATACCAACCACCAACCAAGTTTTCTTCCCCTCTTACACGCCTGCAATCATTTTTAGTGGCCATCACTCCTTACTGAATCACCACAATAAACCCCTTAGATATAAACAACTTGCCTTTCAATACAGCCATAAATCAGACTCGGTGTCATCACATGACCCCTCCGCTGATGAGGGAGGCTCAGGGCAGTAGTTCTCAATCCTGGCGCACAACAGAATCACCCACAGCATTACAAAACGCTGATGCCCAGCCACTGCCGACGTACCTGGGCACCGGGATTAGGTGAAAGCTCCTTGACGTACCTTTACTTCCCACACCTTAAGCTCTGACGGACTCATTGAGGTTAACCCAGCCAGAAAGCCTAAGTCTCAGCCCTGGGCATTCAAGGTGAAAAATTGAGGCTGACACATGCACCATAATACATGGCAATAAACTACAAGGAAGTTGAAAAGGCACTGCAGGAACTGCTATTTCCTGGGACTGCTTTGAAAAGAATAAACAATCCTCTTTGGAATTTGTGTACTGATCCACACTCACATTTATTGTCCTTCAATATGCCCAGGAACTTGCCTCTTGTCAAGTCTTTGAGGTCCTCCCGCATCTCTTAACAGCTGCAAAGAGAGAAGTGGGGAGGAGGCAGCAGGCAGGAAAAGACACCAGAAGAAAGACTGGAGAAGGAACCGGGTGGAGGGAGAGAAAAATGGTGCAACACAGCCCCTCCCAACATGGCCTGACAGCACAGTGGCGGATCCTAGAAAGGGAGAGGAGATGAAAACCAGTGTTTCCTATTTTTTTACTTATTTTTATTTATTTTTTTATTTAGACAGGGTCTTGCTCCGTGCCCAGGCTGGAGTGCAGTGGCGCGATCACAGCTCACTACAGCCTCGACCTCCTGGGCTCCAGTGATCCTCTTGCCTCAGCCTCCTAACTGGGACCACAGGTACATGCCACCTTGCCTAGCTAATTTTTTCATTTTATGTAGAAACAGGGACTTGCTATGTAGCCCAGGCTGGTCTCTAACTCCTGGCCTCAAGCAATCTTCCTGCCTCTGCCTCCCAAAGTGCTGGGATTATAGGTGTGAGCCACTGTACCCAGCTGAAAACCAGTGTTTTCTAAGGCAGGGCCCAGGCACAAGGAAGAGAGGTGGGGCTCTGGTAGAGGAGATGCCAGCCCAGGGAAGAAGCACCCAGAGGGACCCCTTCCTGCCAAAGTCAGAACTCCTGTGGAACCTGAGAATGGGCACTATCTGCCTTCCTCCCACAGTGTTGGGCAAGTAGGGATCTAAAAATCAATAACACTCAGTAAATATTTGGGGATTGAAAGAGACAAGCTCCCTGACCTCAGACAGCCAACAGTCCAGTGGAAAGACACATAAACAAACCTAACGAGAAAAATTACAAACCAGCATAAGTGCTACAGAGAAAAAGAAGGGGATGTTTCCAATTTAGATTGGCGGTGTCAGATGCCACAAAGGCAGGCAGGGCCCCAGAGGGGTGCAAGCCCACACTGCTCACCCAGGACTCAGCTCAGGCCCCTGTCCCTCTGCAGCCTGCTCAGCTGAGGTACCAGAGCCAAGACACTTCCCAGCTGGCATCACCTACAGGGAGCCAGTCAAGGGGGCAGATGGATTCCTTCCACTCAGCGTGGTGAAATGCTTACGGGAAAGGGACTTGGCCAGAGGAAGACTGGGGACTAGGGCACACTAAGTGAACAAACAGCCGTCCCATCCCCAAAAGAAAATGTAAAAATATAATCTCAAAGATCTACTTAGCAAACGAGTTTCATTTTCCTTTAGTTTTCTTGAGAAGAGCGACAGGAACAAAAGTGAATCTGAAACACAGCTAAAGGATGCTGGGGTATTTCTTAGGGTGTTGATGGTGCTGGGGAACTGGGCTTTAGAGACACCCTAGAAACGCTCTAGTAAGCACCAAGCTTCGTATCTACTGAATACTACTCAACAGAGAGACCCCGGGTCAGACTTCCAGGGCTGTACCAAGAGGTGATCCTGATGGGTCCCCAGCAGCCTCCTCCCTTCCCTCCCTGTCCCACTTATGCCACCAGAAGACGGGCTGTGCGGCAGCCTCACCCCAGAGCTGAGCAGTTGTAACATCACTTCTGATACCTCTTCTGGGTCTCAGTCCCTACTCAGTCATCCATAAAACCACTCAGAAGCTCTTCATAGGTAAACAGTTGATCCCAGCTGCCCCCTAAACAAACACTTCAGCACAGCACCAATGCCGGCTCAGGAAATGACAACCCATTTAATGCCCGTCTGAGCCAGACACCATGGGGAAAGGAGGGCCATCACAAATAAAAAGCCATGCATTCCGAAACCAAACTGAGACAACTGCCTGAGAGCAGCTGGGCCCTCCACACAGCTTCTGAAAGCACCACAGGGAGGACCTAGCACTGCCCTAACTGTGAAAAGAGCACTGGGTTTGGAGTCAGAGATCTGAATTTGTACAGCAGCTCCAAAGTTAACTAACTAGCAATGTAACCTGAATGGGGTCGGTTCACCTCTCGGAGCCTCTTATTTCCTCCTCTCCAAAACCACATCAGCATCACAGGTCTGTAACCCGCCTCACAGCTTACAGAGTGCCCTCACCTGCATTAAATTGTTTGGGGCACCCAGGAACAGATCCAGTCAATCAGGAATCTATCACCCCCAGTGTATACAGGAGAGAAAAAGGACTAAAAAGGGGTTAGGGCAACTCTGCCAGGATTACACAGTCAGGGTTATCTCCTGGGCCTCTAGGCCCCAAAGCCAATGGTTATCTTGTTTTAACACATCACCTCGTCAGAGTTGCCATGAGAAGCAAATGAGATCACACATAAACAAGTCCTTTGTCACCCAAAAAATGCTAATTAAATATAAAGGTATTTGAGCCTTTTGGCTGGTATTTGAGCCACTGTCTAGTCCAGGTCTCAACCCTAGGAGTGCCCAAGCCTCATCCCGAGAGTTAAATATAAATAATCTGGGGTGGGCCTTGTTAAGGTATAGTTTCAAAACTCCCCAGGGGATTCAAAGGTGCACCCAGGATAAGAAATCTCTTGTCTATAGCCCTACCTTCCCTTCCTCGCTCCATTACCCATACAACCACCCTAAACCTAACCCTAACCCTAACAGACCATGCAGGATGACACAGGGACCCTCAAAAGGACCCGGGCCTAGGTCTCCCACTAATATGTGACAATCCCCTCTCTGGCAAGGGCTATGTTTCACTCCTTTGGGTATATGCCACACACAGTAAGAGCTTAATAAGTGAGCACTGAGGCTGGGCGCAGTGGCACACACCTATAATCCCAGCACTTTGGGAGGCCAGGGCAGGCAGACTGATGGAGGCCAGGAGTTCAAGACCAGCCTGGGCAACATAGTGAGACTCCATCTCCACAAAAAACACAAAAATTAGCTGGGCCTGGTGGCGCATGCCTATAGTCCCAGCTACTTGGGAGGCTGAGATGGAAGAATCATCTGAGCTCAAGGAGGTCAAGGCTGCAATGAGCCGTGATTGCACCACTGCACTCCAGCCTGGGCAACAGGGCAAGACCCTGTCTCAAAAAATAAATAAATACGTAAGGCAGCACTGACTTGAACTCAACTGAGTTTTAGATGCTTGAGCACAGTGGTGTGGGCTGGTTTCATCTGAATAGTAGCGCCAAAACTAGAGAAATGCTGAAGAGAGACTGCCTCCACACACAAGGTCCCTGCAGACTCCAGTAGAAGATTTAACCAATGACGGAGTCCTCCATTGACCAAGAGATGTCACAGCCTCTCCAGGAAGCTGGCAGGCCCTTTAGTCAGCACATAACTTCTTTCAGAACCTGCATGAGATGCCCCAAATCAAGGGTCCTTGTTTCTCATACTAAGAAAACCTTTTTTTTAAGGCCACAAGTTCTGCTGCCACCTTATAACAGCAGCTTAGGAACCTGAAGACAGGTTAGAGTATAAATGAAAAAGGGCACAGAAAGCCACACATTTTTAAGAAGTAAAAATTCAGCTGGGCGTGGTGAGACCTATAATCAGCTGAGACCTATAATCTCAGCACTTTGGGAGGCCAAGGTAGGTGGATTGCTTGAGCTCAGGAGTTCAAGACCAGCCTGGGCAACCTGGCAAGAGCCCTTTTATTATTATTATTATTATTATTATTATTATTATTATTATTATTATTATTATTTTCTGAGATGGAGTCTTGCTCTGTCACCTGGGCTGGAGTGCAGTGGTGCTATCTCAGCTCACTGCAACCTCTGCCTCCCGGGTTCAAGCGATTCTCCTGCCTCAGCCTCCCAAGTAGCTGGGACTACAGGTGCGTGCCACCACACCCAGCTAATTTTTTATATTTTTAGTAGAGACGGGGTTTTACTGTGTTAGCCAAGATGGCCTCAATCTCCTGACCTCGTGATCCGCCCGCCTCAGCCTCCCAAAGTGTTGGCATTATAGGTGTGAGCCACTGCACCTGGCCAAGACCCCATTTTTATTTTAAAAAATTACCAAAAATAGCTGGGCATGGTGTTGTGCACCTGTAGTCCCAGCTACTCAGGAGGCTGAGGTGGGAGGATTGCTTGAGCCCCAGAAGCAGAGGTTGCAGTAAGCCAAGATCATACCACTGTACTCTAGCCTGCGCAACAGAGTAAGACCTTGTCTCAAAGCAAAAATTCAAAAACAGTAATTTGTCTTTTAAAAAAACTGTCTTTTGGCTGGGAATGGTGGGCTCACACCTGTAATCCCAGTACTTTGGGAGGCCAAGGTGGGCAGATGACCTGAGGTCAGGAGTTCGAGACCAGCCTGGCCAACATGCCAAAATCCCTTCTCTACTAAAAATACAAAAATTAGCCAGCCATGGTGGGGCATGCCTGTAGTCCCAGCTACTTGGGAGGCTGAAGCAGGAGAATCTCTTGAACCCAGGAGGCAGAGGTTGCAGTGAGCCAAGATCATGCCACTGCACTCCAGCCTGGGTGACAAAGCAAGACTCCATCTCAAAAAATAATAATAATAATAAATTTAAAAATAAGTAAAGTAAAAACTTTTAAATTTCATATCATTCCTCAAGTCCAGCAACCAATCAGCTGTTGATAAGCACATGCTATCAAATGGAAGAGAGAGGCCCAAGGCAGGGCCAGGGATCCAATCCTGCCACGGAGGTCTGCACTTCATATGCATTTTCGTCCTTAGTAAGCAGCCTCCCCACCTCCCTGGTGTTCAAGTCAGACCTGGGTTAGAATGCAGGCTTCTCCACTTTCTGTTTGGATTCTCCTAGAAAAAGCCCCTGAGACAAGGATTTGAGTACAAGTGACTTTTCTGGGAGGTGACCCCGGGAAACATTAGGAGGGGAGTAGGGGAGTGGAGAAATGAGAAAGGAAGGAAAGAAAGCCCCCAAAAAGAAGAGTGTGTTATTAAGCCTGTAACCACTGTGAGCCATTAGAGATTAATCCTTGCAGAGAGTTCTAGGAGACCATGCAGAACACCAGCCTCAGAATAAGATTCCCCCAACCCCGAGGTCAAACGAGCTGGGGCATTCGTCTACCAGTGCCCAACAGCCACTGGTTGAATGCTGCTCTCAGGAAGTAACTCCCTGGCACTTCTGACCTACCCTATCAGCAGGCCCCAAGGTTTAAGGCCAGAGAAAGCCCTCAGGTTCTCTCCCTCAGGTTCCAGGTTCAGCTGGAAGTCTGGCTGGTATGAGTGAAAGGTACATGCCCAGGGGATATGGGCAGGGTGCTGAACCATCTGTCACAAGCTTGCTGTGTGACCTTGGGGAGGTTACTTACCTTCTCTTATCCCAGTTTCTGCAGCGGTGTAGAATTTTAAAAATCGGAATAAAAAATGTCTTCCTCATAAGGATGACATGAAGATTAGATGAGGTCATGCATGGAAGGGATTAGCCCAGTGCCAGGTTTGCAGTAAAGACTCAATATAAGCTACAGGTTATCATCAATATACTTTATGAGCTTCCTCCTTTTGGAGAGTGGGGATGGGAAAGAAACATTTGGGGAAGGCTGATCTGGAATGGTCCGACACTACTTCCCCATGGGCAGCCACGCACTCAGTGCCTTGCTTAGGAAAAGTTCCAGAAAGACATTCAAGGGACCCCAAGCCCACCAAGGGTCATTGTGCAGACCCAACCTCTTCCGATGTCTAACAACAGCAGAAAATTCCTAAAAGAAACTGATGCAAAATCAAGGAGGCATTCCCCAGTCCCTGCCAGCCCCCTCAATTTATTTTATAAAGGATTTCTGACCCAGATGGAGAATGAGACTTGAAAGCAGGCAGCAGGCTGATGCAGTCTAAGCAATTTCCTCCCTGAGGGAGGAGAGCCACCAAACAAATGCCCCCATCTAGATGCCTTCGGATAGGCCTGGCCCAGAGGCAAGGGGCTAGATCTTGAGAAACTTCAAGGCTCCTCCCAGCCCCTGAAGAATTGTATCCTAAAGCGTGTCCTAACAAACACTAATGCCCTCCCCGCAGTAGGTTCCTTCGGAAAATGGTGCTGGAGTCAAATGTGTTTGAAAAAGGCTTCGTGCCATAACCCCCTCTTGGCAAATTCTTATACCCATTACATATTAAAAGCTTTAATGCCTAAGAATTCTGTTTAATCCAATATTTCCTAAATTTATTTGACACACACCATGTGTGTGTAAAATAGTCCCCCTCTAACCTCAGTTTTGCTTTCCGCGGTTTCAGTAACCCATGGTCAACCACGGTCTGAAAATATTCACTGGAAAATTCCAAAAATAAGTAATTTCTAACTTTTAAACCGTGCACCATTCTGAGTAGAGTGATGAAACCTCCCTGTCCTGCTTCACCCTGCCCAGGACATGAATATCCCTTTGTCCAGCAGATCCACGCTGTACATGATACCTACCCCTGCCCCATAGCAGGCTCAGTTATCAGATCAACTGTCACAGTACTGCAGTGCTTAAGGAACCCTTGTTTTACTTAATAATGTCCTCAAAGTGCAAGCGTAGTGATGCTGGCAGTTTGGATATGCCAAAGAGAAGCTCTAAAGCACTTTCTTCCTTTCCTTTTTATTTTTTTGAGACAGGGTCTCTCACTTTGCTGCCCAGACTGGAGTACAGTGGCATGATCACAGCTGACTGCAGCCTTGACCTCCCAGGCTCAAGAGATCCTTCCACCTCAGCCTCCCAGGTAGCTAGGACTATAGGTGCGTTCCACCACACCTGATTAACCTTTTTAAAAAATTTTTTGTAGAGACAGGGTCTCACTATTTTGCCCAGGCTGGTCTCAAACTCCTGGACTCAAGCGATCCTCCCATCTCAGTCCCCCAAAGTGCTGGGATTACAGGCACGAGCCACTGTGCCTGGTCCCACTGTGCCCAGACCCTAAAGTGCTTTTTTTTTTGAGATGGAGTCTCGCTCTATCACCCACCTAGAGTGTAGTGGCGCAATCTCGGCTCACTGCAAGCTCCGCCTCCTGGGTTCATGCCATTCTCCTGCCTCAGCCTCCCGAGTAGCTGGGACTACAGGCGCCCGCCACCACGCCTGTATTTTGTATTTTTAGTAGAGACGGGGTTTCACCGTGTTAGCCAGGATGGTCTCGATCTCCTGACCTCATGATCCGCCTGCTTTGGCCTCCCAAAGTGCTGGGATTACAGGCATGAGCCACCGCACCCAGCCCTAAAGTGCTTTCTTTAAGGGAAAATGTAAAAGTTCTCAACTTAATAAGGAAAGAAAAAAATCATACGCTGAGGTTGCTAAGATCTACGGTAAGAACAAATCTTCTGTCTGAAACTCTGAACAGTATATCATCAAAACTGTTCTATTGTATTATTAATTATTGTTAATCTCTTACTATGACTAATTTATAAACTTTATCACAAGTATAGATATACAGGAAAAAAACATAATGTTATATAGGGTTTGGTACTATCCACGATTTTAGGCATCCACTGGGGGTCTTGGGCTGTATCCCCCTTGGATAAGGAGGGACTACTGTATGTGAGACATCTATGAACAGCCCTCCAAGGGACACATTTAGTGGGAGAGCCTGGGCTGAAGGCGGTCCTCAGAGCCACAACCCGTCATCTTTGCAACCCCATGGCCTAGACAGTGCCTATTATAAGGTAGGCACCTAATAAATGATTATTATCTGAACAAATAGGGAGAAGGCTGAAAGAACGACTTAATGATGGTTTTCAAATCTGTTAAGTGATATAGTATCGGCAGTGCCAGGCAACAGCTCTCTGTTTCTAAGAAGGCACACATTTTAAATTGCAGCAGGAGGGATTTTGGAAGCCCTGCTCAGAGTTTAGGATTACAACCCACCAAAATAGGCTTCCAAGCCGAGCTGCGTCGCTTCCTTCTGTGGAGGTGTTGGTCTAGCACTTCGGCAGAGCTTAGAGTCTGCGTGCAGACGTCCACCCACCCCACCACCCATTCATTCATTTGCTTGTTCATTCAAACCCTCACTGAGCACCTACTGTGTGCTGAGCACTGATGGAGGTGAGGCACTGGGTCCCTCAGGATTCCCTCCAAAAGACAAGGTGGGACCTCAGTGAGTTCTGTGATAAAGCCCAGGGAGCCCTGAAGGGGAAGGCAGAGGGGACCATGAAAGTGTGAGGTCAGGAGGCCACAAGCCCAGATGCAGCAGCTCATAACCCGACCAGAGCAAGAGGTAGTGGGCAGGGAGGGGGGCCTATTACAGTTTCACACTGACACATGAGGCTAGCCTAAAGAATAAAGCCTCTACTGTCTCCTTGTGTTTGTTTGTCTAACCACCCCCCCTTTCTCTTGTGACCATATCTCATTGTTCCCAGAGAACAGCCCTACCCCCACTTCCAAGTCCTTACCCTCCTCATACTCACAGTTCCAATCTCCTCTTCCTTTCTTTAAGGCACACTCCCCTTCCTTCACACCACCTCGGAATTCTTCCCCATCGCCTGTCTTGCTCCTCCACCCCCTGACTTCCTCATTCTCCACACTCTATACCATCCCTTCTGGATCTGGGATGTCCTCAGTAGGTTTTCATACCCACTCACCAGACGAATGAATAAACCAGAAGTCAAACCTAGGCCCATCTTTCTACTAACCTCCCCCTCAAAAGGTGAGCCACAGATTGTTTTGCCTCAAAAAGGAAGGGGGGATTGGGGCGAGGGGGCAAGAGAGAGTCCAGGGCTGATCATCCCTCTCATCCTGTTTTACCACCACCACTATGACCCAATCGCCTTCCAGATCTGCATCTGTGCATTAGTGCACACTCACCAGCCCCACCTGGATGCCTCCCAATAAGTCTGCATGTATGCACTGATTGTGCTTCTTTTAAACAGGGGCTGAGATGGGCATGATAAGAGGACACCCTGGAGGACTTTAGGAGGTCTTGCCACTGTTGCAAGACACTGACCCACAGAATTCCAGGCTTAGGTGTAACCTGAGCCGTCTTCTTGGCCAATGATCCCAAACCTAAGAGCTGGTCATCAAAATCACCTGGGGAGATTTGAAAACCAGCTCCAAGTTGTTTTAAATAGAGATCCATTCCTGGGCCCTACCCTAGACCTTTGGAAGTTGTACCTTCCCAGTGCGGCCTGTGAATCTGCATTTTTTCAAAAACTTCCCAGGTGATTATGATAAGCCAAAGTTAAGAATCAATGATGCAGTCAGTGACCCATCCAAACTTTCACCAAGCAGTCAATTTCCTCAGTAACAAGCCAAGGAGGTGGCCATCCAGTCTCCACTTGAACACCTCCACTGACAGAGAGCTGGCTACCCTAAGAGGCACCTGATTTGGCTGCTGCAAACCCAATGGCTAGAAAGGTGTCATCTACCTAGAGCTGAGACCTGTCTACTACTTCCACCCATCTGCCACAAGCCTACCCTTGGGAGCAACAGAAAATAATTTAGTCCCTCTTCTAATATCTGAAAACAGAGATCCCAGCAATAACACCTTGCCCTTCGCGTTAGGTTTTCTTACCTGATATGGTCTGCTTTTCTCCCAGCTAAATATCCTCCATTCTCTCAAATGCTCTCTCAGAAGTTTCCACTCCCCTTACAAAACTGGTCACTCTCCTTTGAAGTCTAGAATCAGAGGCCGTTGTATTTCAGACCAGGCCTCAATCCTCTGATGAACTGGATAAGGCTATAAACCTAACCAAGATCCTGTGGGCCTTTTCTAACAGCCATCCCAAAATGCGGGCTCACATTAAGCTCACTGTCCGCTAACTAGAAACCCCCAGATTTTCTTCACAATGCTGTAAAGAGAGATCTTCCCTGTCCTACATTTGGATATTGCCTTAAGGAAGGAAAAAAAAAAAAAAAAGCAGGGCTTTCCAATTTTGCAATTTTGTGTTTGGGAGCAGAATGAATACTGATCCTGCCTTCCATGAGCCAGCTACCCTCATCTGATAAGCATGGATGAGACAAGGATGCTAGGGCCTCACTTATGTAACTGTACCCAAAGGATTTACGGGCACCATCATGTTGAAGCCCCCAGAGCAAACTTTTCTTTCTCAACACAGGCTACACTCCTGGGAAACACATGACGGCAGGTTGCACCCACCACCAAGATAAAGTTAACTGAAGTAGCAAGCAGGCAGCCACGGACAGCAAGGCACTCAGCAAGAGGCTGCGCCATCACGGGAGGCTCCCTCCTCAGGTCCCAGTTTGGTGAGGACCAAGGTGGCAGTTCCATTCATGCCTCATGCGGGAGAGGAGGCCTGGCCCGAACATGGGCCACCACCCTGCGTGTGCTCCAGCCACACCCTCGGACAGAGGGACTCATGGCCAGAGCTTGAATGAATAGGAGAGTTCCTGTCCAAGCATTATAAACTGATTTTGAAACTCTCTGTGAGGTTGATGGGGTTTAACGCATCATCCATGTCCTCTTTACAGACAAACATGAACGCACTGTTCTGGGTCCCACAGCACACAGAACTCATGCTCCTGTTGCAGACGAACATTTAGATTGAATTATTAACAGTGTACATTCCCACAAATACAGCAGCTGGGCATTGTGCCCCTCCGCTGAGTCTCTGCCATTCCTGAAGTCCTCCCCCAGGGATCAAGGCACTCTAGGGATCTAGAAGACGACCCCCACCCCAGCCACTTCTGCTCTCCTCCAAATACCCACTCCTAGCTTTTGGGAGAAAGAGGCGATCTAATAAGCAATAAGTAAATATAATCGGCAAATACAGTCAGCCTTGAGGCAAGAGAAGCAGACCCTCCTCCACTCGAAACCCAAAGCCAACCCCCAACCCCAGCCTGCTGCTGCGCTGGGGTTGAGCCTGCTGCTGAAGTTCACTGCCACTGAATTTCTCCTATCCAGAAATGCAGGTGATAGGGAAAGCAATTGGTGGCAGACAATACCCGGGCCTGTGGGTGAAAGTGTGTCTTCCTCCACTCTACCCAGCGTCTCACATGGGGCAGCCAGAGTGATCCACCAGACAGGCCTCTGGGCCAAGTTCCAGAGCAAGGTGGCAGCTCTTCAGCGGGGCTCATTGGGCTGGGCTGCTGAGCAGGTAGGTAGCAGGAAAGGTTCTTGAAAGAGAAGAAAGGGACTCCATGGAGTCAGAAGAGCCCCAGGTACTTACTTCCCTGGGGAGCCAGAGGTCGAGGTCCGAAGAACCATCAAGGCCCAGGACCAGAAAAGCAAACGGCCAGGGGAAGCCAACTACCAGCCAAGAATAAACAGGACAGGGCTGCCATGATCTCCTTTCAAAGTTAACACAAAGGCTTCCCAGGCCCACGTCCACCACCTGGGTCAGCCTCATACCAGATAGACAGATGCGCACGTGCTCACGTACACACATGCACCCCTGAACAGCCACAGCCTCGATTCTTGGTCCATATTCCTACCCCCACCCCTCATTTGTCTCCTCGCTACAGACACACGTGCTCACAGTCACAGAATTTCACCCACACAGCGCCTGTGCCTTTCTGATCACTGGAACAACTGGTGACAGTTGTAGGTTCAAATAGGCACAAAAGAAGAAATGCAGGAAATCACTAAGAAGCTGGGGAAAGACAGGGTGGGGTGGGAGATGGGTTGTCCCACACTGCAGGGAAAACCCCTAGTGGCTCCCCCAAGCTCACGGGGACCCATGCGGGGTCAGAATCTTCTCCTCAGAAACCATGTCAGGCAGATTGAATGTGGATGCATAATAATAATACCCCATATTTGAACAGGACTCTCCACTTTTCAAAGAGCTCTTCCATCCATCATCACCTAGAGTCCAGACCATAGAGCTGCTGCTAATCTCCTGGAGTGCAAATGACCACCCCACCCCACAGGGCACAACGATACCTTCTCCAAAATAATCGTTAATAGCTAAGCATATGTAATAGTTGTGTGAGCATGCTTGTTTTTGTGTGAGTGCGTGCAGAAGCTTTATGTAGCAGAGTGGGATACAGTCAAACAAAAATGAGGTTGCCATGGCAACAGGCTCCAGCATCATTGCAGCCTATTAACACAAGTGAGGAATGTGTTTGGCAGATGCTCCAGTGTTATTTATGGTATGGGTGTAGCAGAGGGACTTCTAACAGGCAAAGGAGGAGAAAAAAACAACCCCGTGACGCTCCTACTATACCCCAGCGAGGAGACAGGAGTCGACAGTGAGACAAGAGCACAGCAGAGGCTGAGAGGCCTCGAACAGGGAGGGAGAGATGGGAAAGCAGAGCCTGCAGGAAGGCAGCAGAGAGGTGAGGTGGGCAGACAGTAACAGGGATCAGAGGGAGAGGGAAGAGAAAGGAAGTCAGAGAGGAAAGGAGCAGGCAGAGAGAGAGAAGGAGCCGAGGGGGAGGGTGACAAACACTATGGACAGAGCCAGAGGGATGGAGAAGGGAAGAAACACCATCCCACCAAGAGGGGCTGTGGCACCTTGTGTCCTGTTCCTCCCTTGAGTCAAAACTGTCAGGAGCCACTGGTTAAGAAACCAAATGCTTCTCCTAATTGGAGCCAAGGGCAGAGCCCCACACATAAGAGAGGCTGAAGAAGAATAAAATACACAGGTCAGATAATGATGTTGAGGACCTGAGTAAAGGGGGAGAGGTCCAGCCTTGCAAGAGGAGCAGTGAAGAAATGCCAGTCCAGTTTACTGAGGGCCTACTATGTGTCCAAGCCACCGAAGGGGGAATTCCCAAAGCCCCAACATAGGAACTGCTCATTGCCACCCATTTCCCTGGACATGTGTCTCAACAAAGAAAAGAACAAGGCATCTAATCCCAACCACTCTTACATGCCTGCTGTTCTGGAGTAACCTGAGGCAGAGGTTAATGCTGGACTTCCCCCACCAGCCAGCAGGGTTTGCTCAAGAAAGACAAATTTTATATGAGGCATAATCAAAAGGGTAAATCAAGTACAAACAAAAAAAGATACAGTTTTCTCTGAAGCCAAATAGAGGAAATGTTTGCATTCCCTTGTCTTGAACCACTCATAACAAGCTCTGCACCACTCAGGGAAGATCATATAAAGTAAGTGTAAATCCACCCAAAATCCTACAGCCTTGCAAAAGTCTAAAGACCACAGTGGGTAAAAGAACAGGGTAGGAGCCAGTGGGGGTGGGGAGAGAAGGGAGAGGGATTTGCCTAAGGAACCAGAAGGAGAAGTCAGTCAGACAGACACTCTGTTGCTGCAATGGTATTTTCATGCTAAGGTGGAATTGGGGCCCCCCCCAAGGCTCAGCACCCCTTTCCTGGGATCTGACTCCAACCCCCCTCAGGAGAAACCATACCTACAGCTGTAATCAGACCCTGTGTCCCAAGTCTGGTTCACAAAATACCCTGAACTATCCTGAAAATCTCCATATGGATGACATGCCCCTTCCTCTGCAGAAAAGCTACATCCACCCAAATCAGGAGCAGTCCCCAAAGATACAACAACCATCTGAAAGCACGAGTCCTCGGGTCAAAAGAGTTGGGGCTTTTATAAGCACTAACAATGGTAGTAACTTTTAAACCACCACCTCTCAAAAGTCTTCTGCAAAGCTGGTCTCTAAAGATTTTTTTTTTCTTCTCATCTCAGATCTGAAAAAACTTTTAACTTAGCATCAACAGCCCCACTTACTCCATTCACTGGACCCCAACTATATTGGCAAGCAGTTATTAAATCCCTACTAAGTATTCTGCACTGTGCTTAGGTAAGGGTGAGAGAATAGAGGAGGAAAAACACATACACCTTGGGATTTGTGCATCCATGGAGGTTACACTGGACAGACAGCAAAACAAGTGGACACTGGAAAATGAATAAGTGCTCCACTCTGTGCCTCTGACTCTATTGTTAATCATACAGAAGACCACGAGGTCAGTGTGGCTGGAATGGAAGAAGAAGGTTCCTTGCAGGGGTACAGCTTGGGGCAGAGGACGTTAGAAGTGGAAGGGACATAAACATTCCTCTCATTCTCTAGAAAAGGTAGCAAAGGCCCAGAGAGCTTGTGTGTCCCCTCCGTCCCAGTCACAGAGCACCCTGCAGGTTCAGCTAGAGCCCAGAGCCCTGAAACCCATAACAGTGCTATTCTCTATGGAAGAATACTATGTCCAGGAAGCCAGGGGACACAGGAGAGCAACTCAAGAAAGATGCGGTACTCAAGAGGATAAAAGTCTAAGAGAAGGCACTAGAAGAGGGGAGACAGAGGAAGGCAATGACAATGGAAAACCCTTAAGAGGTTCTATTCGAGAAGGCAGACACCAGTGGGCAGATGTGTGCACTGGGGTCCAAGGTGAAGAGACTTGCCTGTAGCAAGGGCCCAGTGGACTCTCACAGTGGAGCAGCATGCAAACAAGCAGGTTCAGAAGCAATCATGGATGAGGACCAGGAAACCAGACCACAGGACACTAAAGGGAGATATGGTATGGATGGCAGGGGGGCTCCTCTCACCCTGAGGTCAGGATAGCCAACATGCCCCTCTCACAGAAGCCTTTAAGAGAGTCACCAGCTAACCAGGCAAAAGTTGTATTTCTTCCTGAACCTGCAGTTCTAGACTCACCCAACAAATCCCAGCAGGGATAAAATGTCCCTACCACAAGCAATGACCAGGGGCACCCACTTGAAGGGGTCATGATGTTCAACAACAGCTTTCTGCTCAGGCCGGAAGGGGAATTGCCACCACACACATCTCGGAGGCTCCTTCCCACTTTAGCGAAGGGCAGGTTTTTGGCTTGGGGCGCTCTGCTAACTGAAACAAACTTGTCAGTCCTTCTGCAAGTTCAGGGATATCTCCAGCTACCAAATCCCCAGCCTTAGACAGGTGGCAGGCTCATGCTACCTCCTCCTTACCACTGAGCAAGGGGTGCAGGGTGTCCCCTCACCAACCCTCTATCCAGGGCTGGATTAACAAAGCAGCAGTGGCACTCACGAGGGGGTGGCTGCTAGAGGGTCCAGCCACTTTCGTTAGGGGCCTTTTGTATATAGGAACAGAAGCTCAGGAAGAGATGGGAAACACTCCTTATAATTTTCTCCTCCAACCTTCCTCACTGCATTCCCACAGTGATGGCTACAGTTCAGTACACGTTATCTAAGGGGCAAGGAACACTGCAAACGACACAAGGGCACTCTTTTTGTAAATGAAGCCGCTGGGGCTCAGAGTGGGGTAAGAAGCTCCCAAATAGCCTACATGGCCGAGCCCTGTCTCTCTGGCTCTTTTCACCATTCGAAAGGGTGAGGGTGGGATCCCTTTCTTTGGAGTCCAGCTGAGGCCTGCCCGCCCCGCAATCCAGTCCCGGTGGCCAGGTCGGCCCCTACCTGCTTCAGCAGGAACTGGTCCTGGGCGTTGGTGCGCAGGGCGATGGCCAGGTGGAGGGCGGACAGGAGCACCCCGCTGAGCACTGCGGCCCGCATGCGCACGGGCAGCAGCGTGTAGATGGTGTAGATGAAGAACACGGTCCACCAGATGCCCTCAGAGGCGCTGCGTGGCTGCGGCAGCAGCAGGCCCACCACCTGGACGGCCAGCACCACGGCGATGAGCGCATAGCAGGCCAGGCCCATGTGGTCCTGGTGGAAGGCGGCGCGGTTGCAAAGCACAGCCATGATGAGGATCACGCCGACGGCGGCCGCCAGCACGGCCAGGTAGGGCAGCTGGAGCGGGGGCCGCGCCGCGTGGAAGGCCAACATGACCAGGCACACGAGCACCAGCACGGCCATGAGCATGGTGAGGCTGCTCTGGTTCAGGCGGAAGAAGTAGCGCTGGTACAGCCGCTCCAGTTTGTCCGACGGGAACTTCTTGGAGCGGAATATCTGCAGCAACGCCAGGCAGCAGGCGCCCAGGGACAGCACCGCGCCGGGCCCCGCGCCCGAGCCCGAGTCCGCCGAGCTGCCGCCATCCCCGGACCCCTCGCCGCCCTCGACGGCGCCGGCCTCCAGCTCGTCGGCCGCGCGCCCCTTGCCCCGCCGCTCCTCCAGACCCACCTCCACCGAGCGAGGGCGCACCTCCGTCCCGCCCGCCGAGGCAGCCGCCGCCGCCGAGCCGCCGCCGCCGCCCGCAGGGGGCGCCCGGGTGCTGCCCCCGCTGGCCGCGCCCCGCCGCTGCCGGCGGCTGCCGCGACCGCAGTCGTCGCCGCCGCGCTCCTGCCAGGCGGACTTGGAGCGGAAGCTGAAGCCGAAGCCCCCGGCCAGGGGGTCGTCACCGCTCAGCGGAGGATCGTCGTCGTCGTCGCTGCGCCAGCGGCTGGCCAGGCGCTGCTGCTGCTGCGGGGTCACCGCCCCCCCGGGTTTCTTGGTGGAGCCGCGGGCAGAGCCCCCGGGGGCATGGGGGTAGCCATTCGCGCGGGAATCGGCCTCGCCCCACGCAGAGCGGTGTTCGGGGCCTCCCCGGGGCGCCGGCGCCGCAGTCTTCTGCGCCGCGTAGCCCGGGGGGCTCACGCTTTTGGAGCCGGACATCCCCCCCTCGGCCTCGTCGTCTCCTTCCTCCTCCCCCGGAAGCCGGGCCGGGGGTCTCCAAGGGGAGGGCGGACGGCCGAGCAGGGGGACCAGGCTAGGGTCACACGTCGGGGGCGGCCCGGGGCCCTGCGCTGCAGCGGGGCATCTTGGCACCCCCGTCCTGAGCGGAGGAGGAGGGCACAGCCCCGAGGTGAGAAGTAGCTGAGGATCCGCGTCAGAAGTCCCAGGTCCGAAATGGAGTTGCCTCCGAGGTGGGGTCGCAGGGACTGGTCTGGCTGCTGCTGCGCCGCACGCGGAGAGACGTCCGGGATCCTGGCTCGCGTCGAGCTCGACGAGGGCCGGAGTTGCGGACGAGACGGGACGGAGTGGTGTCCTTGCGGGCGGTGCCTCCTCGGGCCGGCAGTGCCCGGGCGCGGCGCTCGCTGATTCCGCCTAAGCGGAGCCCAGCTGCTCTCGGGGCTCGGCGGCGGCGAGGGCGGCTCGGCGGGGGTCCCGGCGAAGAGACACTGCGGGTGCGCTTTCCTCGCAGCGGACTGGGAGCGACTGGGAGGTGCGGGCGCCAGCCAGCATTATTTTCTTACGAGGGGTGGGGAGGTGGGATGGGAGGTGGAGAGGACGGGGGAGGGGGCGACGGGCGGAGCAACAGCTCCGGAGCCCCGGGGGGGAGGGTCCTGGAGCCCGGGGGGGCCGTTGCCCGCATCCCCCACCTCTCGCGGCGAGAGTGGATGCGTGGCCCCGGCGAAAGCCGAGCCGAGCCTTCGGCGCGTCCGCGCAGGGGGCGGGGTCCGGGTCAGGGACCGGCTCCTGCGGTGCGGCCCTTCCCCTCTCGCCTCTCCCTTTCCCGCAAACGGAGCGGGGCCGGCCGGGACCTGCCGGCCCGGAGAGCTGTCGCGCCCGCTTCGCAAGCCCCAAGCTCCTCGTCGCCGGCTGCGGGCCCACCGCGGCCGGCGCGGAACGACTAGGCGGAGGACGGAATCCGGCGCAGCGCTGCCGCGGTTCTGCCCCGACGCAGGCAGGCTTCTCCCGGGGAGTAAGGCATCCAGAGATCCAGCGCCGGGGCTCAGAAGCAGCCGGCCCAGAGGGGCCCGCCTGAGAGCCGCGGCGCCCGAGAGGCGCTCCGGGGGGGCCCGCGGGAGCCCGGCTCAGGGCGCGCCATGCACGCTTCGGGCCCTGCGCCGCTCCGGCCGCTCGCGCCGCTCCTCCCTTCTCGCCCGCTCGCCGCCGCCGGAGAGCCCTCCGCATCCCCTCCTCCCGCTGCCTCCCCGCCCCCCGCGCCGCCCGGGCCTCGGCTCACAGCCGCGCGAGGCCGCCTCCGCCCCCGGCCTGGCCATGGCCCCAGCCTCGGCGCCCCGCGGGCATCCTCAGGCCTGGCCGCGGGCACCCCAGTTCCCCTTCCTCACCTAAAATTCTCGCTGCGCCCCTCCCTCCCTGGGACTAGGAGCCGCATCCAGCCTGCGGTCCCGTCACCAGACCTGGGTGGAGCGCGGTCTTCCCCCGCCCCCGGCCAGGGCTCCAGCGCCCCCAGTCCTAGCTCCCCTCTTTTGTATCCCCCTTTAATCCCCCTCCCCCCATTTAACCCAACTTCAGCCCCGGCGCTGCGCCCCCCTTCCCTGGCCCGGCTCGATTGGCCGCTTCCGGAGCTGTCAGACTACAGTCCGGCGCTCTTATTGGGCGATTCTCTGGCCCGGCGGCTGTGCCAAAGGAGGGCGCACCGGGTGGGGGGCGCCTGGGCAGCGAGTGCCTCAAGGAGAAGGAGAACAGAGTCCCTGGAGGGGTCTCAGGGGCCGGAGAGCCAGACCCGGAAATGGACAGGGGAGATGCAGAAACAGGACTTCTGAGACGCAGGAAGACAGTGATGGAAAAGATGGTGATGCAGTGGGTGAGGCCGATGCAGCCGGGGCGGGGCGGACAGGGAGGCTTTGGTGGGTAGTTACCAGGAGAAAGCCCCACAGTGAACACTGGAAACACCTGGCTTTTATAAAGCGCTCTTTGCCTGTTCGTAAAGTCTCATAAATCTCACTTGGTTCCCGTCAGTAATCCTAGGATGAGACAGAGGACAGAGACCGTGTAGCTATTCCCAGCTTATAGATGCAGAAACTGAGGCTCTGGGAGCTTATTCAACTTGCTATAGGTCACACAGGTCTACTAACTTGGCACCCAAAGGTCCTTCGTCAGCGCCAGACTGCCTCCCTAACCTAACAAGGTGTTAGCAGGAAGGATGGGCACCTGAGCAAGCTGGCGTGCCCACTTGGGGGGAAGCAGGGGAAGGGGAAAATGGCTAGATACACAGCACCAGCCACAAGAGGCAGGAATGGAGAGAAGGATTCGACTGCTAGGCAAAAAGGACGTAGGCCTGTAGAATGATGTGTCTACCCAATTCCCTTTGCCCCCAAGCTGTCCTGCTGGAGTTCTGACAGTCTAAACCCTGGAGAGGTGGGAGACCACACTCCTACCCAGCCTGGGGGTAAACAGCTTTTACTTTCCCCTTCTTCATCCTCCAACTCTCTCCCCAGAGCTTCTGACAGGGAGCCTAGAGGTCTAAGTGAGCTTCCTTCTTTGTCTCTCTCTGCTGGTCATCTCTGCAGACTGGAAGATAAACCTTGCCAGAGTTACAAATTGGGAGGAGAAAAATTCCAAGAGGTCAGAATAAACTAACCCTTGGGTAATCCAGCCTTTGAGTATTCCACTATTAGCCAAGTTGTAAAAAAAAACATGAATTTAGTCAATAAAAATTCTAGAGAACCCTCAATGTACAAAGCATTGTGCTAGTTGCTACCAGGATAGAGAGATGACCAAACTCTAGACCGGGAACAAGTCGAACAAGTCAGTGACGGAGAAGAGCTAGCCACTATCTCTAGGTCAGAGCAAAGTTCTGGGTTCAATAGAAGTGCAAACAGCACCTCGGGCATTCAGAGAGAGGGGGTGTCACTTCCCACTGTGAGGGCCAAACAAGGGCCTGGAAGTCAAACCTGGGTCTAGCAGGGAAGGATGTCTAAGAAAGGGAGGATGGACTAATTAATATTTACTAAGCAACTGTTGTATGTCTGTAAACATTTTATTGTCAGATAACTATTCTGAGGAAGGTTATCCCCACTATAAAGATGAGAAAACAGACTTAGGGAATCAAAAAGTTTGTCCAGCCAGGCATGGTGGCTCATGCCTGTAACCCCAGCACTTTGGGAGGCTGAGGCAGGCAGATCATCTGAGGTCTGGCGCTCATGACCAGCCTGGCCAACATGGTGAAACCCGTCTCTACTAAAAATACAAAAATTAGCCGGGCGTGGCGGTGTGAGCCTGTAATCCTACTCTGGAGGCTGAGGCAGGAGAATCACTTGAATCCGGGAGGTGGAGGTTGCAGTGAGCCGAGATCATGCCATTGCACTCCAGCCTGGTTGACAGAATGAGACTCTGTCTCAAAAAAAAAATAAAAAATAAAAAGGCCGGGCATGGTGGCTCACGACTCTAATCCTAGCACTTTGGGAGGCCAAGGCAGGCGGATCACGAGGTCAAGAGATCGAAACCATCCTGGCCAACGTGGTGAAACCCTGTCTCTACTAAAAATACAAAAATTAGCTAGGCGTGGTGGTGTGTGCCTGTAGTCCCAGCTACTTGGGAGGCTGAGGCAGGAGAATTGCTTGAACCCAGAAGGTGGAAGTTGCAGTGAGCCAAGGTTGCACCACTGCACTCCAGCCTGGCAACACAGCAATACTCTGTCTCAAAAAAAATAAAATAAAATTATTTATATATATATATATATATATATATGAGTTTGCCCAAAGCTCATAGTTGTAGCAGTCTGCTCGTTGTATTCTACCATGCAGCAATGTAGCAGATATGACATGGGTGGCACCCTCAAGACATAGTCAACTGCACGGACAGGGGCCACAGGGCCAGAGGTATCAAGGCTATTGATCAAGGTTCCATCCTTGATCCTCTCATCTTCTCATTCCCAGAGCTATCCCTAAGTCATTCCTCTTAATTTTATTCAATTTTTAAAAATAATTGTCTTACAACAAAAGCCATGTATGATTGATGTGGGAAAAAAATTAAAAAGAAAGAAAACACACTCATAATCATATCACCAAAGAACCAGTATTGGCCGGGCGCGGTGGCTCACGCCTATAATCCCAGTACTTTGGGAGGCTGAGGAGGGCGGATCATGAGATCAGGAGTTCGAGACCAGCCTGGCCAACATGGTGAAACCCCATCTCTACTAAAAATACAAAAATTAGGCAGGCGTGGTCATGGGCACCTGTAATCCCAGCTACTCGGGAGGCTGAGGCAGGAGAATCACTTGAACCCGGGAGGTGGAGGTTGCAGTGAGCCGAGACTGCACCATTGCACTCCAGCCTGGGTGAAAGAGCAAGACTCCATCTCAAAAAAAAAAAACCAGTATTAATATGTTAATTTTTTTCTTAAACAATAACTGGATCTTTTACTCTACAATTAGTTTTAGAGTCTACCATTTTCTACTTAGCAAAATATTGTGGATTTTTTTTCATGTCAATAAGCATCCATCTACAATATCCATTTTACTGTCCAAATTGCATGGGTATAGTATACTTTATTTAACCAATCCCCTACTGTTAGGCATTTTTCACTGTCATAGCAGTTTATAAATAAAAGTTTCCCCTCCTTTACTATTATAAACAGTGAGCATTTCTGTAGATAAATTTTCACACAAGCTGGGCACAGTGGCTCACATTGGTAATCTCAGCTACTCAGGAGGCTGAGGTGAGATGATCTCTTGAGCCCAGGAGTTCGAGGCCAGCCTAGGCAACATAGAGAGAATGCTGTCTCAAAAATAAATAAATGAATAAAAATTTACACATATCCTTAGGAAAAATTCCTACAAATAGAATTGCTGGGCCCAAGGATAAGCATGTTTTTTTCTCTAAGATATTTTTGAAATCTGTATCTTCAGCCCTTGCCTCCCTTCCCAGTTCCAAGCTTCCCTCTGGCTACTGGAGAGCTCCCCATCGATGCTCCTTGGGACTCACCAGATCCCAAATTCACTGTTTCTGAAAATAAGGTCATCTCCCAAGTAGCTTGCTCCTCACTCCCTTTTCATGCTGCTGGTGGAATTACCTTCGTCCAAACTCTGTGATCTTAAGAGTGATAATATCTCCTCTGCCTTGTCTTTTCGCATTTGTCTCTTCTTCCACATTCTCTTACCACAGCCTTCATCCCGATCATCCCCTTCCTTGCCTGGATAATTGCCAACTCTCCCTCCTTGCCCTCAAATCTGTCCTCCGCCTTGTCCTCATCTGATCTCACTCCCACTGAAATCATGTCCACAAAACAGCCTGTTCCTACCTGCCAGCTTTCACTGTGAGTTCACCACCTTCCTGTCACCCAGCCCCCATGAACTGCTCTTGTGCCTCTGCAGAGATAACCCTTTTTCCTCCACAAATCAAACTCAGCACCTGAGGGAAGCCCTCCCTAATACCCCTCCCCTCCCTCCACCCCTCCCCCATGCCAATAGGCACTCCCTCCTCCTCCTCTGCCCCCAGCACACCTTGCTTATATCTATTATAGCACCTGTCACATTGTATTATCTTGACTTGTTTACGGAACGGTCTCCACAGTCTGCTGAATGCCTTGAGGGTAGAGTTGGGATCTTATTCCATGCCCAGTGTTTAGCCTGGTGCCTGGCACATAGGAGGTGCCCAATAGTTGCTGGATAAACACATGGCACATCTGGGGAATGGTAAGCAAGATGGAGTCTCAGGTATATGTAGGGGAGGAGGACTTTCGACAGTGGGTGAAGATGGACAGGTGAGTTGAACTCTGGAACATAGTGCCGAGGAGGTTGGGCTTCAGTTTAAAAACAATAAGGAGCCCCCAAATTTAGGGACAAAAGTGTCCTGGTTCATTCTGTTTTAAGAGGCAAACTGGTGATAATGTTACTACATTCAAGAAACAAGATCCCTGTAATCCCCGCACCTTGGGAGGCCAGCGCAGGAGGATCGCTTGAGGCCAGGAATTCAAGACCAGCCTCGGCACCATAGCTGATAATAGTGAGACCCCATCTCTACAAAAAAAATTTAAAAATTAGCCATGTGTGGTGGTGTGCCCCTGTAAAACCAGCTACTCAGGAAGCTGAGTCGGAGGACTGCTGGAGCCCAGAAGTTCAAGGCTACAGCGAGCTATGATCATGCCACTGCACTTCAGCCTGGGTGACAAAGTGGGACCCTGTCACTGGAAAAAAAAAAAAAGTGGGAGTGTGTGTGGGAGACCAGTCAGGAAGCTATTGCAGAACAGATGTAGATTGGGCCAAAAGTGACCTGGTGATGGGAATGATGCCATTGGCTGGAAGAGGCCTGTGGAGGGCTGAGAAAGAAACCCTGTGGGGCTAAACCCTGGGTAAAGGAGGAGTCTTCACAGTCAGAAGAAATCAAGAAAAGCTGAGGATCACAGGAATGAAAGGCAGAGGTTTTCAAGACAAACTCCAAGATGTGCACCTGGTATCAAAAGGAAAGGATGAGGCCAGCACAGCAGCTCACAGCTTTAATTTCAGCACTTTGTGATGCTGAGGCGGGTGGATCACTTGAGCCCAAGAGTTCCAGACCAGCCTGGGCAACGTAACAAGACCCCATCTCTCCAAAAAAAAAAAAAAAATACAAAAATTAGCCAGGCATGGTGGCACATGCCTGTGGTACCAGCTACTCAGGAGGCTAAGGTGGGAGGATACCTTGAGCCCATGAGTTCTAGGCTGTGGTAAGCTGTGATCACACCACTGCACTCCAGCCTGGGCAACAGAGGAAAATCCCATTAAAAAAAAAAAAAAAGTAAGAAGGATGTTGTCATCAGAGAGAATGCCAACCTAAGCACCATCTCTTGTCTCTGTCTTAAGTGAATGCTTAGTTTGCTGGAGGTATGGGGACGACAGACTCCAGAGCACAGCAGGCCCTTTGGGAGACCTATAGATACACCTCTGTTCCCCTCCAGCCATCTTCCCCCTCGTGCCTCAGTTACCCTTCAGGACTTAATTCTTCACTCCCACAGGCTGCTTTTTATAAGAATATTTCTATTTCAGAAATTAGAATATTCACATATTAATATTTTGGAATAATCAGAAATACTTTTAGAAGTGGGTAGCAATAATACTCCCCTACCTAAAAATAACTCCCCCACACACTGCTTAGAACTCCACTATTAGATAGTCATGCTTTGGGATAACACTCATTTGCTAAATTGATTCAAAATCAATGCAGAAAATTGAGAGAGAAAGATTAGTGCTTGCCTAGGCCTGGGGAAGGAGAAGAACGGGGAGTGACAGCTAACAGGTATAAGATTTATTTGGGGGGTAACGAAAATGTTCTAAGATTAGTTATGGTGATGATTGTACAAATCCATAAATACAGTTGAACCTTGAACAACACGGGTTTGAACTGCGGAGGTGCACTTATACCTGGATTTTCTTCTGCCCCTGCACTCCTGAGACAGCAAGACCAATTCCTCCTCCTCAGCCTGCTGAAGATGAGGATGAAGACCTTTATGATGATACACTTCCACTTAATGAGTAGTAAATAAATTTTTTCTCTTCCTTATGATTTTCTTTCTTTCTTCTTCTCAGACGGAGTCTTGCTCTGTTGCCCAGGCTGGAGTGCAGTGGCGATCTCAGCTCATTGCAACCTCTGCCTCCTGGGTACAAGCAATTCTCGTGCCTTGGCCTTCTGAGTAGGTGGGAGTACAAATGTGCGCCACCGTGCCCAGCTAATTTTTGTATTTTTAGTGGAGACGGAGTTTCACAATGTTAGCCAGGTCTTAAACTCCTGACCTCAAATGATCCACCCGTCTCAGCCTCCCAAAGTGCTGGGATTACAGGCATGAGCCACTGCGCCCAGCCACCTTAACATTTTTTTTTTCTAGCTTACTTTATTGTAAGAACACAGTATATAATACATATAACATATAAAATATGTGTTAATTGATGTGCATGTTATCTGTAGGGCTTCCAGTCAACTGTAGGCTATTGGTTAAGTTTTGGAAGAGTCAAAAGTTTATATGTGGATTTTTTACTGCGCAGGCACTGGTGCCCCTAACCCTAACCCCTGCATTGTTCAAGGGTCAACTGTATACTAAAAAGCACTGAACTGCACACCTTAACCAGGTGAGTGTTACGGTATGTAAGTTATATCCCAATAAGATGGTTGGAAAAATGAATGCAGATACCCCTGAGAGGTTCAGAGATTTGCGGCAGGACATCAGTCTTTGACAAGTCAGTGTAATGAGTTTTTGTTTTGTTTTATTTTGTTTTTGAGATGGAGTTTCACTCTTGTTGCCCAGGCTGGAGTACAATGGCGTGATCTTGGCTCACCACAACCTCCGCCTCCTGGGTTCAAGCAATTCTCCTGCCTCAGCCTCCCGAGTAGCTGGAATTACAGGCATGCGCCACCACGTCCGGCTAATTTTGTATTTTTAGTAGAGATGGGGTTTCTCCATGTTGGTCAGGCTGGTCTCAAACTCCCGACCTCAGGTGTTCCACCCGCCTCCGCCTCCCAAAGTGATGGGATTGCAGGCGTAAGCCACCATGCCCAGCCTCAGTGTAATGAATTTAATCAGCCTCTGCTACTACTTGGCCAAGGTTGTGGGCACTAGGAGAATGAATGCTTGCTATTTAGGAATAGGGATGAGTTAGGAAGGAGAGAAGAACCCTTGGGACCAGAGAGCATTTCCTGGGTCAAATGAAACCATAGAATGGGAGACACTGAGTAGAAGAGGGGCTGAGGGCCTGGGTGCCTGGGAGCTAGAAGGAGGAGGGCAAAAATGAAAGCCAGTTAGGAACTGGGGGTCAAAAATGAACTTTGCCCCCTGCACAGTTTTGTCCAGGAGAGCCCTGCACTGTGAGTTATTCAAAAGGAGTTAAGAAACTCTATGAACCCAAGGCTCTCTTGAGACTGAAAAGGATATTAAAGATCATCTCATTCCGACAGTCAGGTAGAAATGACTCTACAAAGTGTGCCCAACCTCTCCTAGATGTTTACATTTTGAGAGCAAGCCCCATGCTCCAAACTAGAGAGATGACTTACCTTTCCCGCAGGGAACTATCTACTTATTTTCCCTAAGTCAGAGAATAGTTAACAGGATGGCGCATTGGGCATCTTGCGGGCTGGTCATCCATCAGGCAATGGGGCCCAGCATCTTAGCCATCAGGTACAAATGACTGAGTCCCTGGGAACCATCCTCCACTGCAGCTGGGACCCCACCATGAGCTCTGAACTTCAGCCCTCTTACTCTTGACCTTTGGCTTGGAAATCAAGGATGATACGTTTGTAATTAGCCATCTGGGGAACTGGACCCTAGATTTTTCCAGACCCCATCCTTATGTCTAAACCTCTGGGCCTCAGAGAACAGGAAATAAAGAGCTCAGATTGGAGCTGAGGTGGAAATGGCTGATAATACCATGATCTACCACTCTCCCAGGTGTTGACATTTGCATTTTAATGGAGGCGGTTAAGGCCTCCAGTGCAAGGAGTGACTAATATGTTATTTCAATTGCTCCTGGAGGTAGGTGGGAGACCCTTTGTGGCCCAGGGCCTTTTGATGTCCCTCTAGTCACATCACAAGGACTGCACCTGATTGGTAGCTGCCAACCCTTTGGACTCTGATGCCCACATTCTACATTTGATCTTTGTTCCTGTTCTTGATTTTACTTTCCTTCTTGCACTTTTCCTGAATCCTTTTTTACTAAAAGTCTGGGAACATCCCCGTGAGTCATTTATTCTTTCAACATACATAAACTGATTACCCATTTGAAGCAGAAAACTATGCTGGGCACAGCTGAGTGGGGTGAGTAGGGGGCACCTGCGAGGTATGTCAGCAAGATCCACCCCCAGGAAGTCAGAGGTGAGGAATTCACAGAAAGAGCTAGAGAACAGACAGCACAGCAGCAGCAGAGATGGGCCGTGCAGCTTTTGCCAAGTGCTTCTTGAACACTCCAGACAAGAGGGAGTGAATTCATAGAAGAAAAATATTCCATAGGTTGGAATGAGCAAGAAGTCTTTGGGGAGGCTGGGCGTGGTGGCTCCCTCTTGTACTCCCAGCACTTGGAGAGGCCAAGGTGGGCAGTTCGCTTGAGTCCAGATGTTCAAGACCAGCTTAGCGAACATGGCAAAACCCCGTCTCTACAAAAAATAAAAAAATTAGCCAGGCGTGGTGGTGAGTGCCTATAGTCCCAGCTACTCAGGGGGTACTGAGGCAGGAGGATCGCTTGAACCTAGGAGGCAGAGGTTGCAGTGAGCTGAGATGGCACAACTGCACTCCAGCCTGGGTGACAGAGTGAGACTCCATCTCAAAAAAAAAGAAAAATTAGCCAGATGTGGCGGTGCACACCTGTGGTCCCAGCTACTTGGGAGACTGAGGTGGGAGGATCACCTGAGCCTGAGAAGGTCAAGGCTGCAGTGAGCCACAATCGTACCACTGCACTCCAGCCTTGGGCAACAGAGTGAGATCATGTCTCAGAAAAAGGAAGGAAGGGAGGGAGGGAGGAAAGAAGGAAGGAAGGAAGGAAGGAAGGTCAGTCTTCAGGGAATGGAGGTGGTTGGGGTGAGAAGGGGTCTTAAAGTATGCATAGGAGTTGGATATATGAGACTGGGTTGAAAATATCCCACTAGTCTCAAAAAAGCACATACTATATGATCTTGTTTATGTGAAATGTCTAAAAGAGGCAAATCTATAGAAAGTAGATCAGTGATTACCTGTGTCTACAGCCTGGGGGAGGGAAATGGGGAGTCATTGCTAATGAGTACAACAGGGTGGCGAAAAGAGTTCTAGGATTATGGTGATATGGTAAGAGCTTCCATGACTCTGTAAATGTACTAAAAATGAATTCCACACTTGAAACTTATGGTATGTAAATTATATCACAATAAAGCTTTTTTAAAAAAAATTGAGGGAAAAAAGTGGGGTCAAAGAAAAGCGATACTTCAGTAACCCTGCTTCATAAGTATGGAGGAAATATCCTAGTTTTAAGTCCCTCATCTTTTTTACCTTTAAAGTGGGCCTGCATGACTTGTCATGAGGAACAGAACAATAACGTGATGGTCCTTTTCAAATTATTCACCCTTACATAAAATGGGAGGCATTCTTAATAATACCAAATTAATAAGTTTGCCCTTAATAAACCAGGTGTTCATTTATGAGGTTAGCATGGAATGAAATACATCCCCAGGTCTCAAGCGCTTGCATACATTTATGGATGGCTGTGAAAAATATTTTTATGTCTGTGCCGTATGTGTACCAACTCCTCTAGTAGTCTGGGAGATCTGCTCTTTCATCTCTTCTGTGTTCAAAGCGGGGCCCCCAGGGCCATGCAGATGAGGTCTCTGTTCTCAAAGACGTTCCCTCTTTCAGGATTCTGACAGACTACAGCCTGCCTGCCCCGCAGACTGGAGAGCTGCATCCTCCTGCAGGCATGGGTGGTGATTAGAGTGGCCTGGGGAAGCTTGAGTGGTGCCGAGCATTGTTTCTCCCTCAGTGGCCGCTCTGGCCTTGGAGTGGTCCTGCCCAGTCTCTGTGTGGCCAACTCTGAATCTGTGATTGAGGATGGCAAACCAGGCTGTGTTAGAGATCGTGCTGGGGCTGGCTGACCTTCCCCAAACCCGGATAATCTCTCTCCTTGGCAACAGGCTGGGGCACCGGGGGACAGTGACAGATTGTGAAATCCTGTGGCTGGGCTTTCTAGAATTTACTTAAAAAGAGAAAACGGTAACAATACATTGCATTTGTGTCATGCTTTTGGAAACAAAGCAAGCAAGCAGTCTTTAAAAACTGCTCAAGGAGAAAACAGCTTTAGAACTGTCTGGTAGAGAGCAAACCAGGTGGGTAAGAAATGTGTTGTCTTATTCTTCTCCACTCAACAACATTGAGATGCCGAAAGTGTTAGGAGAAATCATTTTATTGGGGGGATGCAGAGAAAGAGAGAATGGGAGTGACTTGATCAAGATCACACAGCATTAGGGGCTGCGTTTGACCTAAACTTCTCGACTTTTTTTATCAGCCCAAAGCAGGCAGGCAGGATGAAGTGGGATGACATTACAGTTCACTTGGTCCACCTGAGAACCTGAGATTCTGGTATGTACACAGCTTGTCTGAGTCAGGTTGTGAACTTGGTCCTTTAGGGCACATGAGAATATGTCTCTGCTTATAGGTCTGAAAGTAATAAGGAAGAGTAGGGTTTGGGGCATGAGAAAAATGGGCATTCTCCTGCAAAGTCATTTGCATTAAGTATCTTTAAGCAAGGCAGGACCAGACTCAACAGATAGGGATGGGTGGGACTGCTTCTGTTGCCTAGGGAAGCTTAGTGGAGTTTGGAGATTTAAAGGTGAGCAAACTCTGACCAGTGGGCCAAATACAGCCCACTACCTATTTTTGTAAATAAAGTTTTATTGAATCACTGTCACACTCGTGTATTTATTGGCTCAGTCTGCTTTTGCTCAGAGATCAGACGGCCCACAAAGACTAAAATCTTTACTATCTGGCCCTTTAAGAAAAATTTGCCGATCCTTGCTTCACACCATACACATAAAAAATTAACTTAAAATTGGGCCAGGCACAGTGGCTTACACCTGTAATCCCAGCATTTTGGGAGGCCGAGGCACACAGATCACCTGAGGTCAGGAATTCGAGAACAGCCTGGCCAACATAGTAAAACCCCCTCTCTACTAAAAATACAAAAATTAGCCAGGCATGGTGGCACATGCCTGTAATTCCAGCTACTCGGGAGGCTGAGGCAGGCGAATCGCTTGAACCCAGGAGGCAGAAGTTGCAGTGAGCCAAGATCTCACCACTGCACTCCAGCCTGGGCGACAGAGCAAAACTTCATCTCAGAAGAAGAGTCCGGGTGCAGTGGCTCACGCTTGTAATCCCAGCACTTTGGGAGGCCGAGGCGGGCAGATTATGAGGTCAGGAGATCGAGATCCTCCTGGCTAACACGGTGAAATTTTTAGTACAAATATTTTGTACTAAAAATACAAAAAAATTAGCCAGGCATGGTGGCAGGAGCCTGTAGTCCCAGCTACTCGGGAGGCTGAGGCAGGAGAATGCTGTGAACCCGGGAGGCAGAATTTGCAGTGAGCTGAGATTGCACCACTGCACTCCAGCCTGGGCAACAGAGCGAGACTGCGTCTCAAAAAAAAAAAAAAAAACTTAAAATTGGCCGGGCTTGGTGGTTCATACCTGTAATCCCAGTGCTTTGGGAGGCCGAGGCAGGAGGATCACTTGAGGCCAGGAGTTCAAGACCAGCCCAGGCAATGTAGCAAGATCCCCATCTCTACGAAAAATTTTAAAAATTAGCTAGGCACAGTGGTGCACACCTGTAGTCTCAGCTGCTCAAGAGGCTAAGGTGGGAAGAGCCTGGGAGGTCGAGCTGCAGTGAGCTATGATTGTGCCACTACACTCCAGCCTATGTGACAGAGTAAACCCTGTCCTGCAAAAAAAAAAAAAAAATTTAATTTATTTATTGTAAGTGTAAAATGTAAAACCATAAAATTTCTAGAGGAGCGTGCAGGAGGAAAATCCTTGTAACCTGGAGTTAGGCAACAATTTATTTGATACAACACCAAAAGCAATTTATTATTTTTCAAATTATTCAAATTTTTGATAAACTTTATTAAGAACTGCTCTTCAAAAGAAATTATTAAATGAATGAAAAGATAAGGCACAGGCTGAGAAATTATGAACAGATAACATATCTAATAAAAGATTTGGCTGGGATCGGTGGCTCATGCCTGTAATCCCAGTACTTTGGGAGGTTGAGGCGGATGGATCTCCTGAGGTCAGGAGTTCGAGACCAGCCTAGCCAACATGGTGAAATCCTGTCTCTACTAAAAATGCAAAAATTAACCAGGCGTGGTGGCATGCCCCAGTAATCCCAGCTGAGGTGGGAGAATTGATTGAACCCGTGAGGCAGAGGCTTCAGTGAGCCAAGATCGTGCCACTGCACTCCAGCCTGGCAGCCTGGGCAACAGAGCAAGACCTCGTCTTAAAAAAAAAAAAAAAAATTTATATGCAAAATCTCTAGAAAATGCTCTAAAGTCAGTAACAAGAAAACAACCCAATAAAAAATAGGCAAAAGATTTGAATAACCACTTCATTCAAAATGGGTGAGGATATATGGATAACATATAAGGACATGAAAGGATACTAACATCATTAGTCATTAGGGGAAAGCAAATTGAAATCACAATGAGATACCACTACACACCTATTAGAATGGCTAAACTTAAAGAGTGGCCATACCAAGTGTTGGACAGAATATGAAGCAACTGGAACTCTCATACACTGCTGGTGAGAATGCAAAATGGTACAATCACTTGGAGAAGAGTTTGACAGTTTCTTAAAAAGCAAAGCATACTCATACCATAGAATCCATTATTTTACTCCTAGCCAAGAAAAATGAAAGCATATGAACATATGTCCACAAAAAGACCTATATGCTAATGTTTATAGCAGCTTTATTTGTAACTAGAAATAACCCAGATATCTGTCAACAAGTGAACAGAAAAACAAGTTGTGGTATATTCATGTAATGGAATAATACTCAGCAATAAGAAGGGATGAACTACTGATAAATAACAACATGAATGGCTCTCAGTTATAACTATCCTGAGTAGAAAAAGCCAGACACAAAAGGAGTACATACTGTATTATTCTATTTATTAAAAATTCTAAAAAATGCAAACGAATTCTGTAGGGATAAAAGCAGATTGGTGGTTCCCTGGGGATGGCAGGGAGCAAGGAAGAGCAGAAGGGCTTGATTGCAAAGGGACACATGGAATTTGGGGGGTAATGGATATTCATTATCCTCATTGTGGTGATGATTTCATAGGGGCATGTGTATGTTTGTATAATGTCAAAAGTTATCAAACTGTTCACCTTGAATGTGTGCATTTTATTGTATGTCAGTTGTGTCTCAATGAAGCTATTTTTTAAAAAAGAAGAAAAAATCCTGATCGTGTCATTTCTTTCTTTAAACACTCTGTGTAGTTTAAGCAGCCAGTCCAACTCCCCAGGCTTTCTGTTTCTTATCTCACCACAGTGGCTAGCTCAGCAGCCACTCTGTCCTCTGAAGCCTTCCCCTTCATTCTAGGTGACCACAGGTGAGATCTGTATTGCCACTATGAGTGATATGGACTACCAGGTGCTATCTCCCAATGTAAATAGAGGATCATTGTTGCCTTCCAATCCAACTAGGTGAGAGAGCCAATCTCAGATGCTCATTTCGTTAAGAGTCTGTTGCTTGCCACCATCCTGGTGTCAAACACTCTATTGGGGAGGGTTAGTCACGGAAAGCAGAATCCACTCTACCTAGTTAAAACAGAAAATAATGTATTAAAAGATGCCGGAGACAAGTTCAAGGAGGAAGTTCTTAGCCATTTCTGCATAAGGGAATTACCTCAGTATGTGAGGAATGATCTGACTGTAGAATGATGCTATCTCCGTTACAGAAGTACCATTTAATGGTGCGTCTCTCCAACACATCATAACTTCCCAAGTCACCTTCTTATCAAACTGCTACTAAAACTCAACTTGGAGCCTTTGATGAATGGCATATTCCAGGTATGGGGTAGGGAAAGGACAAGGTGAACCTGGAATACCTCATTGGGCTAGAAAGCAAAGATGTGCTCAAAGATTGATGGGGACATGTGAAAAGAACATGGGATGATACACATCTGTTAAAATGGATGAAGCAAAACAACAACAATAATAAAAATCTGACAAGGTTGCAAGAAGTGATTCCAGGCTCACTCCAGGATGATTCAGCGAACCAGCCGTCTGATGTAAATGAGACACCTCCCACGGAAGACCTGGACGTGGATCAAAGACAGAGGATCAGCCTCCCTGGGAAATCTTTGAGGAAGCCACCAGGATCGTGTCCTGGTGGAAATCAGGAGTCTTGAGTTCTAGGCTGGCCCTGCTGCTTACCAGCTCGTGCCTACCAAGAGCAAGTCTTTTCCTCCTCAGAGCCACAGGTGTCCGTGTGTGTTAATAAGTGGGAAGGGGTGGACACTAAGAGTTTTCAAACTGTGTTCCTTGAAGCCCAGGACTCCTGGGATTTGCTTTGGGATGCTGCAAGGGCCAGAGGGAACCGGGTTAGGGGAGAGCTGCACCCAGAACAGACCAGCTTTTACCTGCTTTATGTTTGGCAGGTTTCATTCTCAGTTGACAACCTCAGGGGTGCAAAAAAATCAATTCCTTCACTTTCTAAATCTCTAAATTAATTTCCGACTCCCAGAACCCATCCCAGAAGCTAAATGAAGTGTTTACCCCAAATATTCTTTTTTTTTTGTTTTCGAGACAGAGTCTTGTGCTGTCGCCCAGGCTGGAGTGCAATGATGTGATCTCTGCTTACTGCAAACTCTGCCTCCCAGGTTCAAGTGATTCTCATGCCT
Source organism: Homo sapiens (assembly GCF_000001405.40). Lineage (NCBI taxonomy): Eukaryota > Metazoa > Chordata > Mammalia > Primates > Hominidae > Homo > Homo sapiens. Next base: position 123,464,943 of record NC_000003.12, read on the forward strand.
CAGCCTCCCGAGTAGCTGGAATTACAGGGTATGTCACCACATCCAGCTAATTTTTGTATTTTTAGTAGAGATGGGGTTTTGCCATGTTGGCCAGGCTTGGTCTCGAACTCCTGGGCTCAAGTGATCCAACCGCCTTGGCCTCCCAAAGTACTGGAATTACAGGCATGAGCCACCACACCCAGCTAATTTTTGTATTTTTAGTAGAGATGGGGTTTCACCATGTTGGGCAGGCTGGTCTCGAGCTTCTGACCTCAAGTGACCCGCCCACCTCGGCCTCCCAAAGTGCTGGGATTACAGGTGTGAGCCATCACGCCCATTCAGATATTCTTAGGGTTCTCGGACAAGGGTGCCCACTAACAAGCCACATCTCTGCCCAGTGGCCCCTGTGGGCCCAGCTGTCTCTGCTGATTCTGTGTCACTCCTGAGACATGGGTGCCTTTTGGGAGCTCACCAGTGTCCCCCTGCTTTTCTCTCCTCATCCCACAGCCCCACTCCCCAACCTGGGAAAGCCCTTCCTAGCCTGGGGGAACTCTCCCTTTGTGTTTCTTCAAGACGTTCATTTAGTCTTTGCCAGAGTCCCCATTATGGGATAAATTGTGTCTCCCCCATCCCCAAATTTCGTTTGTTGAAATCCTAACCCCCAGTACCTCAGAACAGACCTTCTTTGGAGATAGATTCTTTACAGAGATAAGTTAAAATGAGGTCATTAGGATTGGGCCTAATCCAATGTGACTGGTGTCCTTATAAGAAGAGGAAATTTGGTCACAGGCATGCATAGAGAAAAGATGATGTGAAGAGATGCGGGGAGTAGACAGCCATCTACAATCCAAAGGAGAAGCCTGGGGCAGATCTGCCCTCACAGCCTTCAGAAGCAGACAACCCTCGTGACACTTGGAGCTAGGATTTCTAGCCCCCCAAGCTGTGAGGCCATCCATTTCTATGATTTAAGCCACCCAGTCTGTGGTATTTTGTTGTTACAACCCTAGCAAACTAATACAGATTCCTTCCCCGTCTTTACCTCTCTTGCAAACCCTCTAAGTTCTCCCAGGTATTACAGGCTATTCCCCTAATGTCTGTTTGAATGGGAGAAAGGGATAGGGAGTAAAATTTAAGTTACTACTTCATAATCTAATTCAGCTACACATACATAAGGTTCCGTTTGAACAGAGGACTAGAAGCTAGAAAGAGTTTTAAAATGACGGTTCGGCTGGGCATGGTGGCTCATGCCTGTAATCCCAGCAGTTTGGGAGGCTAAGATGGGTGGATTGCTTGAGGTCAGGAGTTTGAAACCAGCCTAGACAACATGGTGAAACCCCATATCTACTAAAAATACAAAAATTAGCCAGGCGTGGTGGTGGGCGCCTGTAATCCTAGCTACCTGGGAGGCTGAGGCAGGAGAATCGCTTGAACCAGGGTGATGGAGGTTGCAGTGAGTCGAGATCATACCACTGCATTCCGGCCTGGGCAACTGAGCCAGACTCTGTCTCAAAAGTAAATAAATAAATTAATTAATTAAAAGTGACTGGGTTGATGAGTTGATGAGTGTTATCATTGGGTGATGGGTCTATGGGGGTCAACTGTATTATTCTCCCTACTTTTGTATATATTTGAAAATCTCCATTATAAACTGTTAAGAGGGAAAACAAAAGAGTGAGAAAACATCACTTAGACTAGACGACTCAGGTGTTTCCCACCTCTAGAGTCCATCATGGCATCATCAGTCCCTCTCCTTGTCCCTACCAGCCAGGCTCAGCTGACAGCATCAAGAGCCATCCTCCAGCCCCCACAACCCCCACTGCCACCAGAGCCCATGGCCTTCCTTCTCCAGCTGGGCTTGGTGCAGAGACGTCCGTATCCCCAGGCAGCCACAGCGGAGCAGAGCAGGCATGGCAGCCAGACCCCCAAGTACCGAGCAGACTCCCCAGGCAAAACTTGGCTGCCTCTCTGGGTCCTCCTGAATGGTCCCTGACCCCAGCTCCTCTCTCTCTGACCCCAGCTCCTCTCTCTCTTCTCAGGAGTCATTTTCCCTGAATCCTGTAATACCATTTAAAATATCAAATCACAACTCCAGTGTTACTAATGACCACTCAAATCATTTTTCTGGGACTGCACAGTGGCTCTTGCCCAGGACTTCTCCTCGTTGAAAGCTCTTGTTGACCCCCAACAAGGTCAAAAGCTCCTGTTGACCCCCAACAAGGTCAGGGCAAAAGAACCCATAGAAATAACAGTATTCGTGGCATTTAAAATGAGTTCCAGATACTATTGGTACGAGAGTCACGGGTCACATTACTCCTGGCACTGTAAGGGTCACGTTACTCCTGGCACTGTGGTTAAATAGTTACTAAATAGCAGCCCAATCCTTCTCAACTTCCTTATGTCCCATTTCAGGGGCTACTCTTTAAATAAATATTCCCTTTTAATTCCTCCTCTAAACTCACTTTTTCCTTTAGAACCAACACTAATGTTGAAATTTCCACTAACAAAATGAGAAGAGGAAAATGAGCTTTTCATGGGACTGATTTCATAAAATTTAAGAGACTGTCTTTTTTTTTTTTTTTTAATGATTATCTTCTGACTTTTTCGTCTTAAAATATCTTTTCTGTCCTGACACAGTGGTATCAGCGTGTCATGATGTATCAGTCGGAGTTTAATTGCAGGTACAGCAATCACTCTAACTATTTTAAGCAGAACAGAATTTAACACGGGGATTTAAGACTTTACAACATTATTGGAGGGGCTGGAGGTGCAGACTGAGGCCAGGCTTCTAGGAATGCCTCCCAGCATGGTAGGACTGGTCTGTCAAGAGCCGCACCATTGATGCCAGTGTCAGGAATCTCGGGGGTCAGGAAGCCACTGCCCCCATCTGCCAAGTTCAGGACTGCATCACCAAAATGGATGCTGCAGAATCTGCCTCTTGACATCCACAAAACTAGAGATGGGGCCTGGGCTCTTTGCCATGTCTGCCCCAGGAAAATCAACCATCTCACCTCCAAGCTTTCCAGGAGAAACAGTGGAAGCAGCAAAAGCACAGGCTTGGCCACACTGCTGCCTTGCAAATCTCATGCCAGTGCACCTGCCTGGCAGGGGGCTGGGGTCATGTGTGGACCTGGAGCTGTAAGGCCTGCTGCAGGGGTGCAATGGAGTTGTGTGAACTAATCTGCAAGATCCGCCACTGGTGATAATTTGTTTTCCTTGGCAACATTGTGGCTGATCTGCCATATTATATTCATTTGTGAAATGCAAAATCTGAGAGTGGGAGGTATCAATCCTAAGAGAAGCCCCATCAAGGACAGAAATTAAACTACCTGTATTCATACCAGAATGTCCAGCACATAGGGAAAGGTGCTCCTCTTCACTGTCATCAGGGCAATGCAAATCCAAATCATGATTAAGTCACAACTAAAGTCATCACTCCATACCTTCTAGAATGACTAAAATGAAAAGGAGTGATAATGCCGAGTGTGCACAAGGATGTAGAGCAGCATGTGTATATTATTAGTAACGCTTTGGGGTGCCACAGTGCCTACTAGAGCAATGAGTGTGGGTGACCTCTGACCCAGTAATTCCATCCTGAACCCATCAGAAAAACATGTATGAGAATGTTCATGGCACCACTGCTTATTTATTTATCTATTTATTAAGACAGTGTCTTGTTCTGTTGCCCATCCTGGAGTGCAGTGGCACAATCATGGCTCACTGCAACCTTGACCTCCTGGGCTCAAGCAATCCCCTGCCTCAGCCTCCCAAGTAGCTGGGATCACAGGCACACACCACTGTGCCCAGCTAATTATTCTTTGTAGAGACGGGGTGTTGCTATGTTTCCCAGGCTGGTCTCAAACTTCTGGTCTTAAGTAATCCTCATGCCTCAGCCTCTCGAGTAGCTAGGACTAGAAGTACATTCCACCATGCATGGCAAATTTTTAATTTTTTTTGTAGAGACAGGGTCTCACTACGTTGCCCAGGATGGTCTTGAACTCCTGTCCTCAATTGATCCTCCCACCTTGGCCTCCCAAAGTGCTGGAATTACAAGCATGGGACACTGTGCCCAGTGGCACTGCTGTTTTTAAGAACCAAAAACTGTAAACAACCCAGATGTCCCTCAGCGGCAGGATGAATCAATATATTGGGGTATAGTCACACAGTGGAACTCTACACAGCAATGGGAGCCAACAAACACCACCGAGCAGTAGCACGCAAGAACATCACAGACGTGATGCTGAGCCAGTAAGGACGGGCACGAAGAAGGCACACCATTTGTTTCCATTTATAAACCTCAAGAGCAGGGCCTTAGCAGTTAGCACAGTGGCCCCCCTTGTAGGTGGATGGGAACTGGAAGGGAAAACAAAGGGGGCTTCTTGGGTGTGGATCATGTTCTGTTTCTTGATCTGGATGCTGGTGACACACGTGTGTTCACTCTGTGAAGTTTTGTCTTGCTCTACACTTATGACATAAGTACTTTTAAATATGTATAGATACTTCAATAAAACTGACACAAACCAAACAACTACTTAGCGTCAATCTTCCTTTCTCTGAGCACCCTCCCACTTACACCAGGCTGATGATCACGATGGTTCCATTTATGGAGCACCTGCTGTGTGCCAGGCTCTGCTGATTCTCATGACCTCGGGGCAAGGTGGCAGGATGCTTGCCCCATTTTGTGGGTGAGGTGGCCTTCCCACAGCCCTCCCAATCACATACCCCTGCAGTGCAGCTCACTGCTTCTCCACTGTGCTCGGTCTCTTTTCCTCGTCTGCAGCCTGGGTAAGTGGTCCTTTGCCAAGGATGTGGCAGTTCCCTGTCTCCTCCCCTCTGCTGCTGTCCCCGAGATCCAGGTTGGTAATGCTGAGCAGCTGCCACCATCGCCAAGCACCCCAGAGGGCAACATGTTGTTCCTTGATGACAAGCCTCAGGGAGCCATGCAGTCACTGCCGGCCACACGGGGGTGGTCTAGGATTCTGGAACTTGTTCTTCCCCTTGTGCCAGTCTCTCCTGAGAGAAGTATGGGCGGTGCTTGAGGGATCTGCCAAGCCAGGGCCCACAGGGGCAGGGAGGGAGGGCTTGTACCCAGGACTAGCCCCTTGAGGTTACCTGCACTGCTGCACCATCTCTGGGGAGAGTAGGTTCAGAGCCTCTGGTTAGTCTAAGCCCTTGTACCCCAGATGGCTCATAGAGGACACTCCTGATGTCCTTGGGGAGGACCCTTCCCCAAGCTTTGGGAATATTGTGCAGGTGCATGTGTGTGTCTGGTGTGCTCCCTGAAGGCAGGCACTGCCTCATTCTCCCCTACCCTCAACCTGACACTGGCAGTGCCTGGCATCAGCAGAATGAAAAGAAGTGCCAGGTATGGACAGATGAGATCAAGAAAGACACACTCTCCCTGCCCTCAAGTAGCTTATAGCATTGGTGATGATAGCAACTGACATTAAGTAATTAAATTATTTATTTATTTATTTTGAGACAGAGCCTGACTCTGTCACCCAGGCTGGAGTGCAATGGCACAATCTCAGCTCACTGCAACCTTGGCCTCCCAGGTTTAAGTGATTCTCCTGCCTCAGCCTCCCAGTTTGCTGAGATTACAGGCACCTGCCACCATGCCTGGGCTAATTTTTAGTAGAGAGGGGGTTTTACCATGTTTGCCAGGCTGGTCTTGAACCCTGACCTCAAGTGATCTGCCTTCCTTGGCCTCTCAAAATGCTGGGATTACAGGTGTGAGCTACTGCACCAGGCCCACAACTAACATTTATTGAACACTCACTATTTGCTGAGCACTGTTCTAATTTCTTTTCTTTTCTTTTCTTTTCTTTTTCTTTTTTTTTTTTTTTAGACAGGGTCTTACTCTGTCACCCAGGCTGGAGTGCAGTGGTGCAATCATGGCTCACTGCAGCCTCAACCTCCCAGGCTCAAGCAATCCTTCCACCTTAGCCTCCCAAGAAGCTAGGACCACAGGCATGTGCCACCATGCCTGGCTAATCTTGGAAAATCTTTTGTAGAGATAGGGCCTCTATGTTTTCCAGGCTGGTCTTGAATTCCTGGGCTCAAGCACTCCTCCTGCCTAGCCTCCCAAAGTGCTAAGATAACTGGTGTGAGCCACTGCGCCCAGCTCTTATTTCTTTATAGACATTGTCTCATTGAGGTCTTAAAACAACTCTTTGAGGCAGGTCCTATTGAGTCTCATTTTGCAGACAAGGGAACTGAGACTTAGAAGTTTAAGGGACCTGTGGAAGGCAGCCTCTGAGAGGGCCCTGGCATCCCACCGCCTTGTATTCATGCTCTCATATAGTCCCCCTCCAGTCCAGGGTGGACTCTCTCCTACTGAGCAGAACAGGGCAGAGGTAGTGGGATGCTGCTCCTGAGATTGTTACTCAAAGACTGTGGCCTCCATCCTGGGTGCTTTCCCACTCTCTTGGGTCACTTGCTTCAGGAGAAGCCCTCTGCCGTGTTGCTAGGCAGTCTCATGGCGATACCCTCACGAGTGAGCTTGGACCCCGTTCCTCTCTTAGTTGAGCCTTAAGGTGGCTGCAGCCTTGGCCTGCATCTTGACTGTTACCTCATGAGAGACCCTGAGCCAGAACCACCCAGCTAAGCTGCTCTCAGGTCCCTGCCTGACCCACAGAAACTGGGAGATGGTAAGTGGTTGCTTTAAGCAGGCAAACGCTGGGGTAATTTGTTACATAGTAGTAGACAGCTAACACACTTGTCTGTCCTCACAAGGCCTGTCTCTGATCCTGCTGGAATTTGAAGCCAGTTATGTCTGACCTCAGCATCCATGATTTTTTTAAAAAATTGCAACTTTTATTATAGATTAAAGGGTACACGTGCAGTTTCGTCACTTGGGTAAACTGCATGATGCTGAGGCTTGGGATCTCAACGATCTCATCACCCAGGCAGTAAGCATAGTACCCAACAGGTGGTTCTTCAGCCCACATCCGCCTCCTCCCTCCCCTCTCTAGTGATCCCCAATGCTATTGCTTCCATCTTTTTCATGTGTATTCGATGTGTAGTTCTCACTTATAAGTGAGAACATGCAGTATTGGTTTTCTATTCTTGCATTAGGTCATTTAGGATAATGGCTTCCAGCTCTATCTATGTTGCTGCAAAGGACATGATTTCATTCATTTTTATGGCTGCATGGTATTCCATGGTGCATATGTACCACATTGTCATTGTCAATTTACAGTTGATGAGCACTTAGCTTGATTCCATGCCTTTGCTATTATGAATGGCGCTACAGTGAGCATACAGGGGAATGTGTCTTTTTGATAGAATGAACTTTTTTCCCTTGGGTGTATACCCAGTAGTAGGGCTGATGGGTCGAATGGTGGTTCTATTTTAAGTTCTTTGAGAACTCCAAACTAGAGTCCATGATTATTATTTTTTTTTTTTGAGATGGAGTTTTGCTCTTGTTGCCTGGGCTGGAGTGACCTTAGCTCACTGCAACCTGTGCCTCCTGGATAAAAGTGATTCTCCTGCCTCAACCTCTGGAGTAGCTGGGACTACAGGTGTGCACCACCACGCCCAGCTAATTTTTTGTGTTTGTAGTAGAGACAGCATTTCACCATGTTGGCCAGGCTGGTCTCGAACTCCTGACCTCAAATGATCCACCCGGCTTGGCCTCCCAAAGTACTGGGATTACAGGCGTGAGCCACTGTGCCCGGCCGCATCCGTGCTCTTAACCACTCCCCTATACTGCTTCCCCTGCACAGAAGAAACATAGTCAATGCTGCTTGGACTGAATTGAGACTACCCTGAACTGATAAGAAAGCTGAGGGATGCCTAACCCCAGTAGATTCTTAACCATTCTGGGCCGCAGTTTTCTCATATGAAAGATGAAAATGATAATAATACCTAATTTCATAGGGTTATTGTGAGGAGTAAACAAGTATACAATCATGAAGAAGAAGGTCTTCGAGCAATAACAGCCATTATTAGTATTAGATGAAATGACGTATGCAAACTTTTTTTTTTTTTTTTTTTTGAGGTGGAGTGTCTTGCTCTGTCACCAGGCTGGAGTGCAGTGGCGCAATCTCGGCTCACCACAACCTCCGACTCTCTGGTTCAAGCGATTCTCCTTCCTCAGCCTCCCGAGTAGCTGGGATTACAGGCATGTGCCACCATGCCCGGCCAATTTTTGTATTTTTAGTAGAGATGGGGTTTCATCATGTTGGCCAGGATGGTCTCGATCTTCTGACCTCGTGATCTGCCTGGCTTGGCCTCCCAAAGTGCTGGGATTACAGGCGTGAGCCACCTTGCCCAACCTAATGTATGCAAACATTAAGTGAAATAATACTTGGCTCAAGCTCCTCTGACAATCAGTGTTCACCTTTGCAAAATGGAGATACCAATGTTGTCATTCCTTGCTGTCAGGATTAGATGGACTGGCCCAGTGCCTGGCAAATACTAGAGGCTTAATAAATGGGCCAGGTGCAGTGACTCACACCTGTAATCCCAGCAGTTTGGGAGGCTGAGGTAAGTGGATCACCTGAGGTCAGGAGTTTGAGACCAGCCTGGCCAACATGGTGAAAACCCATCTCTACTAAAAAAAATAAATAAATACAAAAATTAGCCAGGCATGGTGGCAGGCATCTGTAATCCCAGCTACTCAGAAGGCTGAGGCAGGAGAATTGCTTGAATCTGGAGGCTGGAGGTTGCAGTGAACTGAGATCACGCCACTGCATTCAGCCTGGGTGACACAGCGAGACACCATCTCAAAAAATAAATAAATTAATTAATTAATTAAAAAATGGCATCCACAACATGATACGTCAACAGATTTTTTTTTAATTTTTTAATTTTTATTTTTAGAGATGTTGTCCTGCTTTGTTACCCAGGCTGGCCTCTAAATCCCAGCCTCAAGCAATCCTCCCACCTCAGCCTCCCAAAGTGCTGGGATTACAGACGTGAGCCACTGCACCCAACCCATTGACTGATGTTTGAAGGGCGGCACGTGGCAGATGAGTGATCTGTAATAGCTGTTACAGGGCACTGCTATGGATCCTGCTCATCGGAGACATCCCATTTCCCTGCCCTGGAGTCTGGGAGCTGGCTGAAGGTGGAGGGCAGGGTGAGGGTGTGGCATGAAGAGCTTGTGAATCGAGGGACATCTAAGAGGCTTGGCCCTTCCTCTTGGTCCTTGGGAATGTTCTCCTTCAGAGGCCCACAGCAGACCCACTGTGCTGGCTGCTGGCAGGACCCTCGACTCTCCAGTGAAGGGATTATGTTAACAGTCCCAAGAAGGAAATTGATTCCATGAAAATCCCCAATCCCTGGGGCTGGGAAACTTAATGAGTCTCAGCACAAACGAGTCCCCGCCAGTTCTCGTTCCAGTTGGATCTTTCTTGCAATGGCATGGTTTGTGCTTCAAATGTGCTCCAAAAGAAATAAATGAGTAAATAACACAAAAAAGATGGGCCTTACTCTGCAGCCCTATGTGGAAATGTTTGGGAAATTGTGATGACCATCTTTATTCAAAGATTTGGATATTTGTGAAACATGCTTGTATAACTTCTTTTGCCAACTTCTTGTTGAGTTTTTTTGGCATATTGAAGTATGAAATATCACAAAAGGGAAAACAAAAACACGTAGCCCCCAAATGACACTGGAACATACTTATTCAAAAAGTTCATCTGCAGAGCACCCCAAACTTTATCATTTTCACTGAGGTGGATGTGGGCTGTGAACTTAAGGATGGCAAAGGTGAGTTGTAATCTGGCTGGGACAGATCACTTCCCTTCTTGAATTTTCTCATCCACTAAGTATCAGGCTTGGACCTGATCAGTGGTTTTCACACTGGGTTCCTTGAAGCTCCTGGGGGTGCCCTGAAAGGGCTCCCAACCTGTTACATCCATCAGAACTGTTTCCCTTTCATCAGCCTCACATTTTAGAGATGAGATTCTCTAACTGGGAAAAGGGATTTTCCTGCTTAGGAAACAAAGGCTCGAAAGTTTCTTAGATCATCTGTAAGCTCCCGTGAAGTTCTGATACTGTGAGTCTGCGTTCAAAAGAGGGAAAAGGGATTGAAAATGGGATGCAAAGTATAAAGTCAAACTCAGAAAAGAACTTCCTAACAGCAAACAGCATAAGTCTCTGTCACAAGCAACGTGGAAGGAAAGCTGAGGAGTTTTCGTTTGCAGGGCTCTTTGAGGAGAACAGCAGAAGAGTCTGGACGCAGTGAGGAAATTGCCCGTGGCTGGAGGATTCCATGCTCCTGTGAAATTCCTAAGTGGGCCGAGCAATTCCTAAAAGGGGAAAGGCCTTGCAAGCCACAAGGCAAAGTCTACTTTTCACATTTCTTTCCTTCCACCTGGACTTACTCCTCCCATATTTCCAACTCGAGTTGTGCCCTTGACAAATGTTTGCTGAGTGCCTACTACGTGCCTAACGCGATGCGCGTGCTCGGGAGACAGCGCTGAACAAGTCAAGAATCGCTGCCTTCTCGGAGCTTCCCTTCTGAGAGGAAATGAGGCAGAACCGGAACTACTAGCCACAGTCACTTAGGGATGCCTGTGCCAGGACTCAGAGGGAAAAACATAGAGCAACAGAACATTTCCAGGGGAGTCGGACACAGAGGGCTCCTGGGATAGGCTTCCCGGAGAGGTGATGTTTGAGAGAAAACCGGAAAGACAGGTGAGAATTAACCAGGGAGAGAGGGAAGGATCCCTGCAGCGAGTGAGGAGCCCTCTCCAATGAAGGAAGTTATCGGGGCGCCCCAGAGATGGCTTCTCTGATGCACACACATGCTGACCATGCCTTGTGGGTTTAGCTCGTTTACAAGTTCCAGATCAATGAGTTCACTCCCTTGGTTGTCTCACTATCTGGATTAGCTCCCTCCACCTCCTCTAAACCTGCTGCAGACCTGCCTGGCTTTTCTCTGTGGCTCCCTGCCTCCTCCTGTCTTCTTATTTTGGCTGGAACCCGAGGAGTCCATTTTCACATGGTTGTCACTGCAGGGACCAGGGACAGGATACAAAGAACCAGAGAGGGTAAGGAAGGCAGGGGTGAAAAACAAGTGGGTTTCACAGATGAGCAAGCCGCTGGCCCGAGTGGGGGCAGGATGGACCCCATGGGAGTGAACTTGGACACTTGGAGGGGCTTTGAACTTTGGAGCTTCTCCCACCTTTGGAGCCCAGGACCCCTTCCCCAGCCAAGGGAATGACTCCATCCGAGGCTTTTAGAGGCGCCTCTACAGAGCGGGCATGTTCATTGGATATTAGCAGGGTTGCTGTGCTGTGAGACAGCCAGCACGGCAAGTGCTCAGTACAACATAGTTCCTTTTTTTTTTTTTTTTTTTTTTTTTTTTTTGAGATGGAGTCTTGCTCTGTCACCCAGGCTGGAGTGCAGTGGCGTGATGTCGGTTCACTGCAGCCTCCGCCTCCCGGGTTCCAGCGATTCTCCTGCCTTAGCCTCCCAGGTAGCTGGGATTATGGGTATGCACCACCATGCCCGGCTAATTTTTTGTATTTTTAGTAGAGACAGGGTTTCACCATGTTGGCCAGGCTGGTCTCAAACTCCTGACCTTAGGTGATCCGCCCGCCTCAGCCTCCCAAAGTGTTAGGATTACAGACGTGAGCCACAATGCCCAGCCCAACATAGTTCTTAACAACAGCCACAGTAGCGGCTCTGGCTGAGGAACTGATCCCATTGTGGAGACTGAACCAGGATCCCACCTACCTTGCCCAGCTGTGAAAGCAGAGGCGGGCAGTAGGACTTCTATTTTTGGCTGTTTTGTTTTTGTGTTTGTTTTTTGGGTAGTGAAGATTTAGGAAACAGAGATCAGCAGCATAATTAAAAGAAGCTAATAACAAAATCAATCTGCCGTGTAATTATATATGTAGCCGCTTTTTGCTGCATGGTAATTAGTCATAAATAATAAACAGCCGATAAAAACAAAGGTAGCTGATTTGCCTTTCACACAGCCAGGCCATGGTCACAGCCTTCCTCTTTTTGTCTTCTTAGTGCCCCTAGACTGGCCATGGATCAGGGCTGAGAGTTTACCTGATGCCAGGGAGCATTCAAGCACACTCAATGCTGACACTCATCTGTCGTGCCTCAGTTGCCCCTATGCCCCAGGCCATTCCTTTCATCCTCTCATCAACCTCAGAAACTGCCCACATCCCCCCACCGTGGGGGTGTCCTTTGGCTCCATTCAGCTGCCCCTTTGTGTCTGCTCTGACCTCAGGCTGCCTTCCTCCTCCAATGATCAAGCACTCTGTGTGCTCCTCCCCGATGTGCCAGGCTTTGCAGCAGGTGCTGGAGGGACAAAGGTGAAGGATACCAGTTAGATTATCAGGAGAAAACTGTGAAACATTTGGGTGTATGATGATGAAATATTCTTGCTCTGTGATGTCTCTATACACGTACATATTATTGCTCGTGACCAAGATATTTTTGTAGGACTCAAAAAGGGTTATTTTAAAAGAGAGAGAGAGAGAGAGAGATGAATAAGATCCAGTTCTTGATCGAAAGGAGCCAATAGGCTGGGAGAGGAAACAGCCTCTATACAGCTCATCCCGACGCCCATGCTAGAGGGGCGTCTACAAAGGCCGCGGAAGCAGATGTGCAGGCAGCGCTTTCACTTGGGTGAGAAGAAAGGGGTTGGGAGACAGCTCAGAGCAAGTTTCATTGAGTTGCATCTTGAAGGGTGAGGAGGAGTTTGGCAGGTGGCAGAGGAATTGTAATAATAGCTCACATTTATTGAGCACTTATGAGGCACCAGGTGCTGTTCTAAGAACCGTATGTGTGCTGACCTATGTAACCTTTGAAATCACGCGGTAAGGCAGATGTTATTGTCTTCATTTTTAGAGGAGGAAACAGGGTGTAGTGAGTTGAGTTTTGTTCCCACCAAAAAGATGTGTCTAGGTCCTGACCCCTGGTCCCTGTGACTGTGACTTTATTTGGAAATAAGGCCTGCAAATATAATTAAGGATGGAGATCTCATTTTCAGATATTAAGATCTTATCATGAGATTACATACTCATTTCTTGATGAGATAATTTTGATTTAGGGTAGGCCCTAAATGCAATGACTGGCGTTCCCATGAGAGAGAAGAAAGGAGAGGGGGGATTTAAGGCACAGAGACACAGGGGTGAATGCCATGTGAAGGGAGGGGCAGACACTGGAGTGAAGCTGCTGGAAGCAAAGGAAACCTGGAGTCTCCAGAGGCTGGAAGTGGCAAGCAAGGGTTCCCCCTAAAGCCTTCAGGGGTAGCATGGCCCTGCCTGTAGCTTAGTTTCAGAAGCCGTAGAACAAGCTCTCCTCTGGAGAATCATTGTCTTGAATCACTGTGAATGATCACCATCTCTTTTTCTCCCTCCCCACAACAGAGGTCTTTCAGTTCCATATCAACGAAGGGTAAGGCTACCCCCTTTCCCCAGGGTAAAAATCAATGACCCAGTGAACCAGGTCCCAGACTTGCTTTAATGCACTACAAACAAGAACCCTATGAGCTGATGATCCTTTCCCTGAACAGCAGGCTGTTCCCACTAGTGTGTGCCTGGGCCACCAGCAACAGTTTGACTTCAAGAGTCACTCAGTAGGGGCAGTCCTAGGGCTAAGGGAGCCCCCTAAGTGGAGAGACAGGAAAAGGCTGGGCTCCTGCTTTGGGGAGGAGTCTCAGGGCTTTAGGCCAGCAGCAAGCTTGGCTGCCTGTCCTGTCGGGAAGAATAGAGACTCCCTTGCAGGCTGGTCCACACCTCCAGTGCCACTGGACTATTCAGATGGACGGTGCTGGAGCAGGCAGAGCTTTCAGGTGGACAGTGCTGGGGCAGGCAGGGCTTTCAGGTGGACAGTGCTGGGGCAGGCAGGGCTTTCAGGTGGACAGTGCTGGGGCAGGCAGGGCTTTCAGGTGGACAGTGCTGGGGCAGGCAGGGCTTTCAGGTGGACAGTGCTGGGGCAGGCAGGGCTTTCAGGTGGACAGTGCTGGGGCAGGCAGGGCTTTCAGGTGGACAGTGCTGGGGCAGGCAGGGCTTTCAGGTGGACAGTGCTGGGGCAGGCAGGGCTTTCAGGTGGACAGTGCTGGGGCAGGCAGGGCTTTCAGGTGGACAGTGCTGGGGCAGGCAGGGCTTTCAGGTGGACAGTGCTGGGGCAGGCAGGGCTTTCAGGTGGACAGTGCTGGGGCAGGCAGGGCTTTCAGGTGGACAGTGCTGGGGCAGGCAGGGCTTTCAGGTGGACAGTGCTGGGGCAGGCCAGGGGGCGGGACTTGGGCAAAGGGCACGTTTCTGCGTCTCCACCATGTTTTTGTGTTTTCGCTTCTTTGTCCTGATTCTCAAGAGACGGCTGGGGACTGGCTGTTTTTTTCTAGGGAGGTCAAGTCTTGCGGTAGCAGGAAGGAGACTTGGTGCTCTCATGGGAGGTGAGAGCAGCAGCCAGGACCTGGAGAACCTGAGGATGAGGGCGGGCAAGGTTTGGAAGCCTGTGGAAAAGAATCATATCATGTTTCCTGGGCCCCTGAGCGCCTGGGCTTGGGAACTAATGGACCACAGGGACACGCAGGTGCAGGTCTAGAAGCCCGTGAGTGTGCTGAGCAGCTCCACCAACCTCTCAGTGGGAATTACCCCCACGGAGGGCCAGCTGCCCAGCTCAGGGCCTTTGTAGGGCTGAGGAGGACTGGACTCCTGTCAGGGCAGAATGCAAGCGGATTTCCTCCCTTCTTTGCTTAGATTCTCCATCTACTGGTCCCTGCCTGGCATGCCTTCCCCTCCCAGGGTAGCTATTACATTTCTGCCAGGGTCTAAGCAAGAAAACAACACGGCTCCATTGTGTCAGGTTCTGAGAATTCTTTTTGTGAGCGTCAGGTTGGTGTCAGTGTCCCTAGGAGGGGCTGAAGGAGCCCGCCAGTCCCAAGGGAAAGGGACCCAGCCTGCAGGTGCAGAAGGAGCTGTATCAGGCCCTCAAGGCTAGCACTGAGCAAGACGGCAAAAATGAGGAATAGAGATGCGGGGATTTTATCATTTTGTGGGCACTTGAATGGGTTGCTTTATGTTTGTGACAACAAAGGGAAGAGGATTTCATTGTTGAGCACTTACTTTCTCTGTGTGATCAAAAGATTGACTTCAAAACGAGAGTTCTATCTCCAGGTATTTGCCTATTGCGGGTGTTGTTTGGGCTCTGCCATGACGCGGTGCTCATGGGTAACCAGCTTGGGGGCCAGGCTGGGCTGCGGCAGCTGAAGTGATTCAAGATGGCGAGAGAGGGGCTGAATGCTCAGCACGGGGCACCGTGGTCTGGGAGCTACAGTAAAAGCGGTATAATTAGCACAGTCATGAAAGGTGTAAGTTCTGGAACTCCACAGCCTCCCTTTATAGCCAGGCTCTACCACTCACCTGCTGGGTGATTTTGCGCCAGTTATTTAACCTTTCCTCAACGATTCCTGTTTCTTCCTCTGTAAAATGGGAGTCTAACAGTGTTGAAATTGTAGAATTATTGGGATAATTTCAGGAGTTAACGCATATGAAAAATATAAACAGTGCTTGGCACAGTACATGCTGAGCAGTATCAGCAGTATTCCCTGTGGTCCTGGGCAGGGGCAGACACCTGGCTTTGGGGATTTTGGGGAAGGAGGGGGAAGCATGTCCTGAGATCCTGGGTGACTCCTGGGTGGAGCCCAGCCTGGGCCTGACTAGTGTCTAGCAGCCCGATGAGGCTTGTCACTTAGGGGAGTTCCTGTCCTCAAGTGTCAGAGGCATTGGCACCTCTGGGCCCCACTGGGGGTAGCCTGTGCACACGTGCTATGTCCTGGGACCACAGAATGGGGAAGTGGCTGAGGTTTCTGCAGGGCCAGGAGAGGAGGCCACAGTCTCTGCTCTCCACTGAAACAAACTCAGCTGTCTTTGACCACTTCATGAGCTAGGGAACGGGGCAACCTTGCAAACGAGGTATCATTTTCTCTCTATTTTTTACGTGAAAGAGGCTCAGGAAAGTGGTGAAGACAAAAAGTGGAGCAGGAATCGAACTCACGCCCAACTCCAAAGCATCACAAGGCTCTGTCTCCAAGGAACCAGGCAAGGAAGGGCTGGGAGATTGGTATTGGGCAAAAATAGAACCACATAAGTCAATGATACAGGGTACTCAAGAGGGGTGCGAGAAGAAGGGAGATAACTCAGAAGACTGAAGAGTGAAGAGTGAGAAACCGAGGGAGGAAAAGGAGAAATGAGGCCCTATGGTACTAGGGGTGTCTCTGCTCTATCTCTGCTGGAATGGAAGGTCCCAGGTATGTGGAGTTCTAAATCCAGAAATCTCCAAGGCCCAGGCAGGGAACTCAAATGAATGCACAGGCCTGGTGAGGTGACCTGGAGAACCCACTTGTAGAAAGGGGACAGCCTCCACTCAGTCCCCGCGGGTGTGCCGAGGCGTGCAGGAACCAGGCCCAGGCTTGCCGGAGTGCCACATCTTCTTTCAAGAGAAGCAGGAAATTCATTTTTTAAAATGTGAACTCTCATAATTTTAAAACGCTGGTAACCAAAACAATTTAAAATATCATTTTAAGAAAAACAAAAACAAAAACGAAAAGCCTACTGGCTGCCAGGATACAACCTCTGCTTTATGCCACTTGTTTACATGAGGGGCTCATGGTCAGATTGCAAGTCAATCCAGGGCTTCTCAAGACCCCAGGAGGAGCAGAGTGTGTGTGTGTCAGGGCGGTGAGAATTGAGGACTCTGAGGAAGAAAGCATCCAGATTTCCAGAGAGAAGGAAACAGAGTAAGACCAATGCATTGCTACCAGAAAATGCAAAAGGGACATTTGCCTTTGACCACTGAGGTGCCTTCCACCAGCCCTTCCCTGTCACAGTGGGGCAGGGCCTTCAGCTCCACTGGAGGATATGAGGATACCCGTGCAGAGAGGGCTGAGGGAGGCAGGGAGGAGGGATGCTTGGGGGCGGTGGAAGCCGCTCAGCTGGGCTGCTGAGAAGTGAATCACATTTCCATGTGATAGGTGCAGTTCACACTTTGTAAGGGAGCAGGGAGCCTGACTTTTCTAAATATACCAGGCAAGCCAAACAGCCACCTGGCTTGGGATTGACATTCCTGACAGGAGGCTGGGCAAGCCCTTGGACTCCGTATCTGTAGGCTGCGCCTCAGGATGCTGCTCTGACTAGGGGAGAGTGGCTGAGGCAGGAACTGGGCCTTCTGGAAGGTGCCCACAGATATCAGTTCTTGGGTAAATACATGTAGGAAACTTGGGAAAACCCTCACAGACCCAGATTAAGCTGTGCAACCACAAGCTTCCAGAGGGGTTACTGGAAACTCCTGGTGGACCTCCCTCTTTCTGTTGCCCTCGGTCCTCCCCGGGCTGCCTGAAACAGCGGCCCCCTGGTTGTGTCCTCCAAGCTTATTCGCGGCAGTATTCACGACATCCTTCTCAGGGCCTGGGAGGGTCCCCCCTAAATCCACAATCTCCCGGAAAATCCCCACCTGAGATCACAATGTGGGCAGCCCTGACTCTGCCTGCCTTGGCAGCAAGCTCAGGTCCCTGGAGGAGTAGGAAGTTACCTACTTGGCTTACCCTGAAATGCCCTGCACACCATCCTGCAGGCTGTAGGGTGGGGTGGGGGGATGAGGAGCGGCTCCTATCCCTCTGTTGCCCAGGCTGGAGTACAGTGGCGCAATCTCAGCTCACTGCAAGCTCTGCCTCCCGGGTTCAAGCCATTCTTCTGCCTCAGCCTCCCAAGTAGCTGGGACTACATGCATCTGCCACCATGCCCGGCTAATTTTTGTATTTTTAGTAGAGATGGGGTTTCACCATGTTAGCCAGGATGGTCTTGATCTCCTAACCTTGTGATCCACCCACCTCGACCTCCCAAAGTGCTGGGATTACAGGCGTGAGCCACCGTGCCCAGCCAAGTGGCCCCTATCCCTCTTGGCATCAGTTTCCAACTCTGTACAAGTGGAGACTGGAGGTGACAACGCCATTCTGAGGCCCCTTCCACGCCTGAGATGGCATAGTTCCCTCAGGTACGATGTGCGCTGGGGGCTTGTGGTGCTGTAGCGGGTAGGGGCAGTCTTCCGTGGAGCGGGTGGGGCTGCTCCTCGGCTTACTTTGGGCATGAGGTAAAGCAGCCCCAGCTGTGGGCAGGCAATGTCAGTGTGTGCTGCCGGGCCCAGGAGGGCTTTCAGGGAAAGCTGGGGCTTGATGAGCTGCCCTAATGCTGGGAAGAAGAGGCAGCAATGACCCAAAGAAACATAGGCAATGTAGGCTTTAGGCTGTGGGCAGAGGTGCCCCTGGCATGGCCCACCCAGCCCAGCCCTGGGGAGGGGGCTTGGTCCCAGGATGCTGCAGATAAGGACCTGGAGGCCTGTGAGAATCTTGTGAGCAGACTCCGAGCTGCCAGCAGCTCTGCTAATGACCGGGACCCGAGGGTGATGCTGGGTCCCAGGAAAGTCAGGAAAGTTTGGAGCTCAGATGCCCAGTGCTCTGACTACAGCAGCCATGGAATGGTGCTGCAGCCTGGGCTCCAGGAGGTGGGGTCCTCCCAGCACCTCGACGTCTTATCACATTCACCGTGCTTGTCAGGAGCCCCAAGGGCTCAGAGAGGCCTCCAGTCTCTAAGGAGCTTCTGCAACCTTTGAGAGGCTGCCTTGGTGGGCAACTCACATGATATTCTGCCACAAATGAGGCTTGACCCTGGTGGAGGGAAACAGTTGTGGGCTTTGGGGTCAGTGAGATCTGGTTCAAATCCTGAATCACTCCTCAGAGAGACTTCATCTGACCACACTTTCTAACACATTGCCTTTCTAGGTTTCTTCACAGTCCGTTAAACTACCTGATTTAATCATCTGTTTATGAGCTTCCTGACATCTCCCAAACCCCAGTGAAAGGCTGGGCCCTGAGAATACAGTGGGAAGCAAGCCTGATGAAGTTCTTACCCTTGGGGAGCTTTCCGTCCTTGGTGGGCAAACAGGTAAGAGGCGGCAACGAGGACTGTGATGGGGAAGCATGCTCATTGTCACAGAGCAACGAGGACTGTGATGGGGAAACATGCTCATTGTCACAGAGCAAGTTAGCAAATTATTTAAAGTGTTTTTTTTTTTTTTTTTTGAGACGGAGTCTTGCTCTGTCGCCCAGGCTGGAGTGCAGTGGCGTGATCTCAGCTCACTGCAAGCTCCGCCTCCCAGGTTCCAGGTTCACGCCATTCTCCTGCCTCAGCCTCCCGAGTAGCTGGGACTACAGGCACCCGTCACCACACCCAGCTAATTTTTTGTATTTTTTTAGTAGAGATGGGGTTTCGCCATGTTAGCCAGGATGGTCTCGATCTCCTGACCTTGTGATCCGCCCACCTTGGCCTCCCAAAGTGCTGGGATTACAGGCGTGAGCCACCGAGCCTGGCCTAAAGTGTTTTTAAGAAAATTATTATGTTTTCGTAGAGTCATGGTCTCACTATGTTGCCCAGGCTGGTCTTGAACTCCTGAGCTTAAGTGATCCTCCTACCTCAGCCTCCCAAAGTGCTGGGATTACAGGTGTGAGTCACTGCACCTGGCAAATTATTAAACATGTTGCTGGACACACACTTATGCTGAAAAATTCTTCATTGTTGTCTGAAATTCAAATTTAGCTGGGCTTATTTGTTTTGACAACCCTGGCACTGTGGGAGCATCTAGGAGGAGCACCATAGCCAGTTCTGGGACCTGGGGCAGGTATTTCCTGGAGAAGGGGGCCCCAGTCACACCTGAAGGATGGAAATGAATTAGCAAGGTGGAGGGGGAATGAGTCTTCCAAGTGGAGGGAATGTGGTGTACAAAAGCCAGGATGTGACAGCCAAGCGCCCTGAGAGCCTGATAGGCTTTCTCAGGATGGGGAGTGGAGGGGCTAGGGACACAGGCAGGCAGGCACAGGTCGATGAAGGTCTTAGCTCATGTTTGGGAGTCTGGACTTTACCCCAAGAACAACACACTTACTGAAGGCTTTTAAGTGGAGAAAACATGATCTCACATTTCGTTTTGTTCATTTGGGTTTTTTTAAATTTTGAGATGGAGTCTCGCTGTGACGCCCAGACTGGAGTGCGATGGCGCAATCTCTGCTCACTGCAACCTCTGCTTCCCGGGTTCAAGCAATTCTCCTGCCTCAGCCTCCTGAGTAGCTGGGACTATGGGCATGTGCCACCATGTCTGGCTAATTTTTGTATTTTTAGTAGAAATGGGGTTTTACCACATTGGCCAGGCTGGTCTCAAACTCCTGACCTCAAGTGATGCGCTCGCGTTGGCCTCCCAAAGTGCTGGGATTACAGGCGTGAGCCATCACGCTTGGCTACATCTTGCATTTTTAAAAGTTGATTCTGGCTGCTGTATGGAGAATGAATTCGGGAGACCAGAAGTGGAAGGTGAGAGGCTGGTTAGGAGGCTTCAGCTGCCATCCAGCTGAGAGATGATGGTGGCGTGGACAAGAAAGGAGGCAGTGGAAGAGGGAAGTTGATAGATTGGATAGATTCAGTCCATCCTCAGCAGACAGAATCAACAGGATTTAGCTACTGATTCAAAATGAAGGGGGCTCGGGGCCAATCAGGGAGCAGAAGAGGAAAAGTGACTCCCAAGTTCTTGACTTGAGCAACTGGACGATGGGATGCCATTCAGCGAGGTGGGGGAGACAGGAGGAGGGCAGGAGGAGGAAGAGGAAGAAAAGATTGGTGGCAGAGGAAGAGGAGGGTGCTTCATTTTGGATAGGTTGAGCCTTTGGTGCTCATGGCATACCTCAGTGGCGATGGCCAGGAGAAGTCTGAAATGATGCAGGCTTAGACAGAGGCCTGAGCCACCAGCATGGAGATGCAGCTGGAAGCCACGGGAGCCTTGCTGCTCCTCTCCAGCGCCTGCTTCAGAAACCTGCAAGGCTGGCTGGGCAGGGACAGGGCTGAACCAGAGTCTCTGGACAGGAAGCACTGGGGCCTAAGCTGAACCCTTTCCCTAGTGCTCCATCCAGTGGGGCAGCTCCCCCTGGTCCTTGCGGATGCCTGACAGGTAGGAGTGTGGACTCCTGCAGCCTCACCTTCTGATTTTTCTTAGATGGTTACATGATGTCTCTCAGTTTTAAAGTGTTTATAACTGGTTCCACTTTAATACAATGTGGGCAGAACAGAATACATCTGTGGGCCAGATATGCTCTGGGGACCACTGGTCAGGGGTCTGGGGTTCGAAGTGAGAGGAGATGCTGAACAAAACCCTCAGGATCAGGCACCTTTAAGGCAATGTTCCCCCAAATTAACCCAGAAGCCCCTGCATCAGAATCACCCATGGAGTGTGCCTAAAAATGGAACCCCAAGCTCTGTCTCCAGCGATTCAGATTCAGAAGGCCTGGGGAAGGTCCAGGAATCTGATTTTAACCAGCGCCATAGGTGCACACTCAAGTCTGAGAACCTCTGAGTTGGGGGGTTGGCAGGGGAGACAGAGAAAGGTTGGTTTAGGCAGGAGAGAACCAAAAGAACAGGATCTCAAAAGAAAAGGTCATTTCAGGAAAGATGGCTGGCTGATGGGAAGGAAAGATGTTGGCTTCCTGGGAAGGATTCCAAAGTCCATCTTCATCCTTCTCCAACACATCTTCGTTCCTCCCTAAGGAAGAGGAATGTTGATCTTAATGTTCAGTTCTGAGATTGTGATGGAGCTGCATTTGCTAGTGGGAGTGATGGAGCCAATGGGCATTAAGAGGTCTGTGCACAGGGGTGTGGTTCCCTCTTCTGTCTCTCCAGTCCTAAGTGGTAAGTGGAGCGGGGTGGGCTCTCTTCTTGGATGCTTTCCTGTCCTTCCTGGCCCTGGCCCCCACCAGCCGAGCATGGCGGCACATGCACTCAATCTTTATGAATTTCTGTCCCGGAGCTGGGGGTGTCGGAGCAGCCTTTCTCCCCATTTCAGTGGATAAGAGCTAAGTGCTAGGATGGAGAGTGGGATGGGGTCGGGTGAGAGGTGAATTGAGCAGGTCTCACAGTTTCCTGTGCTGAAGCCACTACCTCTCACTGGTTTAGGAAGCAGGAGTGTTCTGTGAGGTTCTGCCCAGACTACCATAATCCTACCCTAGGGCTCAAGCCAGTTAACTGCAACACGAGTTTGCTTGCTTTCCATTGATTCTTTTGTATACAACTCCACTGGGAATGCATCGAGGAGAAATGAGAGTTCTGGGCTGGGACTGGGCATTGTTGGGCCCCCCAGTCTACTCCAAAGCCGTATCATTATTTCTAACACCCAGCAGGACTGCACGCCAACTTCAACCACAAGACAGAGACAAAAAAGTGTGCACTGGCTTTCATAACAAGGTCATTAGTGACCTTGAACAGAGGGGGATGATAGGAAAAGCCAGGCTAGAGTGAGACAGGAAGAGTGCCAGATAAGAAAGAGAGAAGTGGGCTGGGCACGGTGGCTCATGCCTGTAATCCCAGCACTCTGGGAGGCTGCGGCGGGTGGATCCCTTGAGGTCAGGAGTTCGAGACCAGCCTGGCCAACATAGTGAAACCTCGTCTCTACTAAAAATACAAAAATTAGCTAGGCGTGGTGGTGCAGGCCTGTAATCCCAGTTACTAGGGAGGCTGAGGTAAGAGAATCACTTGAACCTGGGAGGCAGAAGTTGCAGTGAGCTGAGATCGTGCTGCTGCACTCCAGCCTGGGTGACAGAGTGAGACTCTGTCTCAAAAAAAGAAGTGCTTCATAGGTATCTCTTCCAGAGGACAGGAGAGAGGTGGAAGTAGTGGAGGATATGGGGTCAAGGCCAACATGGGAAGAGCTGGCAAAGAGGAAGTACAGAGAGAGAGAGGGAGAATTGACAGAGTGAG
The DNA here is from genome assembly GCF_000001405.40 of Homo sapiens. Classification (NCBI taxonomy): domain Eukaryota; kingdom Metazoa; phylum Chordata; class Mammalia; order Primates; family Hominidae; genus Homo; species Homo sapiens. The sequence continues at coordinate 123,487,682 of NC_000003.12, forward strand.
GTCTGTGAGGAAAGGGAAAGATAAAAACATCTGGAGCACAAGGTAGGGATTAGTTTTGGTGAAAGGTCACCCCATCCATTCTAACATCAGGAAAAGGAAAGGATGATCCCAGCATGGGCAAGTTTATAGATCTGGTGACAAAAAAAGTGGAAGGAATTACTATCTGATGGCTCTGTTTTCTCTGTGAAATTGGGGGTGATATCCTGGGCTGATAGTGAGTAAGAGATTGAAAGATGAAGTTTAAAAGAAATTACAGAGAGTGTCCCAGGCAGGCAGCCCCAGGGTGAGGCCCAGCAGATTGATCACAGCACCACAGGTGCTGCCAGTCCCAGCCCAGTCTGCTCAGACAAGTTCACATCAAGTGGAAGCCTCCAGCCAGTGCTGCCGACACCTGGGTTCTCAGCCTAATAATTCAATTACCTATTTGATGATGGTGATTTCTATATATTTTTAAAGCCCCAAGGGGCTGGGCATGGTGGCTTACGCCTATAATCCCATCACTTTGGGAGGCCAAGGCAGGAGGATGGCATGAGCCCAGGAGTTTGGGGCCAGCCTGAGCAACATACTGAGACCCCAGCTCTACCAAAAACCTCCAAAATTATTCAGGTGTGGTGGTGCATGCCTGTAGTCCCAGCTATGGGGGAGGCTGAGGTGGGAGGATTGCTTGAGCCCGGGAAGTTGAGGCTGCTGTGAGCCCTGATCATGCCGCTGCATTCCAGCCTAGGTTATAGAGCAAGACCCTGCCTCAAAAGAAGAAAAAAGATCCCTAGAAACAACAGAGCAGGAACAAGGAAAAATCTTCCTAGAGCCCAGGCTAAACCCCCATCTCTCATTTTTCCCCTTGGATAGGTCAATATTCCCTGATGGGGACAGCTGCCACCGATAGATTAGTATTTTTCAAAGTGTGTTCAAAGAACTTTAGCCCTGAAGACGTGTCAAAGATAAAGGTGAAAAACAGGTTTGGAAAATCCTGCATTAACACTCCTCTTGGAGGTTGCATTCATATACAGAAAGATCTGAAACATTTAGCAGGAGAGAAAACTTTAATTTTTGTTTCAGTGTTTTAAACCACAGACTCCTCTCCCTAACATGCCCATGTTCCCATGATCACTGAGAACTAATAGTCTGTGGATTTCACCTTAACATATATTCGTTAAGTCAGCAAATCACTTGAACATGACTATCAGCCCAGGCACAATCAACTAGTTGTGGTTAGTGAAGGACATTATCCATTTGGTATGTCCAAAGTGGTTGTCATTTAAACAACTATCTCTTGAGGAAGATTTTCAGCCTGTTGAAGAGTGAGAATAATCTGTGGCATGAACAGAAGCATTTTAAATCTGTGAGAAAACTCACAGTCCAAGAGTCAAGTTAACTGAAATCCACAGAATAGACTGAACATGCTGCAGACAAGCATTCTTGGTCCAGACACCGCCTTATAAGGTGGCCTGACATTTTCTCATGGCCCAGGCCACCCTCCAAAAATATCCAGAGACAGAATAAGAGTGGGAACTGGCCTCCCTGAACGTTTCAAATATGAACAAGCAGGCTCTCCATGAAACAGGAGGGCTGACACCTGCTTTGCAAGCCAGCTCCAAAAGCGCTCTGCTTTTCAAAACCAAGTAGTTGCAGGGTCTGCGATGGGGAGGAGGGCTCTGCAGCTGGGAGAAAATAGATTGAGCCTCGAAGCACGCACCCAAGCTGGTTTCTTTGCTCCAAAAAAAGTGTTATTTCCTGTACTCCTCCAGAATATGCTTTAAAATCTGTCTTTGCTTTATATGGACAATAAAAGATCCGTGACTGATTTTCATTAGAGTGCCTCTGCCCCTTTCCGTGTCCTTGGGATGAAGCTGTTTCCCAAACTCCTTTGGCTCTTAAGGCCCCAATCGCTTGTGAGGTGCTGCCCCCGAGTGGGGAAGCCTGGCTACGACAACACCGAGGGGGAAATACAGATCCCGGCTTTAACCAAGTGCAGCATCTGGAAACACATCTGGATTGCCTGCACCCAAAGCCAAAGATAGATGTGAAAGCACTACCATGGTAACAAGTCTATGCTCTGGAATTAGGGAGCAGAAAGCGTGACTTCCAAACATAAAAATATTTATGAAATGGGCACTCTAGGTGCTTATATACACAGCCTTTCACATTCTTATTTTTGCTCACCAAATGAGGTTTTAGGGTGAATTGCCTTTTGTGGGAAGGATTATTTTTGGTATTGAGACTTGCCCTCATAGCACTAATATATCTTTAAATTAAAAGAAGTATTGGTCAAATAACCACACTGCTCTCTCTTCTAACTCTGGTTCTGTTATAGGCAGAGAAATGTTAATAGGTATGGCTAATTTTGGTAATAGTTGCTTAGAACAGTTTCTTCACCATTAAACTGTATGACAATGAGCCAGGCTATTTGTGAGGCTGGGATTTTTTTCTTTTCAATAATAAAAGGAATTGAAAAGCTAGTCCTCATTCTTGTTAAAGGGAATAGAAAAACACAGCAGTATTTTTGGAATGCTGTGTAACAGTAGGTCTCTTAATTATACCAATGGTAATTCCTCCAGGCTAAGGCTTATATTAACATAGTACACATAATTGCCACAAAATATGACAATGACAAATTGGAAAGCCCTTGTCTCCATTACCATGCTAACATTGTAAAGGTTGTGTTTTCTGAGTAGCCTCTACTATTAACTTTACCATCTGTTCCGCAGTTTCAGCTGCAATACTTTTTTCATAAATGAAAAAGCCAACCTCTGAAGCTGAATAGGCTCTACATGAGGAGAGGTGGTCTAACCTCTGAGCTGGGAACATCTAGGCTGCGATCAGATGGCATTTAGAAGGGAAGTGTTCTCCTTTGGAACAAAGACCACACTCTTAGGCCGTGGTGATGATCTGAGAAAGAGCTGGCAGACTCAGGTGGGGAGCACATCACTGCTACAGGCACCATGATCAAGTCGTCACTGGGAAAAGTGACTAGAACATACCCAGCACCAGAGGCCTAGAGCTAGATCAGCTGTGACCCAGCGGAGGACACCCCAAGGCAGTGTCCTTCCCACCACTTCTTACTGCGAGCCTGAGTAAGGGGGGGCCACTCCTGGGATTCCTGTGTTTGGAGGCATTTTCAGAATGAGGTACTTGAACTTCACCACATCTTGCTTTAATGTAAGATGAACAGTGCTGGGCAACAGGATCTCCCGCTGAACTTCTGTTAGAAAAGTTACACTAACAGGCTGGGCGTGGTGGCTCACACCTGTAATCCCAGGCGTGGTGGGAGGCCAAGGCGGGTGGATCACCTGAGGTTAGGAGTTCGAGACCAGCCTGGCCAACATGGTGAAACCCCATCTCTACTAAAAATACAAAAAATTAGCCAGGTGTGGTGGCGGGTGCCTGTAATCCCAGCTACTTGGGAGGCTGAGGCAGAAACATCGCTTGAATCCGGGAGGTGAAGGTTGCAGTGAGCTGAGATCGTGCCATTGCACTCCAGCCTGGGCAACAACAGCGAAACTCTGTCTCAAAACAAAAAAAGAAAAGTTACACTAACAAAACCCCAGCTTGTTATAAGACAAGGTTCCTCAACCCCATGCTGATTAATATCTTAGATTCCCTGGTCACTTGCATGAGGAACCCCTTGTCCCTCTGCAGCCAGCTTGCAGACTGGCTTAGCCTGAAGACTGACTGGCAGGGAAGGACTTTTTGGAAACCTCTTAATATAATCTGTCTTTCCTGTAAGTGCAGAACCATTATGAATAGCAGAATTAGATTTTAAAATTGTCAAAGAGCTGGAGTCCATAATTGAACTGAAATTCTCCCATATTCCTGCAACACCACATTCAGGCCTACTGACTATGAAAAATCACTGCACTCACTGGTAGGTATTTCAAATCCAGGCAGAGCACACACCAGTTTATTTTGAAATGCAACACAGATCAGTATTTTATGAATACAACTTATTACTACATTATCAGGTAAAAACAGCTTTCAAATGCATGCATAGAAAGTTAAGCGTAGTCTCTGGACTCCTTATTTCTAAATATACAAAAAATACATTTAAATTATATAATTTTAGTGAATCAAAGACTTATAAAATTACAATTTTGGTTTTCACAACATAGAAAAAATACAAAAATGACTATATATACGGTTGTACAATTTTTTACCCAAATTTCAAAGGAGCAGTATGTATTGAATTTAATGTTTTATAATGTTTTATCTGAAACTCAGAACTGCAAGTAATTTGCAGGTTGTACCATATCAATGCCAACCTTTTATTATAAATGAATAACCAAAAAAATAAGTGAAAAATGAGGGCACGATCTCTTCTTACACCTCTTCAACTCTCCAGCATCTAAACCTTTCCTGTCAGAAGTCTGCTCTGGAGACTTTTTTCATCTGCAAGGACAGTGCTTTATTCCATGACTAACTCTCCATGGTGCCTCTGGATAATGGTTGGTATGTGTTAAATGAATAAGCCCAACCTCAGCAAACAGAACGCAGCAAGATGTAGATTAGCAGTCTGTGCTGACAAAAGCACTACTGCGGACCTCAAAGAATTCTCTGTCAGAAGAAGGCCCCCACGGAGGGATCTGAAATACATAATCAAGTGGGTAGTTGGGAGGATGATGCCTTTGACTATGCCCTGAAATGAAACCTCTAAGTCTGACAAAATACCCACAAAAACATGACCTTCCTTGTTCACACTTTATAAGAAGGTGTGACATTTGGTGGTGTGGTTGTTCTCAATTTATAAAATAATAAATGACTTCAAAGGAGAAATGAATTCATGTTAGGGATAAAGAAACCAGTTACTGAGAGAGGTTACTGAAGGACACAGTGACATGCCTTACTTATCTGCCATAAGTATTCTAAATGTTGATGTACAAAAATACACACTGGGGTTGAGACCCTTTTTGAAAAGGGAGCTGTGTGCTGTGTTCTCATTGCCAAAGTTCAATTCAATGCAACACCACTGTTTGCAACAGAATGTTTTTTATAAGTAGTGACAAATTATAATAAGGAGGCCCAAATAAAACCCCCAGTCCAGCAACCCTGGAAAAGCTGCATTTTTCATCCTGATTTCTAGAATTTTTCCAAAAACAACTGAAAAAATCTAACAGAACAAAGTAAATGACAAATATAACCCAAGTTGATTCTATTTTATAGTAGAAATACATTATGGAAGAATAAAATGAGAGAAAAGTCATGCAAAAAATCTTTCCCACATATTTTGTCTATCAAATACAAGAATAGATTCTAATTTCAACATGTCCAAGTTGAGTGCTGACTTTAAGAAGCAGAATTTTAATGTTCAATTCAAAAATAATTTATTACACACCTGCCTGCATTAAATTTTCAAACTTCTATAAAAATAAGCACTTAAAAATTTAGTTTTCCAGGGGTTGGGTGCAGTGGCTCATGCCTGCAATCCCAGCACTTTGGGAGGCTGAGGCGGGTGGATCACGAGGTCAGGAGATCAAGACCATCCTGGCTAACACGGTGAAACCCCGTCTCTACTAAAAATACAAAAAAAATTAGCTGGGTGTGGTGGCAGGCACCTGTAGTCCCAGCTACTCAGGAGGCTGAGGCAGGAGGATGGCGTGAACCCGGGAGGTGGAGCTTGCAGTGAGCTGAGATCGCGCCACTGCACTCCAGCCTGGGCAACAGAGCGAGACTCCGTCTCAAGAGAAAAAAAAAATTTAGTTTTCCAGTATGAGTTTTCTGATATTCGCAATTATATTTTAAATGACAACTACTCAATAAGCTAAACTTTTAAACTCTTAAAGTTCAACATCAACCCCCACCCTGCCCCCAAAAAAAGGCAGCTGCAGGGGATGGGGGAGGAAAAAAGGCTCCATGAAGAAGATACTGTGCTATTTAATACTTAATGCACATCTAAACTTGGGCTTTCACATTTTCATCCAACTCTTTCTTTCTTATTTTTTTTCAGTTTACCTACAGTTGCAGTACCAATCCTTTCTTGAGGAGTTTTAAATGCATGGTTGAGCAATTAAATTGTATGAGGATGTGACATGGATTAGACAATGTCGGTAGTACCAAACTATTTCTTGGCTGCTCCAACATGCGGAGATGACACTGCTTTTAGCTCATGACAGCCCAAGGGGAATGTTTTACTGACTATGGACTTATAGCTTGGTGGAAATTAACATAGGAAGTTAATTAGCAAAAGTATCCAAACAGAAGAGTGAATGAAAATTTAAAAATAAAACAATAATGGTGTATAAATCTATTCCTGAATGTTTTTCCTGACTACCTTTCTAAAGCAACACCTTCCATGTGCTTTCACTAACACAGCCTCCTTTCCTATGTGACTGGATCCGCTTCTTCAGGGCCATCAGTGCATCAGTGAGAATAGCTACTGGCAAACACGTTACTCAGAGGTGTTCTGAGAATGGTGCTGTGAAAAGGACTTGTCACTTTTGAGCTATTGAGCTCCCCCTTTCTGAGACCTGTCATTTTGTTAAGACATGATTGAGGCTGAGCTCCAGATAAGATATATTCTTTACGGTACACACATACTTATTAGATTCAAGCACGTTTCTTAGTGGCAGGCAGTAATGACTCAATTGGAAACAAACAAAAGGGTTCTAAGTTGTTTTCTGATTACAGGCACTACCCCGAAGCTTCATAGACATATACATTTTATAATTCATTCATTAGATGTGAGGGGATAGGTCCCAGCCATAACTTCAGAGCATTCCAGAGAACAGAGTTTGCCGCTTCAAAAATACAAAGTTTCCAGCATGCAGTCAAGCACTTTGACAAGGGAATGCTAAACACACTGCAGACTGAAACATAACTATACTGCAAGCTGGGCTATTCAGCTGGTACGACTTCATTATTCAGACTGTAACTCTCAAGTACTTAGTGTTACAGGTCTTCATTGATCAGATACATGAAGGACACAGAAGGACATAAAATGCCAAATCCCTTTCTAGTGCCATCATAAATATTAAGAACTTCTGGTTGAAAGAGCATGCTGAAATGAACTGGCCAGGGTGTTTTATGTAACAACCTTTTTCTAAAATAAAATCTCAGGCCCATGTGACACTGGATTTTTGTTTTAGTTTTGTTTGAATATTTTAAAAATAGTTCTTACTTATTTTCTATGAAACGTATTGGGAACTCAAAAAATCTGCAGCATTTTTTGATCATTGAAAAGTTTGTTTTGGTGGGAGGTGCAGAAAGCAGGAACTATTCAAATTTCTTGTGTTCTTCAGTATGAGAAAGGATCTTTCTTCTCTGGTGTATCATGTGGAAGTATAACTGGGGAAAAACTGAAAAGAAAAGAAAAATTGGTTAAGAGGATGGTTTAAAATTGCATATGCTCTATTTAAAGCATATGAAGTTGAGGTCCTCTCTGACCCTCTGACTAATTTCTCATCCAGCAACCAAGGAAGGTAACAAAGTGGGCTTGGGGAAAGGAAGAAAAAACACAGAGAGACTTACCTCCTTTCTTTTCCTGCTTTAGCTGAGGGAAGAAGTGGTGTGGAATACAATGACAGACACTATTGTCACTATCATGACCTATATCGATGCCACAGAACAGCCAAATAATATTCTGTACGCTCATTCATGTATTATCTCCACATTTATTCTGATTAACTTCACAACAACCAGGTGAAGAATTCTAGTGATGAAGTTATTATTCCTATTTCAAAGAGGAAGAATTTGAGCCCCAGAGAGGGTAAGCAACTTGCCTAGGGTCTCACAGTAAGCCACAGACAGAGTTGGGACCAGGCTCTTGGCTCCTGACCCTCAGCCTAGCCCCATATGGTCCCAGGGCAGGTGATTCTTTGGGAAGAGCAACCTCTCTTGGGAAGTAGTTTCGGGTAAAGACTTGAGGAGGAGGAGGAATGCCACAACATTTGCTTTGAACACAACTAAGCCAGGTTTGGATGTTAAAAAAAAAAAAAAAAGGCCTTATGAAAAGCAAGCCAGTGTCTTAGGCACTGGGGATTCTTCTGTTCTTGGTCATTTTGTAGAATACTTTAGAAAGCACTGGTTCTCAAATGAATGGGATAGTACTGCCTCCCTCGGAACTATTTGGAACTATTTCGATAGTTTGACTATTTGGAAATAAGGGAGAAAGGGAAAGGTTACTGGCATTTGGCATATGAGACCAGGGATGCTAAAACATGCCATAATGCATGACAGTACCCACTACTAAGAAGTATCCCACCCAAAATGCCTATAGTGTCCCTGCTAGGAAATACCACTTTGAGCCACCTGGCCTTCACAAGGTTACTGTGTGTAAACAACTCCAGGTAAAATGCTCTTTGTTGTACAATATCCTTCCTCTCCTCATCTCTCCAACAGCTCCAATCTCTATTTTATTGTTATTATTTTTTTAGACAGAGTCTTACTTTGTCACCCAGGCTGGTATGCAGTGGTGTGATCTTGGCTCATGGTCTGGACCTCCTGGGCTCAGTCAATCCTCCCCACTCAGCCTCCTGAGTAGCTGGGACTACAGGTGCACACCACTTCACACCCAACTAATTTGAATTTTTTGTAGAGATGAGATCTCCTACGTTGCCCAGGCTTGTCTGGAACCCCTGGGGTCAAGGGGTGTGCCCGCCTCAGCCTCCCAAAGTGCTAGGACTATAGGCATGAGCTACCAAGCCCAGCCCAGTCTCTCTTTTTTATACTGTCACGAATATTTTTTGGAAGATAATTTCTACTACTCCCAACTCTCTCCTGACAAGTTTCTTCCTTTTTAAATGGGTTCCAAGCTGGCCAGATTTCAAATGATCCTCCCAAAGTACGCCGGGACACCAGTGCGTGTGTGACAAAGATCTGCTAACCTGCAGAGGAGGCAGCACGTGGAACAGGGCTGCCATCCACGCCATTGCTACTGCCAGGCAGGACGTCGTTCACAGAAAAGACCCCACTTAAGCATATAATTCGACAGGCAGAGAACTATTTTGGCACGAAAGCCAGAAAATCTGACAAGCTCTATAATCTAAAAACTGGAAGTAAAGATATAATTAAACCATTAGGAATGTTAATGGTAATCATTTAAAAATGTGGGGCCAGTCCCATTTCTATAGATTTACTGTAATGAAGGGAATCTGTGAGCTGGGCATGCACAAGACCTTCCCACTGGTTGCATTTGTGTTCACACAACCCCATAGTGGGTGGCTGCAGTCTCACAGCTGGTTCAGAGGGCCCGGGGAAGGAGAATGACCTGGAAGTCATGCATTAAGCCCTTGGTGGCAGTTCAAGGAAGAAGATGGCCACGCAGACCTTCATTTCCATGGGCAGGGCCTGCCACCTATCAGAAGGGTCAGATGATGGCACTTTCACTCCTTTACATCTCCCAGAGATTCCTCAGTACCCAGAGAAAGGAATGTGGATGGGAGGCCAAGGGCCTAGGGTGTCTGGCCTATTCTCCACAGTTCAGGCAGTGGCTTCTGGCTGACCAGAACTATGATTCTGTCTCCATCTGAATCACCTACATGTTCAGACTGAACCCGACCATGAGACTGAAAGCTTTTCAGATGCACGGCTGCCACTTTTAACAACATGAGCTACACTGAGGAATAGCACTGAAAAAACCCCTCAACCCGACAACAGGCTATTGAGAATTCCACCTTCTGCTGTCCCAATTCAGGGAACACAGAATGGGGACACTGCTGGGCACGTGTGTGTGACAGTCCCTGTGTGTTGGGGACGAGGGGGGTGTGGGTGCTGCTGGGCCCTCCTTTCTTTAAGAAGATGGCCAGCCCTCTTGGGGCTCTCTTCCCCTCTGGGGAGAGAACTGTGGAGGACGACAGCACCAGATATGCTCTCTGCCTGGGCCAAGTCTCCTTGGTTTCTCTAAAAATCAGAGGTGTGGTTACAGTCACTGACAACCTGGAAAGCGCCAGCTTCTCCAGGTCCTCACCCCTCATCAATGTATCTTGCCCTTTTTTGGCTCCCTCCACCATAACCAATTTTCACCAATTTGGGGGTGGAATGTAAACAGGCCTTAGACATCTACTGAGTCCTGCAGGGACTGTGTTGTACTAATCCTGTATATATTGCAACTACAGCAGAACAGGAGAGGAGCACCTGGCCAGGGCACCCCAATATGAGGAAACTCCTGGGGTCAAGCCTCATGAGCCACAATTTAGGCTATGTGTGCAACAACGCAACAACAGATGAGGCCCATGAAAAGGAGGTGTTACTTTATATAATACATGTGTATCATCAACTTGCCACTAAAGATTAAAAGAACGCTACCTTGTTTAGAAAGAAAACCAAATTTGGTAAAGGAGACTGCATGTCAACAGCAACCTCTCCTAATTCTGCATTTTCTTCTGATAAATACAAAGCTTTGGAAAGTTGGAAATGTGCAGCTGGCCAGAATGAACTGTACACTCTGGCCTCAACAGTAACAACCTGAACCACTGAGAACATCCAGAGCTGCTGGCTCAGGCCACAGCACAGTGAGGCCAGCAGGCACCAGGGTGACTCGCATCAGGAGAGGTAGTCTGTGTGCCATCTTGAACCTGGGTGAGGAGTCAATGGTTTGCAGGGAATCTTTTAATCATTATTTGAGATCCACCCTTTTCTCCGGTCTACAAGAGGTTAGCTGCCTTAGAAAAAGAAATTATGTTAGACTTTAACTGAGCCAAGTTCTCTTACCAAAAGGAGGCTGAGACTGCAAGGGGGAATTACTTAAGGTAAAGAAAGCAGACTTCTGTTGGGAGGAGAGTCCTTCCCTACTCTCTGAAAGAGGGGTCCCCAACCGCCACCTGTTGGAACAGAGCTGCACAGCAGGAGGTGAGTGGTGGGCAAATGAGCATTACTGCCTGAGCTCTGCCTCCTGTCAGACCAGCAGTGGCTTTAGATTCTCATAGAAGTGTGAACCCTGTTGTAAACTGCACATTCAAGGGATCTAGGTTATATGTTTCTTATGAGAATCTAATGCCTGATGATCTAAGGTAGAACAGTTTCATCCTGAAACCATCCCCTCCACCGCCCAGGGAAAAGCTGTCTTCCATGAAACCGGTCCCTGATGCCAAAAAGGTTGTGGGGACTGCTGCTCTAAAAGACAGCTGGCTCTGGGGTCAGTGTTTTCTCTTTCCTCTATCTCTTTCAAGACCAAGATGAAAAGCTCACAGGAGTGGGTTTCCCTCAGGAACGCTATCATCATGGAGGCTGCGTGTGGTACCCAGGCACTGCCACTACACCAAGAGCTCAGAAGGAAGAGGCAAAGCTCAGCACTGGTTGGCTACCAGAGCATAAAGAGACAAACATGCAGACAGATGGAGGCTGCCCTGGGGAGTGGTTCCTGGAAGGAAGCCCTGCTTCCTAGAGAGGTTGGAAGTCTTGCAGGAACTCTCAGGTAAGAACGCCTAGATTTTTGTCAGTGTGGAAGCAGCTTGTTATGGATCTGATTTCATAAAAACCTCCCTGCCCCTTTCCCAGTCACCCAATATGGTACATATCTCCTATTCATTTGACTATGGTGAATTCAAATAAAGCCTGTGGTGCCCACTGGGATAATATGTGTTAGTTACTCCGGGTGTGGTAAAACTGCAACTGTGAACTGCTGCTCTAGAGACTGGAAAATGAAACTCTAAAAAAAAAAAACAAAATTAGAAAGGTGATAAACTACCAGTTAATTTTTATTACTTAGTAGTTTAGATGATTTCACATTTATCATCTGTTTGAAAATCAACCACTTTTTACATTTGAAGAGAGATGGCCTCTGGTCGCTATGATTCCAGCACTAGAGAGGACTCAACATGAATAAAGAGTGGAAAATGAATCATGAAGCAGAACTGTATCCAAGAATTTCTGCAAGATAAACACTCACATGAAATCTGGATGTAGTTTTTTTCTCACAATGCATGAAATGCAATTTTCCACAGAGGGACACAAGCATGTCGCTTTGTTAGGGTGATTCATTCCGATGATGCCATGCAATGAGGAGAAGTCCAACCCTGTCTGATTTAACCTGGGGTTTAGGGAAGAATACAGTATCTTTTCTAGATTAAAATAAGATTCAGAGTTACAGTGGTTATAGAAATAGCAAAATGAGAAGAACCACTAACACTGTATGTCGTTGGTTATAAGAAGATCTTTTGGTATATAGAAATCAATCATAGGATTTATAATTGAACATCAGAATTCCAGCAAAGGACTAAACTCCTCATCCTCAGAAAGTAGGGCTCACTTCACAGAGACATCAAACATGTCTTTTTCTCTGTCACTGAATACACTGATAGGCACATTTGATTATCCATATACTTAAATCTTCAGCAGTACTATTAAAATAATTGGAAACCATCTTGAAGAGAACACTGTGTCCCAATCAGTGCTCAACAAGAAAATGAAAAATTTAGAAAAAAATAAATCTATTATTATTTTGTTATGTTTCTAGTTAACTACCAATCCCTTCAAAATGAAGTTAAATGTCTATTTTGATATAGTAACCAATGCAAAAATCTTTTTATCATGTTTTTCAAATACTGTAACAAGCAGTTCTTAAGACACAGAAAACTACAATCAAGGTAAGGCCTTTAATGGCTTTTTTGTTTTCCATTCAGTACTTTCCCCAATACATACTTAACCTAGCCTGGTATTCAGTTTCAAACCCACATGCTGAGAAGGGCTGCATTTTGGCAACTGTATTGAGAAGGGTTCATCTTTATTCAATTACTACTGGAAAAAAATTCCTTTTGATAGTCAGCATTCAATAAAAACCAAGAATTCCCAATAAATGAGATTTACATTTACTTGGATATAGTGCAAAGACAGTCAAAGATATTTAGTTATTGTAGAGCCAAATTTTAAAACATAATTAAATATACGCATAACTGTTTACTTACTTGGAATGTAGGAGATCATTATTAGAATCAGGAATGCATAGTAGTCAAAAGAGAAATTGTATTTGTTGGGTAAACTGATGGAATATAGGCCAGCTTGTCTGACAAAGGGCAGAGCTGCATATATTGTGAGCAGTTCTCCTGACACTCCCATTGGGTACAGCACAATGAAAAGTGTGTACCTAAAACAAAACAAAATATTCATTACTGAGGCTCAAAGTCAGCTTTAGAAGGAAGCTGCACTTCCCACCCTTCTAATCAGTACTGGTCTTTTAGAAAATGATTGTTTATACATTTTCCTGTTTACCTGCTACTCAAATTCAGGTTTTACAAGCCAGTTTCTGAAACCAGCCTACAGCAGGTATATGTTTCCAAATGTTCTAACGACAAAATAAAGGCCGTTCAGGCAGCCTCAAAATTTGGTCTGACAAAATAAACAACTCTTCAAAATTATGCTCTAAAATAACTAAAGTGATGCCAAATGTTGGTAAAGTAGGGGAACTGAGTCATGGTTTATACTGACGGGTCCTGCCCTGTGGGTCTTGGGATGGGGTTGGGGTGGTAGTGGCGGAGGTGTTGGAACATGTGGTCTAGGAATTCCACACCACACACAAAGACTGAACAACAAAAAAAATAGCATAAGCATCTGTATACTGCTACTATTTTTCAAATGTTTGTACATGCTATTGTGAAAAATCAAATATATACAATTAAAAAAATTTAAAATTCATAATAGCTTTTGGTTACTATGTAATTTTCCAATCAAAACACCCCACAATTACAATTATCGTCACATGGGAGGGGAATCTGCATAATTGTTTTCTCTTTAAAAAGGAGTTCTCCATATTCCACAAAGAATTCAGAGAGCAGTCACTGTCCCATGGAACTGTAAGCCACTATAAGTATTGCTAAAGGAATCATCAGCTCAGACTTTAAACAGCCTTTGGCTGTTTGTGGCTCACAATGTGCAACGGACTACAAACTTCTGGGCACAGGAATTGTGATGAAAATCTCTGAAGTGGAAGGGAAGACATATTCCCCACTGCCAATTTTAGCCACACTAAGTAGGATGGTGGAAAAAAATCTTTCAGAGGCCATGGAGAACAGTGGATGAAAGAATCTTTCTCCAACAGTAAAATCAGGCCTTGGTCAACAGACTTCCCTAACAACCAGGGTAAAAAGCTTCCACAGTGGCTGTCCAGGTTGGTTAGTAACTGCTATGTTTCCCATTCTTCCCCTTTCCTAATAAAAATGTTCATTGCAAATGAGAAAAATAATAAAATAACAAAGGAGTTCCCATACTCAAAATGTTGGAAACAATCGGATTATGTCCCTAATTTAATTACTGAACTCATAAACACTCTAGGAACCACTGCTTTCCTTCCACCAAATAAGGCATTTCGGCTCCAGGGACTTGGATCCTTCTGCTTTGTCACTCTCCCTCAAAGTCCTTCCCAGCTCAGAAAACTGCCTACAACTGTCTCATGGACTCATTAAGGTAAGCAGATGAACTACTAGCCTTTTACCAAAGTCATCATTACTTGTAAAAACAATCAAAGCAAAACAAAAGTGATAAGCTAAAACTGACATGTAATGTTTGTCATTACCTAAAAATTAATTTAAGAGTCACAACTTCTTGGCAAAATTGAGACTAGGAGAATAGGACTTGGTCCAAAAAAACCCATCACAATGGCAGAAGCTCATCAGTAAAATGTGATGATATGGACAAAAAAGGGATGTTACGGCAAATCTCTATTGATTGCTACTTGGTGATGAAATTTTTTAAAAAAGAAAATACTGCATAATTTAATTGAAAAGAACTGATCCCAATTAAAATAATTTAAGTAAAATATAAAAACCTTAAAACAGTATTTCCGTTAGTCAAAGTTAAGTACAGACTCCTATTCTGATGAAATCTACAGACAAAATTTCTACCCAACCCGTCTCAATTTTATTTTTAGAAACTTTGAGGCAATATTTAGGCAATAAAGGGCAAATTCAATGACAGATCATTTCAAAAGTGAGCCTTTTGAAATGTGCTTTTTTACCTGGCCCATTTGATGAGGTAAGGCAGATGGTTTAATAGACTGAATGTATAAAAGGAGTAACGGATGATTTCCGTGATCGTCCATGCAATAACAAACAGGAGGACACTGTCTTCACTCTGTACCTGAAGGAAGAGGAAAACAAAAGAAAAAAAACACACAGACAACGTTAATGAAGACAGTGTGCAGCACCCGGCAGAGCCAGGGAGTGAGTCGGCACAGCCGCTGGTCTCTATCTTCAGGACCCCTGTATGGCAGAAAGAGCTTGCGTGTAGAGCTGGGGCCTAGGATGACAGCTGTGTACATCCCAGAGATGAGGGCCAAGTGCAAAGGGCCTCAGTCACCAGGAGTGAGAGCAGCAGGGTGGGGGTAACAAACACGAGGGGTGGGGATTTACAGGTTTGCCAGCCTCATGCGGAGAATGTGGACTGATGTCAGTGGTCACGCCTGTAATCCCAGCACTTTGGGAGGCTGAGGTGGGTGGATCACATGAGGTCAGGAGTTTGAGACCAGCCTGGCCAACATGGTAACACCCTGTTTCCACAAAAAATACAGAAAATTAGCCAAGTGTGGTGGCGTATGCCTGTAATCCCAGTTACTCAGGAGGCTGAGGCAGGAGAGTCGCTTGAACCCGGGAGGCGGAGTTTGCAGTGAGCCGAGATAGCGCCACTGCACCCCAGCCTGGGTGACAGAGTGAGACTGTCTCAAAAAAAAAAAAAAAAGCACAACTGAAGATGAGGCTAGCTCACAGAGCAAGAAGAATTCCAGTGAGGGGAGGGCTTGGGACCATCTGCAAGGCAAGGGCCCATTTATTTCCTCCCATTAGAGACTTCTTCCCCCAGAGGCCTGCATTAACTCCTCCATGATTAGGGAAGCTTCCATGCTGTTCCCAGGAGGCAGTTAGAGCCAGAGAGCTTTGAAATCCCCAGTCTCCTCTGAAGTTGTTTTTATGCTGAAAAAAACAATAAAGGTTTAAAAGAGCCCCTAGGTGATTTTTAGGAGGTATTCCCTTGTGTTGAAAATTTACTGCCGTGGTTTTAACTTTCAGCACCTCCCCCAGTCCCTTCCCAGCTGGGTTTGTAATGACCTTTTGTGCTTGAAAATCAGCAAGAAACACCCTTGCACCCCAATTTATATTAGTTTCCATGCATCAAAAAAAAAAAAAAAAAAGACCGTCCAAGAGTGGGATGTAAATAAGAAATCCCACCCCATAAACCGAACAAATCTTGATGACAAGATGGACTTTCTGTCCCACTCCTAATATCTAATACAGCAAGGGAATGGCATTCTAGCCTTAACTTTTGCTTCTTTCCATTTGCAATGTTAATAGTTTTTAGCACTTATGTTCTTCCTCAGAAAGTGTACATGGAGCGGTCCACCTACACAATGAAATAAGTAGTCATTTACATATCTATTAACTAAATTGCTCTGACAAAGAATTTCATAAATGCAGTTACTATTCTCTAAAAATAATAAGAATTTTATACTGTCAAGAGCAAGAGTACTTTCTGTTTTCCTGGTGCTCTCATATTAGCCAAAGAAAAGCAAAAGCTAACCACCTCTAAAGCTTTCATGGTAAGATTTTTCAGTCTGTCTCCAAATCCTTACTTGAATCCATCTATAACAAAATATAATATAAATATAAAAGCACACTTTGCTTTCTGATGTATTTTATAATCCTCTTTATCTTAAGGAGATATGTTTTTACAGCTAAGAGTGGAAGCCTTGCCTAAAGAGCTCTGGGTTATAATAGGAAGTTCCTCTAATATTTTGTACTGTAAACATCTTCAAAGCAGGGAACGTGTTTATTCATCTTCTGTTTTCCAAAAACACTTTGTGCTTTTCACAAGTAAGAGCTCAATAAATAATTGCGGAGCAAATGAATTCAGTCCTAAGTGGGTTACTCCGAGACTCAGTTCCCTTCTTTATGGTGCCTGATAGTTTCCGTGTAGTCTTAGTGACCTTCAAATAGGTAAAAAAAAAAAACAAACAAAACCCAAAACCGCCCAAAACCTCCTGCTTTGACCCAGCCTAGAGATTGGTTATTATTCACCTCCCATCCGTCCCCAAGTTAGACCTCAGCCAAAAGAACTATGACAAACTCAGACTCAGGCTAAGTATGAAAGCAGTCTGTTCCCAGAGCCCAGCTGTGAAGACGATGGCATAAGTCTTTTAAAAAAGACTAGGGATGCAGGAAATGACCATTTTGTGCAAAATCATTTCTTCCAATCAATAGGAAATGCAACATTGTTATCAAGAAGGGATTTGGATAAAGAGATTGACCTTATGTGATTTATAGATAATTATACAACCAATAACTCAAAATGGACAAATGCATAACTTAAAACCAGCATGATCAATGAGACTCGAAGAGATATTTGTACACTCATGTTTATAGCAGCATTATTCACAACAGTCAAAAGGCAAAGAAACCCAGGTGTGTACTGATGGATGGATAAGCAAGATGTGGTCTATACATACAGCGGGATATTATTATATACATACAGTGGAGTATTATGCAGCCTTAAAAGGGAGGAAATTCTTACACATGCTACAACATAGATGAACCTTGAAGACATCATGCTAAGTAAAATAAGCCAGTCACAAAAAGGTGAATACTGTGTGATTCTACTCATATGTGGTACCTAGGGTGAGGCAGAGACAAAGAGTAGAGACAGAAGGTTGCCAGCAGCTGGGAAGATGAGAAATAGAGAATTATTGTTTAATTGGTATGGAGTTCCAGTTTGGGAGGATTAAAAAAGTTCTGGAGATGGATGGTGATGATGGTTGCACAACAATGGGACAGTATTTATGCAACTGAACTATACACTTAGAAGTGGTAAAATGGTAAATGTTGTATGTCTTTTACCACAAAAAATAAATGAAAAAACCCCCAAACCCACAGTAACATAAATTTAATAAGTCTAAATGTAATTACATGACTTAGCAACAACAAAATGACTCCAGATCAGAATGGAGAAGACCCACCTTATGAAATCAAGAGATCTGGAGTTTTTGGTGAACCATAAGCCTCACAGGAGCCAACAGGGTGTGAGGTGGCTGTTCAAACAAACAACACTCCAGGATTCAGCCACATTAACAGTCTTATCCCAATTACTACACTGTAAATAGATGAGACCCCATTTAGGGAACAGAGTCTGCTAGAAGAACTCTTCAACTAGCAGAGCTGACTTTGGAAAAGGAAAGAGAGGGTAAGTACTTTAAAATATGTAAAAGGATACCATGAGCAAGAGGCATATGGACATGAGACTAGTAAAACTGGCAGGGAGTAAAATGCTGGGTTCAACCTAAGAAAAACTGAGTAACAAACCAGGCGACTAATCACATTGGCCACCGCACAAAGTTGTGTGCTTGTAGGCCCTGGACATATCCAAACCAGGACTGCCCAGGAAGGTCCTACCAAGGACAGGGGGCTGAGCTGGCCTGGGGCGGCCAGGGCTGCTGCTGTTCTTTGGAAAGATGCGTGCCCATGATCCCTCCACAGGCAAGGCGTGAAACGCTGGCTAATACTGACTTCCTTGCATGAGCTGAAATTATTCTAGTTGGTGAAAAAAATGGGTAGAGGCTTTGATAATCTTCTTAAAAATAATTTTTTCCTTCATCCAAAAGGCCAGAGAGGAGAGAATAACTGACAAGCTCTCCTGTCATCATTGCTGACTGCTGAGCATGTGAAACGTGAACAGTTCTCTGGCAATTACTCCCTGCTTGATGGCAAGGTCTTCAAGGGCCCAGGTCTCATCATTTGGCTTCCTCAGTCCTGACAGAGGTCTGGACACAGGGATGTGTGGAATCAATGCCCCTTAAATTGGATGATAACTTATATTTTTCTTTTCCTCCCCATTCTTTTTTTCTTGAGACTGGGTCTTGTTCTGTTACCCAGGCTGAAAGGCAGTAGCACAATCACAGCTCACCACAGCTTCAACCTTCAACCTCCCAGGACAGCCTCCTCAGGACTGATCCTCCCACCTCAGTCTCAAGAGTAGCTGGGACTACAGGTGTGTGCCACCACACCCAGCTAATTTTTTTTTCTTATTTTTTGTAGAAATGGGGTTTCACTATGTTGCCCAGGCTGGTCTTGAACTCCTAGACTCAAGTGATCCTCCCTCCTCGGCCTCCCAAAATGCTGGGATTACAAGTGTGAGCCACTACACCTGGCCACTTTTCTATTTTGAAAACAACAATTGGGAACATTTTTATGGTAAGTGGGGAGCCTCCTTTCTGTTAAGTGCCAGTGACTCATCAATAGCCTCAGAGAAGTAAGAAAAGCTAATTTAGCTCAGGAGGGGTTTTTTGAGGGGCAACGGATTTGGATTATAAGAAGTTCTACTCAGCTGCTTTTTGAATTTATAACTAGAAACATATAAACATATGATTTTATTAATTATCAAGAATAAGAGGCTTATGACTGAGTGGCTCTTGCCTATAATCCCAGTGTTTTGGGAGGCTGAGGCAGGAGGATCACTTGAGGCCAGGAGCTGCGATCAGCCTGGGCAGCATAGTGAGATTCCGTTTCTACAATAAAATTAAAAAGTAGCCAGGGTGGTGGTGCACACCTGTGGTCCCACCTACTTGGGAGGTGAGGTGGAAGGATTGCTTGAGCCCAGGAATTTGACGTTAAAGTGAGCTATGATGGTGCCACTGCACTCCAGCCTGGGTGACGAGCAAGACCCTGTCTCTTAAAAGAAGAAAAAAGGAGGTTTAATAAGTCTGCTCAAAGATTTTAATGCAAATGTTCATAGAGTATTAGTCATAACTGAAAAGTGAAAACAACCCAAATATCCATCAACTGGTGAATGGATAAACGACAAGTGATATATATATATACCTGTACAGTGGAATACTATTCAGCAACATAAAGGTAAGAAATATTGACACATGCTACAACACAGACAAGCCTCCAAAACATCATGTTGAATGAAAGAAGCCAAAAGCAAATCATCATACATTATATGATTCCATTTATATGAAATATCCAGAAAAGACAAATCTAGAGACAGAAAGTAGAATAGTGGTTGCCAGGGGCTGGGAGTGGGAACTAATTATAAAAGGGCATAAGGTCTCCATGATGTGCTTATTTCACATTGCATCCCTGTATCAAAACATCTCATGCACCCCATAAATACAGATACCTACTATGTACCCACAAAAATTTTAAAAAATAAAAAAAAATTTAAAAAAGGGCATGAGGGATCATATTTGGGTGATGGAAATGTTCTAAAGTTAGATTATGGTGATGGTTGCACAGCTTGGTACATTTACTAAAAACCATTTAATTATACACTTAACATGGTTGAATTTTGTAAATTATACTTCTGTAAAGTTATTTAATAAAAAAGTATCTGGGAGGCTGAGGTGAGAGGATAGCTTAAGGCCAGGAGTTCGAGACTAGCCTGTGCAACATAGTGAGACCCCCCCTCTCTTAAAAAAAGAAAAAAAAAGGAGTTTGCTTTAAATACATATTATTGCCTTTTAAGATAAAAGGGGCATTTAGGGCAAAGAGGGAAAAGGGAGATGATGAAGATTTACCAAGGATTACTAAGGAGAAAAGGGAGACAAAAGCCAGGTTTAGGATAGGTTGCCAAAAATGTCATAAAGCCGTTTCAAAGTTGCATATTCAGAATGATGGGCACAAATAGGGGAGCGGGTACCATGAAGCCCTTCCGGTTAGGGAATCTTTCTTTGCCTGGCACAGTGAGCTGTGTATTGGATACTCCATGCTGCAGACGGAAGGTTTCCACCCCCTGCTCTAAAGCGAGGGAGGAGGCGGCTGGGTGTAGGCGGCTTGTGTAATTTAGCCAAGGGAGTTTACATAGAAATTCAAGCTGGAGAAACAAATGGGTGCAAGAGAAAAACCTTTACACACAAATAGCATCATATGTTTGACTTTAAAAGGCACAGGGAGTATCAGTACATGAAAAGCTGTCATTTTTATTACAGTCAAAGAAAAACAGATGGTGCCACATAAGAAAACCACTATTGTAGAAACCCTATTCTTCTTAGCATTTTGGAACCCGCTGCTTACTGCGCTGGTTATTTCAAAGAAATTCCCTGACCAAGCTTTACAGCAAGCATTCTTTCCTCTTCTTAAAACCCCTTTCATTTGTGAAGAGATTTGGTAAAATCTAAGAGGGTAGGACTAGGCTTTGCTTTTGGAAAAACTGTACGTTTGTCTTAGTCTGCTCAGGCTGCCATAACAGAACACCATAGACTGGGGGGCTTAAACAAGAGAAAAGTATTTTCTCACAGTTATGGAGGCTGGAAGTCTGAGATCAGGATGGCAGCATGATTGGTTTCTGGTGAGGGGTCTTTTCCTGACTTGCAGATGGCCACCTTCTAGATGTGCCCTCCTTCACATGGTATCTTTTTTCATAAGGGTGCTAATCCCATCGTGAGGGCTCCACCTCCGCATGACCTCATCTAAACTTATTTCCCAAAGGTCCCATTGCCAAATACCATCGCGCTGGGGGTTAGGGCTTCAAGGTATGAATTTTTTGTGGGAGGAGACATAATTCAGTCCATAGCAATGCTATAGACTAGGTGTTGGCAAACTTCTTCTGTACAAGGCTAGTTAGTAAATAATTTAGGGTTTGCACCACATGTGGCTGTTGTAATATATTCATCATTGTTTTTTAAACCCTTTAAAAAATGCAAAAACTATTAGCTGGGCATGGTGGCATGTGCCTATAGTCTCAGCTACTCAGAATCACCTGAGCCCGGAAAGTTAAGGCTGCAGTGAGCTGTGATCGCACGACTGCACTCCAGCCTGGGCAACAGAGCAAGACCCTGTTTCTAAAAAACAAAACAAACCCCACCAAACAAGAAAAAAAGTAAAAACTATTATAAATTGCAGGCTAGATTTGGCCTATAGGCCAACCTCTGTTATAGATTCATTGAACCCCTCCAACCTTCCCCTTCCTGTGACTTCTTTTTTTTTTTTTTGAGATGGAGTCTCGCTCTGTTGCCCAGGCTGGAGTGCAGTGGCGTGATCTCAGCTCACTGCAAGCTCCGCTTCCCGGGTTCACGCCATTCTCCTGCCTCAGCCTCCTGAGTAGCTGGGACTACAGGTGCCTGCCACCATGCCTGGCTAATTTTTTTGTATTTTTAGTAGAGATGGGGTTTCACCGTGTTAGCCAGGATGGTCTCGATCTCCTGACCTCGTGATCCGCCCGCCTCGGCCTCCTAAAGTACTGGGATTACAGGTGAGCAACCGCACCTGGCCCCTGTGACTTCTTTAGCATACAAATGTTATTCTGCAACATTTCTCTGACAGATTGTGTGGGGAGGCGGGGAGAAGGGAGTCAATGTCTATCACCAATGGACACTATGGGGGAAAAAACAACCTTGTAAGAACATGTATAGGTAGGTTTTTCATCTTACCATCATTTTAATATCTCAGTAATTTCTTTGTACGTGTGGATAATATAAAATAAAATTTATCATTTAACAGTTTTAAGTGCATAATTCGTTGGAATTAAGTACATTCACCATATTGTGCAACCATTACCACTATCCATTTCCAGAAGGATTTCATCATTCCAAACAGAAACTCTGTACCCATTAAACAATCACTCCACATCTTCCCCTCACCGCCCCCAGGTAACCACTATTCTATTTTCTATCTCTAAGAATTTGTTAATTCTAGGTACCTCATATAAGTGGAATAATACAGTATATGTCTTTATTTTTTTGAGGTGGAGTCTCACTCTGTTGCCCAGGCAGGAGTGCAGTGGTCCAATCTCGGCTCACTGAAACCTCCACCTCCCGGGTTCAAGTGATTCTCCTGCCTCAGCCTCCCGAGTAGCTGGGATTACAGCCACCCACCAACACGCCCAGCTAATTTTTATATTTTTAGTGGAGACAGGGTTTTGTCATGTTGGCCAGGCTGCTCTTGAACTCCTGACCTCACATGATCTGCCCGCCTTGGCCTCCCAAAGTGCTGGGATTACAGGCGTGAGCCACCACCGTGCCTGGCCTAGTATGTGTATTTCTATGTCTGGTTCATCTATGTGGTAATATGTATTAGAATTTCCTTCCTTTTTGTGTCTGAAAAATATGTCATTGTACGTATATACTACATTTTATCATTTGTTGATGGACATTTGGGCTGTTCCTATCTTTTTGGCTATTATGAATATGCTGCTATGAACATTGGTGTATAAGTAAGTTTAAGTACTTGCTTTCAGTTCTTTTGGGTATATTCTTAGTAGTGGAGTTATTGGACCATATGGTAATTTTATGTTTAACTTTTTGAGAAACTGCCAAACTGTTGTCCACAGTGGCTGTACCATTTTACATTACATCCCTACCAACAGTGCGCAACAAGAGTTCCAATTTCTCCACTGCTCATTTGCTGTGTTTTTTTTTTTTGTTTTTTTTTGTTTTTTTTTTTAAATAATAGCTGTCCTAATGAGTGTAAAGTGGTATCTCACAGTAGTTTTGATTTGCACGTCCCTAATGACTAGTGATGTTGAGCATCTTTTCACGTGCTTATTGGCTGTTTTATATCTTCTTTGGGAAAATATTCAAATCCTTTGCCCATTAAAATTTTTTTAGTATCTCTTTTTAATATTTATGGTGACAGCAGTAAAAATAATTATACCTAATTGTTACTGAGCTCTTACTATATGCCAAGCACTTTTTAACATATATTACCTCACTGAATCCCCATTTTACAGACAAGTAAAGTGAGGTTTACAGAATTTGAACCCAAGGTATGTCTCCTAAACCTGAACAGCTCTGACTTGTCTTCTTGGGCTTGGGGTCTCACATGCATGTGAACACACACACACATACACACACACATTATGGGGTAACAATTATCTTTCAAAATCAATAACTATTGGAAGGAACCCTATACAAGAAGAGCCTAGAGAACAGATAAGGTAAATGTGATGTTTACTTAGTGTCAAGAAAGCCATTAGTCCTCCAATAAATGTTGCCTACCTCTGAAAAGGGAATAGAGAATAATAGGATTTGGACTTCAGGGACTGAGTAGAAGAGGTTCACCAAGAAAGACTGAGTAAAGCATAAAAAACTACAGGTCACTAGCACCCAGAGGTATCTTTAATATGTCCATGAAATGACTTCTAGTTGTGCATCAACTGACCCAAGTTAAAACACAACATAAGAACTTGAAACAAACCCTAACGAATTACCTAAAGTTAATGTAATCTTCTTCCCTGAGTCTTGTTTTGCTAACAATCATTTCTTTTTTGTTTTGGCCCTCCTATCGGTTAGGGTATTTGACCCTCCAAACCTCATGTTGAAATCTGATCCCCAATGCTGGGGGTGGGACCTGGGGAGAGGGTGAGTAAGTCCTTACTGTTAGTTTCTGATCTGCTGGTGAAGAGCCCGTTGCCACCCCCTAGCTCCTCTTCGCCATGTGACCTCTGCACAGGCTGGATCCCTTCACCTTCCCCCATGAGTGGAAGCAGCATGAGGCCCTCACCAGATGCAGGTGCTGGTGCCATGCTTTTTATACAGCCTGCAGAACCATGAACCAAATAGACCTCTTTTCTTTTCAAATCATTCAGCCTCAGGTGTTCCTTAATAGCAGCACCAATGGACTAAGATGAGCCCTGTTTATTTCTGGATTTAACTTATTGTCAAGACCCCTAAAAATCTATCTCGAAAGCTTGTTTCTCTTTTCTATCTCTGCTAAGCAGAAATTGAAATACAAAATATGATTTCAATTCAAAATGAAAAGAAACGCATAAACACAAATATTAAAAAAAGAAAACAGGAAAAAAGGAAGAATGAAATACTTCACTAGGCAAGCTTCTGGTTTTCCAGAGACCAGCCCAATCATCTCAAATATGTCATTAGATAAGATTCACCTGAGACTCGCCTCTTTCCCTTCCCCACGTGGAGGACACAGTATGGTGGCTGAAAACTCAAGGTGGTGAGGACATGGAAAGGTGAGGGAAGGTGGTGGGCTAACACAGGTATGAACCAGAGGCCTGCAGTTGAGAATGGGGGTGGTGAAGGAGAGACAGAGGTGACAGGTGGAAGAGATGGCCAGTGTGGCTGGAAAACCAGTTACATGGAGCAAACAGGCAAACTGAGCAAAAAAATCAATATATTAAGGAAAATGGGCTTCTTGCTGTTGGAGGAGGTATTAACAAACATGGAAGGGAAAATGCGAGAAAGAACACTGAGGTATTAGACTGTGGTTGGAGGGATCAGTATGAACCCATGATTTATATACACACACAGCTATATAAATACTTCCAGATGTAAATGTGTGTGAGTGTATATGTGTGTGTATGTGTGTATATGTATATGTACCCAAGCTTTCTCTACTGAGAGGGTCTAGAAGCAATGACATCTCAGTAGCAGTGAGCACCTCATCTACCCAGATCCTGGATCCTAAGTTACCATCCTCTACTAAAAGGAATCAGGCAGGGCTCTTTGGCAAAATGGCTGATTCCAGGGCTGGGGCTGGGGAAGTACAAGATGAGTCTGGAAATCTTTTTGTGCCAGATCATAAGGAAATACTCAATGGATGATGGAAGGAAGTTAAAAGGACCAGGAGGAAGAACTCCCACTGGCCAAATCCTAGATAGTTTTAGCATCAAAATAAATAATAGACTATAACCCATTGAATTATACAGGAATTCATGAGTCCAAACAGATATAAATAAAATAAATAAATGGGAGAAAGGGAAAGCTATTTCTTATAGAATGCCAACTCCCATGTGTAAAAGAAATGACAGAAATAGACAGTTGCCATTTGATAACCATCACAGAGGTGGCTGACACAGGCAGGAGTCATTCCCACAAAATACTAATTAATAAAAAGGAGGTGAACTGGAGGTGGAGAAACCTGGCAGATGCTAACAGGAGCAGGTGACAGAGGTCAACGTCACCAGGAGTGGGAAGGGTAGTCATGGCGTGCCTCCTGAGAAGAGCAGGCATGGCTTGAATTGGTTATCAGGGAACGCTGAATGGACCTAGGCTGAGAACTTACAGCCTGTACTCTTTAAAATTGACACAAGGCCATGAGGGACAGGGCAAGGCTGAGGAGATCGTCCAGACTGAAGGAGTCTGGAGAGACCTGACAAAGAAACATCACACGGATGTGGCAGGACCATCACAGCAACCGCATGTCTCCTTCTCCCATGAATCCCAGTGCTCAGCACAAGACCTGGAACGCAGAAGATACCGATTACTTTCTCCATTCCAGAATGGAGAAAAAATACATTGTTTGGACGGTTCGTGGAATTTGAATGGAGCATACTGGATTAGACAGTAGTGTTGTATCAAGGCTGATTTCCCGATTTGGAGAGTTCTATGCAGGTGATATAGGAGTGTCTAGAACACATACTCAAGTACTTATGGGTGATAGGATGTTACACACAGGTTGCTCTCAAAGTTCAGAAAAAATAAATGATAATGCATATAAAAACAAAGAGAGGCTGAATATGGTGGCTCATGCTTGTAATCCCACCACTTTGGGAAGCTGAGGCGGGCGGATTGCTTGAGCCCAGCAGTTCAAGACCAGCCTGGGCAACATGGTGAAACCCTGCCACTACAAAAAATACAAAAATTAGCCGAGCGTGGTGGCAAGCGCCTGTGGTCCCAGCAACTCAGGAGGCTGAGGTGGGAGAATCGCTTGAGCCCAGGAGGCAGAGGTTGCAGTGAGCCAAGATCTCGCCATTGCACTCCAGCCTGGGGCACCAGAGTGAGACTTGTCTCAAAAAAACAAAAAACACAGAGAGAGTAGGAAACGAAACAAATGAAGTAAAATGCCAATAATTGGGGAATCTGAGTGAAGAGAATATGAGAGTTCTTTGTACTGCTCTGGCAACTTTTCTCTAAGTTTGAAATTACTTCAGAAAAAATTGTTTTCTAAAAATCACCTAAATACTAAGCAACCACTCCGGGGGTACAATGAGAAGGAAATATAACTATTATCTGGTTCTCTAAACATATTATTTTGGGTGTGAGGCCTCAGGATCTGCTGGAAGAGGTGGGTTTTATAACCATAAAGACATAACATTTATAAGAAAACATATCAACAAGCGTACATGAATGGAAGGTAACTTGAGAGGGAACAGCAGAATGAACACTGGCCCCAATCTACCTCCCCATCAGTATTGTCTTAGACCGTAAACAAGCCGAAGACAAGGTCACAAACTTGCTTTGAAGAAGGGCTAGCTTAGTTATAAGGCAAAATCAAATTCTTAATAAATGCTTTAGATTGGGATAATAATGATGATTAAGATAATGATAGTTCCCATTAGCAGGGCTAATTATTCCTTAAGAATGATAAAAGTAATTATGCATAAATTTTCACCAGCTAACTGTGAAACTATTTTAGTATGTATAAAGAACATATTCAGTTCTGTGTGAAAAGCCAATTATATCTCTGTTAGAAACCTCAGGACACAGAATTCAAAACAGTTATACAGAAATTTGTCATTAAATTTTTGGGGAAAGATTAGGTTACATTATACCCAGTAGGTAGCTAAGATTTATTGAGCACTTACTAAGCACCAGGCAGTGTTCTAAGTGCTTTGTATGTGTTAACTCGCAGACCACCTCATGAAGGGAACCACGGGGCCTGGGAGACTGGCACAGCTCCTGAGGAACTGGAACAGCCTACTCAGCCCTCAACTGGGCAACTGAGGGATGACCCAGCGGTCACAGCACTATCATCCCTCTGCCTTAGCAGTTATCCCACTATATGGTGTTTGCTGTCTGCTGGATTCTGCTTGACTCATACTAGGCTGGAAGCCCTGTGAGGGCAACAACTGCATCTGTCCTTTTCTCATGTGTCTTACTTAGTGCTTAGCACAATGCCTGGGGCATAGAAGATACTGAATAAATATCTGTTGAATGAACAGGAATGAAGAAATAATAGATGGCAACCCAACTGCAGTCTCAGCAAATGTGCTCTGACTCAGCTGGAACAGCCTTGGGTGGGAGGGCAGCTCCTAAGGGGCTGCAGTGCTGGTGCTGGTTGGTCCGTCAGCTGAGGGCTTGGGCTCGAGAACAGGGCAGTTCTAACGACAATCTGGGTCCTTTCTCTAACTTGATTAAGCTTTTTTGAACAAAAATGTTAAGTCATTTGGTTATTTATCTAAAAGGAATTTCATCCTTGATATTGAAATGTAATAGTAATAGATACACACATGGTGGTTTAAAAAAAAAAGATATTTGGATGAGTATGTTGGGGTTTTTTGTTTTTTTTTGAGACGGAGTCTTGCTCTGTCACCCAGGCTGCAGTGCAGTGGCACAGTGTCAGCTCACTGCAATCTCCGCCTCTCCAGTTCAAGTGATTATCTTGCCTCAGTCTCTGGAGTAGCTGGGGACTACAGGTATGCACCACCATGCCCGGCTAAATTTTTGTATTTTTTTGGTGGAGACGGGGTTTCACCATGTTGCCCAGGCTAGTCTCAAACTCCTGATCTTAAGTGATCCGCCCTCCTTGGCTTCCCAGAGTGCTGGGATTACAGGCATGAGCCACCGCGCCTGGCCTAGTATTAGTCTTTTCACACAACAATTTTATGTATAAAGTGTCCTTTATAATTTATTAAAAATCCATGATAAAGTGCCTGCTAAACAAAATACTATTCCTATTTTATGAAAAATGTGAGTTATAAAAATATTAATATTTCTTCCCCTTTAAAGGAGAGAATAATGTGCAACATATTTTTTTTTTTTTTTTTTGAGATGGAGTCTCGCTCTGTCACCCAGGCTGCAGTGCAGTGGCATGATCTTCTGCTCACTGCAACCTCCGCCTCCCGGGTTCACGCCATTCTCCTGCCTCAGCCTCCCGAGTAGCTGGGATTACAGGCGCCCGCTGCGACGCCCGGCTAATTTTTTGTATTTTTAGTAGAGATGGGGTTTCACCGTGTTAGCCAGGATGGTCTCGATCTTCTGACCTCGTGATCCGCCCACCTCGGCCTCCCAAAGTGCTGGGATTACAGGCGTGTGCCACCATACCCGGCCAGATTTTTAAAAAAATCCTACAGTGACAAAGGAAACTGGTTAAAAAGTTCTTACCATTACAACACCAATAACTGAGAACTATTTTTTTGATGTGAATAATGGACTAGTTAAATGTTCTGGCCTATCAAAACAACTCTTGGTCACAAAGTAAACTTTTCTGAACATGCAATGAAAAGATATATAAGCATGCAATCAACAAGCGATACATGATCGATTCTGCATTTATGACAGGCCAGACATGCAGAATGCTAAAATGTTCCCATTAGTCCAACTTTAATGGTTCCTATGTGTTCAGCCTGTTTTCTGGAAAACATGAAGAAAGGATGGTCGGTACCTCAACTAGCCTAGCTTCACCACCACTGGCCTCTACTCCAATTGAGTGTAACTCTGGAATCAAACAGATCTCCAGACTTCCTGGCTGCATGTCCTGAGGCAAGTTACTTATCCTCTCTGATCCTCAGCTTCCTCATTTGTAAACTGGAGAGGTCAGAAAAACATATTAAGTGCTTAGCAAAGCCCTTGCCATTTAAGCAGTTACCATTATTATTCCATGAAGGGAAAAATTCAATTTATTGAGATCCTACTATCTATGCTAGTCACTGCTGAGACTCCATACAACCTGATGGCTGTCTCTTAGGCTTAATTACAAAGAAATGCTTTGTGTTTTTCTTGTTTTGCTTTTTGTTGCCCAAGCATTGTTTAAAAGATGCCACCTCTCCCTCTACTTGAAGGTTAACATATGTCTACCAACTCTGAGATGTCTAAGGATCTCACCAGCTGCTAGTCTTTCCCAATATTCTTCCTTAGTCCTGTTTGATTTGCTCACCTCCAAAAAGCGTGTTACTAACTGAAAAGCTTTCATGCAACTATTACCTTCAACTCAATTCAAACACAGACACTGCATCAGAATGGAGTCATATTTAATCCCAACCTTCATCATATATATCTAATCCAGTCTAAATATTCTATGAAGTGATAGTCCTTTAACTCCAGCAATGATAGCCCAGAGAACAATATTCTCAGCAATTGGTGACTGTGGCCCCAAGAAAAGAGCTGGGGCCTACTCAACCCACAGTCCGCCCCCAAATCTCCAAATGCAGTATCCCAATGTGCCCACCCAACACTCCAGAGGGGAGAAGATTTACCACTGACAGAAAGGTAACTGAAATGTCAAAAGAACATGAAACTGGCAATATATTTTGTGAAATGTCATGGTTCTTTCTGTTCTATGACAGTGTAATAATTGCAAAAATTTCAAAAGGTGGGGAAAAAAAGCTATGAACACCATCTCTTGGACCAGAAATATCAAAATGGTGACCTACGGTCCCTGACCATAGATGTTCTGTTTGGGCTTGTACAGTGCTTTAAAAATATTTGGGCCGGGCGCGGTGGCTCACGCCTGTAATCCCAGCACTTTGGGAGGCCGAGGCGGGCGGATCACGAGGTCAGGAGATCGAGACCATCCCGGCTAAAACGGTGAAACCCCGTCTCTACTAAAAATACAAAAAATTAGCCGGGCGTAGTGGCGGGCGCCTGTGGTCCCAGCTACTTGGGAGGCTGAGGCAGGAGAATGGCGTGAACCCGGGAGGCGGAGCTTGCAGTGAGCCGAGATCCCGCCACTGCACTCCAGCCTGGGCGACAGAGCGAGACTCCGTCTCAAAAAAAAAAAAAAAAAAAAAAAAAAAATATTTGAATCAGTTTTTAAAAATTAGGGGATTTCTCATTTTAAAAATCTAGATTTCTGCCTTTTCTCAAAAAAATTAGATTTTGCACTACTGAATCTGTCTGGCAATCTCTAGCTGAGCTGCACACTGACTGCTTGTGTGAGATGGCATGCACCCTCCAGTCACCATGCTTTTCTTCCATGTTCTTTTAAAATCCTGTGGGACAGACCTCTGCCGCCAGTAGATAGCCTCTGCTACAGATTGTAAAGTGCTACACAAATGTCATGCAACATATTTGAAAACTCTAAAGTTTTAAAAACTTTAGTTATTTAAAAGTGTTATTTAAAAGTCTGATTAGTTTTTACACTTGAGGCTCTGAACATACTTTTCTTTAAGGCAATGACCTTGGCCAAAGATTCTTTAAACCTGACCTAACAAGACAGCACACCAATGCAGAAGGCAAAAGAGATTCACAATTTTCACATTCTGGGTTATTCTGGCAATAAGCCAGAGCAAAGGCCGGGCATGGTGGCTCATGCCTGTAATCCCAGCAACTTCGGGAGGCCAAGGCAGGCAGATCACAAGGTCAGGAGTTCAAGACCAGCCTGGCCAATATGGTGAAACCCCATCTCTACTAAAAAATACAAAAATTAGCCAGTGTTGTGGTGCGTGCCTGTAAGTCCCAGCTCCTAGGGAGGCTGAGGCAGGAGAATCGCTTGAACCAGGGAGGTGGAGGTTGCAGTGGGCCGAGATCGCGTCACTGCACTCCAGCCTGGATGACAGAGTGAGACTCCAACTAAAAAAAAAAAAAAAAAAAAAAAAAGCAGAGCAAGAGGAAGTGAGAGGGAGAAGGTGCCAAAACCTGTCCTGCTAAAAAACAAACCTTTATGGTCTGAAGAAAACAAAAGCTAAAACTCTTTAATGTGGCAAGCCTAATAATTAGTTTTTCTGAAGAAAACAAAAGTTAAAAATCTTTAGTGTAACAAGCCTAATAATTAGTGTTTCTTCCCCTCTAAAAAAAGCATCCCCTTAGCATGCATACACACAAATCCACACATGTACACCAAGGCACATCTTACAAATTCCAGAAGTACACCAGGGTTTTACTCCAGACTTGGAAAGAGTCCTCTCTCTGGAAAATGCAGACAGCTTAGTCACATGCTTTATTTTTTCTGTGATGCATCTCAGTTTGCAGTGAGAGGTTTTGACTACAGGGCTTCTTGATATGGGTAAGTTTAAAAAGGTTACTAAACTCTCTTCCCTGAAGAAATGGAAATACACTGTATGGATATTTCACAGGAGTGATGGGGGTAATTTTTTCAGGTTCCTCTATGATCTTTAAGATTCCCAAAGAGATCAGTTACCTGACTGAATTCACTGTGCGTGACAACTATCAAGGGGTTATAGGTACTGGTATTCTTGTCATATTTATGTATTTTTAATTAAACTCTCTGATATCCCCTATTGGTATTTCAAAATAGATTTATTTTGAAAAGCTACACTACATAAAGGACTGACATTTTGGCAAAGAAGCAGGTAATAAGAGAGAGTTCCTCCTCCCGCAAGTTTTCAAATGAATATTAATCAATGCTTTAAAAATGCCACCTGTTGTACTGTGGAGCACATCTGCTTAAAAGTAGTTTACAGGTAATAGTTTCTAACTTTTCTTGGCTTTGCTGACACAGTTTAACATGCTCACGATGCATACCAATCACCTCACTTTTACAGTGAGAAATGAGAATCTTCAAACTCAGTGGGATAATAACGCTGACTGTACACCTATGGCATATTTTAACTCATATAGGAGAGAAAAGGCATGTAAAATGGTTTCCAACAAAGGCAAACTTATCAGGTGAATCCATTGCAGAGGCCAAGCTGCAGCCCTCTGAGAGGTGAGGCCTGTATGGCCTCCTGACTCACCATCTAACCAATTGCTACCTCTGCAGTGCATGAGGAGAACACCATCAACATCATTTCCCACACCTGCAATTAGGATTTTTATGACAATTTAATCTAGAGTACTAAAAAAACCCCTTAATTTAAGGAATACAACATACCAAATATACCTTATAAATTTTCTTTTGTTCCTTTAAAAGAAAAATTATACAGCCATTCACATACACATAAGATAAAATATATGAAAACCGAATTGCCTAAAATCAAGAGAATGGTAAATAATGTCATACTGAATAGCCAGAGCTACACTGTCTAATAGTGCAACTTCTAGTCACATGTGGCTATTTAAAATACAATTACACTGAAATTCAATTCCTCAGTCACATTAACCATATTTCAAGTGTTCACATATGGCTAAGAGCTACTGTATTGAAGAATGCAGATACACAGAACATTTCCAGCAATGCAGAAAGTTCTATTGGACAGTGCTGGGGTAGAGGAAATACCCACAGCAAACATGTTGGTAACCAACATCTTTCCACCACTGTATGGTACTAAAAACTTACTTTTTTGTCTTAGAATAAACAGTCTAAATAAGCACCTTAATTCATTTCACTTTGAATCCATGGATTAAAACTGGTTTGAATGTCAGGATTCACTTACTGGTGACTCCCCACTGATAATACAACTTGACAACATAGTTTAAACATAGAGCCTTGTTTCCCCGTGTTATTCATTAATTTAAGCTGATCACATATAACTAAAGTTAAAACCACACAGGCTCTTAGCCTGGAAATCTCGTGTGCTTATTTGGAGAACTACTATTTTAAGCCCAAGGTAATGATTTTTTCTTCCTTCACTCTCATTCCTTTTCTATGACAGTTTCCTAAAGTGAAAAGTCAAGCATCTTTTGTTAATCCCAGAACTGCAAGTAACCAGATTTAGCTCTAAACAGGCTTCCCACTATTGGAAAGTAGCATCAATACATATGTTAAGATACCACCCGACAGTATAGACACATCTTATGCTTGAAGAGAATGTATTCCAACAAGCTTGTCAAAAATTTCACCATCAAAAATAGGAGTAATGTAGGAGACCCCATGGATACATCCAGAAGATAAATTAAATGAGAGGGGGTTAGTATCATATTTTAGAAGGCTAACCAAAATGCTAAATGCACTGAAAAACCTATAATCTGGAAGTCCTGGGGCAGAGGGAGAGGAAGAAGTTGATCAGTGCTCAAGCCTGAAGGGACTGGTGTCTGCCAGGACAGTCTGGAATGGGGTAGGCTAGGGCAGGGACAGCTCTGAGTCCTAGGGGAACCTCAGGACCGTAGGATATTTTTCTCTGGGGCTCCTAGGTCAGGACCTGGCCCTTCCTCTCCTGAATGAGATTTCCCCAAATTAAGATAACTGTGCAGACTTCTGGTATAAATGTCCCTTCTTGCGTTAGAATTGACAACTAGGAATGGTGTATATCAGATTTTAGCCCTTGAGGTGAGAGAGCCAAAAAAAAAAAAAAGGCCCTGAGAAGCTTCCCATGTCTAGGTGTTTTCAGGAGCAGAGTCACCACAGGGAGGAGGGTGCAGGGTGCAGTGGAGGTGAGCCCAGAGCAGAAAAAGATTAACATTAAAGACAAGTGAAACCAATTTCCTGATTTTGCTGAGCTTGGAACCTATCCAACTATTACTTGGCAAAGAGGTCCTGTATAAAGTACAGTATAAAGTGGTGGTAACATTGGATTCTGTGGTTTAAGAAGACGCTTGCTTGCTTGCTTTCTCTTTCTTTTACATGTAACTAACTAAATCATCATCAGGGGATATTACATTTTAAACAACAACTGAGTTCTGGTGGAATTTTTCAAGGGCTATAAAGGAACTAAGACAACAGGAGAAAGATGCAACATGGGATGACAGAAGTGAGCCCACTCTTGGCCGGTGTGGTGGCTCATGCCTGTAATTCCAGCACTCTGGGAGGCCGAGGCAGGAGGATTGTGTGAGGCCAGGAATTGGAAACGAGCCTGGGCAATGGTTCGAGACCGTGCCTCTACAAAAATAAATAAATAAATAATAAAAAATTAGCTGAGTGTGGTGGTGTGCACCTGTAGTCCCAGCTACTCAGGAGGCCAAGGCTGGAGAATAGCTTGATCCCAGGAGTTTGAGACTGCAGTGAGATGACTGTGTCACTGCACTCCAGCCTGGGTGATGACAGGATGACAGAGCAGGACCCTGTCTCCAAACAAAAAAAAAAAAAAAAAGAGAGAGAGAGAGAAGTGAATCTACACTGAACCTAAAAGATCTAAATATTTTTTCAATATTTTGAAATAAAATCTTCATACACAGTACAAGGAAAATGTTGGAAAGGGACAGGCAGAAAAACACTGAGAGAAAAATAGACATTCTGATTTTGCCAAAACCATCTATGCTAAATATAGGTAACGGCAAAAGGATCCAGCTAGCTATGAGATAACTAACACAATCTTTAAGTGAAAATGCCACTAAGTGCTGCTGCATTTGTCTAGAAGCTGCCTCAAGTTTGACAGTGTCTGATTAACAATCAAATAAGGAGACTTTTTTTTTTTTTTACCTTTAAGAGAGGTGTTATTTTAAAATGAAGGTGATGTAAATCCACCTACAAGAATATTTAAAATAGAAAGTAACCAAATGGAGTAGGGTGGAGGATTTTAGACATTCAGCTTTTAGTGGGGACAAAGGATACTGAATATAACTCAATGGCCTCTGCTAACTGAGCTGCAGTGTCACTGTGGAAAGGGCACTGGGGCTAGATGACAGGACGGCACAGCTTTGGTCCAAGCACAGGGCCCAAGGAAGAAATGATGTGCCCCTGACACAGCATCTCATCTCCTCATCTGAATGATGGGGGTAAGAAGCTGCCTTTCTGCCTCACCATGATACCACGTTCACGGATGGCGCATGCTGGGAAGTCCACAACACAGCTATCAGGGATAACACAGAAGGCGTGCGGCCACAGGAGACACGCCAACCAGGGAAGTGGCCTCAGAGGCAGGAAGAACACGAGCACACTGTGACCCAGCTGGAGGACCCAGCAGGGAGGAAAAACCCCAACAACGAAAACAGGTCCGGAAGCAGGGGCATTAGGACATTATGTATCTGGTGTTTTGGCTTCTACAAGAGTTGAACGGAAGAGGGAAAGAGGAAGAAAGGAAAACCGTGTTCTCTCTCTGAAGGAAGTGGCACTCCTCTGCACAAAAGCCGCTGGCTGCTTTGTAAGGGTTTCAGAAGCTGCTCAGTGAAAACCTGCATGCTGGAGACCTTGAGTTCTCTCTCGATAACTGCCACCTTGTTCTCATATATCCTTCTCACTTCATCTTCACAAAAACGGCAGTATAGCAGACAGGGCAGATATTAGTATTATTATTTTACAGATGAGAAAAACAAGACTTGGCAAGTTGAAGTGCTTCATCCTGTCACAAGGTAAATGTTAAAGCCCAAACTCATCAACCCTTCACCTAAATTTTGGGTGCTAAGCCTCCACATTCTAGAATACTGAGTTCTAATTACCTAGAAAAGAATAAAACTGTCCAGGTGAGGTGACACTTTTGAGGAATCCCAGGAAGAGGTGTCGGCACTGTGTTACCTCAGGTGGGAATGGCCTCTGAACTGATCTCCCTGACAGCTCTGTGAAGAGATCTCCCTAATGGCTCTGGCCCACAGCATGAAGCACATGCCTGCTACAGACCCTTCCCAGCAACTCCACCCCAGTGTGAGGCAGCTGGATTCCTTGGGCCTCTCTCTTAAAAACAAACCAAAGTCAGTCTTGCTTCTTCAGTGCAATGATTTCAGATCTTCCTCTGCTTTAAGGCAGGCTCCTTAAGCTTCCTCTTACCTAGTCATCAGCAAAGACGCTGGATTTTGGACAGAGCACCAGAAATTCCACAGTATCTTTACTTAGCAGTTTAAGGGAACTCTAAGGTTTTCATTCTTCAAGAATGAAACAATGGCTCTTGGAGTTAGAAAAGAGATGCTGAGATTGGGTTAGGCTTCAAGTAAACTAAGTAGAAAAGTAAATTAAATCAAGGGAAGGTCACAAAAATTACAGCACAACACATAGGTATCTTAGATCATTTCTCAAACCTTGGAATTCTTAAAATTATTTGAGAAGCCTAATAAAAATTCAGATTCCCTGGTCCCACTCCCAGACATTCTGTATCAAGTGTAAGGTGGGTCCTGGAATATGCGTTTTTAATAAGCCCTCTGGGTGATTCTGGTCCAAATAGTGCATACATCCTAGTTTGAGAAAGAGTCTTAGAACTTTTAAGGAGAGAGGCTAATTAGAAGGATTCATCTCAGAGCACTTGAGCAGTAAAAAAACAGAGAAGCAATGTGTTGCAGATAAGCACCTAGGGCCCACAATTGATGTGTACATCTGATGTACAGATGATTTAGCAGGAGAATCATATCCTAATGTGAATATGGCATGGTGGAACTGTTGAGGAGGAAAAGCACCTATGGATCTCACACAGGCATTTCCACTCCATAGGGGAGTGAGAGAAGTCAGCACAACAAAAGTTAAAAACATTATGTTTACGTCAGGTTTTCTTGTTTTTTGTTTTGTAGAGATGAGGTCTCACTATGTTGCCCCAGCTGGTGTTGAACTCCTGCCTCAGCCTCCCAAAGTGCTGATATCACAGGTGTGAGCCACTGTGCCCGGCCACCATCATGTTTTTAAAGGGTGAGAAGGTGGCAGCTCTGATGCAGCAGAAAGACCCTGGATTTAGAATCCAATCCTGACTCTGCCATTTATTGGGTGTGCAATAGTCACTTTGCTGCTGTAGCTTCCAAACTCTAAATGGAGACTACAAGCTACCTATCTCAAGGCATGGTTGTTAAGAGAGAATGATCATAACGTACTTTAATAAAGCCCTCTGTAAACTATAACATATCAAACAAAAACCAATGCTATTGTAAAAAATATAAAGGAGGTTACTTTCTTAAACACTAATAACAAGATTTTCGCAAGCATCCTGCTGAAAAGTTGGTGAGAATGTAAGTTAAGTGTCACAAAGCCCAGCAGCAAGCCAGAAGGGGGCGGGACACAGCTGGCTTGTTTCGCCAGAGCTTTTGTTTGTTCATTTATATGGTCTCTTGGAAAGGAAAAAGGTGGATGGGGTATTTGCTATGTTAGGTCAAGGAAAAGCATGTGAGCATACGGATCACAATTCTTTTTTTCTTTTCTTGCCTCTGTGTATTGATTCAAATTTTTTCATTAATATCCTGCTGATCAAGGTGTCACACTAGCTGATGGGTAGATCCTTACACATAAGAGAAAACCATCTGATCACTTTTTAGTTTCACAATGTACGTGATGACATTTATGTGACTAGCATTCCAAAGGGTAGAGAATTAAAATGACAAGCAATGATGCATGTCCCATAGGGCTTCTTAAAAGGAAATATACCTCACGTGAAAAAAGTAGAGTCTAGTCTGAAAAGGTTATATAGGCTACACCCTAGCACATCATGTACAGGTACAGAAAAACAAGGGAGATGAGCAAAGGAAACACGCAGGGCAGAGGGGGTGGAGCAGGAGTCCAAATTCACATGTAATGTGATTAAAATGAAGAATTCTTGTCCACTTTAGAGGGGAATATGATATAAAAAGAAACTGAGAAATGATAGTAGTGTGAAAAGAATTTGAACATTACTACAAGAAAGTGAGATATATGTGATTAAGCAGTTATTTCTAAGGTCAATTTCCTTATGCATTAATTATACAGTTCCCACCATTAAAGTAAGCAGAGTTGAATATTAAGGAAAATAAAGACATTTTTAAGATGCTTCAGGAAATCGAAGAACAGAAGTCATATGTGATGTTATACAGAACAAATTGAACTATAGCTAATATGAAACTCCAAGGCAGGAAAAATAGCATTTGGCCAAGAGAAGGGTCCAGGGAACAGTTGACAGAGAGCAAGCACTGGCCTCTGAGGGGCCACAGCAACAGCCTTTTCAAGGTGACATATAGCAAGCACTGGCCTCTGAGGGGCCACAGCAACAGCCTTTTCAAGGTGACAGATAGTAAGCACTGGCCTCTGAGGGGCCACAGCAACAGGCTTTTCAAGGTGACATATAGCAAGTACTGGCCTCTGAGGGGCCACAGCAACAGGCTTTTCAAGTTAGCTGTCGAAGACGTAGGGCAGGGATGGAGGGCACCTACTGCTCTAAACAAAACGATGAATGAGGAGTTCTGTGCAGAGAAAAAGAGAATGAGGAGAAAAGAACCATGATCCTAGGACAGCAGAAACGCTGAAGTCCAATTACAAGTGAAAAGAGTAAGTCAATTCATCAACAGTGCATATGTAAAAACAAGAGGATCCAAGAGGCGATGGGAAGACAATAAAATATACTGAAGAATGTACTACATACTTCAGAAAATGATATGCCTTTTCTTTTTCTTTTCCTTTTTTTTTTTGGCAGGTAAAGAAAATGATATGTTAATGTTAGCAGAAATTGAGTCACTCTGGTTGTAGAGAAACAATTTTGAATATGGAAATGTAATGAGTATATAACAAATTACTGTAAAGCTCAAATGTGATAATGTATGTGAAACCGTCTGTTATATGTTAAGTCCTTTGCATCTGGCAGGCAGCATGGTTATGGAGGATGACACCAAGTCCATGTACCTATAATCCACAGAGACATTTAATAGCTTTGCAAGCCAACCAGTTTCAATGATCTACACAGGAAATCCTGGCAAATGTTGCTAACAGCAACTTGACTAATAGAATTGCCTGATTTGAGTTGTAAAGCATTTTTGACGTACCTGTCTACCTGCTTTGGCAGATGTGCTCATAGCTGAGGAGTGGTCACTAAGTGGAAGGGAGGAAGCAGAGCCCATGAAGAATCTATCAACTGGTGGATTAGCACCTGGACAATTAA
Source organism: Homo sapiens (assembly GCF_000001405.40). Lineage (NCBI taxonomy): Eukaryota > Metazoa > Chordata > Mammalia > Primates > Hominidae > Homo > Homo sapiens. The sequence continues at coordinate 123,527,012 of NC_000003.12, forward strand.
TATTTGACTATATTGGCAAAGTGATTGGATATTTCATAGTGAACAATACTTTGACTTCATGTACCTAGCACTTAATTACTGAAAGTACATTAATTATCTATTTAAGAATGTAAATGAGTTACTACTAGGAAGAAGTTTTAGGTCATTGGAGACTATTGGAAGATAAAATTATGAGTTGTTGGTTAAAATGAAAAGGAAATGGTATCTACACAAAAGTATGAGAGGAAGAAATATCGCAGTCCTTGCTTATCTGAAGTTTCACTTTCCGTAGCTTCTGTTACACCTGGTCAACCACAGTCCAAAAATATTAAATGGAAAATTCCTGAAAGAAACAATTCCTAATTCTTAAGTTGTACACTGTTCTCAGCAGCATGATGAAATCTCATGCTGTCCCACTCTATCCCACCTAGGACACGAATCTTCCCTTTGTCCAGTGTATCCATACTGTATATGCTACTGGCCCATTAATCACTTAGTAGCTAACTTGGTTATCAGTGCTTGTGTTCAAGTAACCCTTATTTTATTTAAAAACAGCCCCAAAATGCAAGAGTAGTGATGCTGGCAATTCAGATATGCCAAAGAGGAGCCATAAAGAACTTCCTTGAAGCGAGACAGTAAAAGTTCTCAGCTTAATAACGAAACAAAACAAACTGTATGCTAAAGTTGCTAAGTCCTACAGTAGGAACAAATCTTATATTTGTGAAATTGTGAAGGAAAAAGAAATTTGTGCTTGTTTTGCTGGTGAACCTCAAACTGCAAAAGTTGCGGCCACAGGGCATGATAAATGCTTAGTAAATATGTAAAAGGCATTACATTTGCGGGTAGAAGGCATAAACAGAAACGTGTTTCGGTCAGCAGCAATCGGGTTGTGTGCTAGCCGCTGTTTCTGGTATCCAGTGGGGGTTTTGGAATGTATTCCCCTTGGATAAGAGGGAACTACTGTATAGGTTTAAAATGATGACTTGGGTCAGGTGTGGTGGCTCATGCCTGAAATCCTAGAATTTGGGGAGAGTGAGGCAGGCAGATTGCTTGAGCTCAGGAGTTCGAGAGCGGCCTGGGCAACATGATACGAACAAGATATCAGAAAAATATAACTGAGTTGCAGACCACATCCACACCATCTGAACCTCCATGAGAACTCAGATTACAGGACTTTACCATTTAATCAGTCTTCTTTTTAACAACACTGCATATCTGGGATATGTTTCCCACTATTAACCCAGTTCCTACAGTGAATGTGAGCTTTATCTCAGCTATATTGACATGACCTGGAACTCTGACCTGGAACTCTTTAGCCATAACAAACATGTGAATCAGAAAAGTTGACTAGTGTTTGTTAGTGTTGACATTATTTTGGTCTATATAAACACTTACCTCTTTGACGCTATGTGTTACTGCCCATATTAGAAAAACTCTTGACATCACCTGGAAAGAAGTCAGGACAACAGAAGATGGAACAATTCCTGAAAGAAATTTTGGGATGGATAAATAAATGTACTGTACTAAGTTTCGATATATAATATATTTTCTAAAACATTCCAACTTAAATGTTTAGAGTCAAAACGGTCTTGAGCAACTGAAAGGTGTCTATATTGTTACACAGACTAAGTTTTCAATGTAGTCCACATTAAAACAAAGTTTTCTCCCTAAAAACAATAATATTTTTAATGGTATTATAAAACCATGGGATCCAGGTACCTTTCTTAAACCTCTCAAAACCACTGACCAAGTACAGTATTTTTTACACTTACTGTATAGATGGAGAAAGCAAAACCACTACCTAATCTTTAAAATAAGACTCATTTTACAATACGGGTTTCAAAACAAATAGGAAACAAAGGATGAGAAATCAATCCTATTTGTGTCTAATGAGTGCTGGAAGCTCATGGACATCAGACTTGATACACTATCTAATGGTTAAGTTAGGTATCTTTTATTATCTACTTGAATATTTTGCCAACAAGCATAACAACATAAAAGACTATCTTTAAAACCTTTTTTTTTTTTTATCACCTTGTTCATTACAAGCCCTGGCACAATTATCCTCCCAATGTCCTCAAGTTATAACACTGGAATCATCTTTGATTATTTTCTTTATTTATTTTTTGAGACCGAGTCTCACTCTGTCACCCAGGCTGGAGTGTAGTGGTGCAATCTCAGCTCACTGCAACCTCCACCTCCCAGGTTCAAGTGATTCTTGTGCCTCAGCCTCCCAAGTAGCTGGGACTACAGGCATGTGCCACCATCGCTGGCTAAGTTTTTGTACTTTTGGTAGAGATAGGGCTTCACCATATTGGCCAGGCTGGTCTTGAACTCCTGACCTCAGCTGATCCGCCTGCCTCGGCTTCCCAAAGTGCTGGGATTACAGGTGTGAGCCACCACACCTGGCAGTTAGTTATATCTTAACAAAGCTGTTACTAAAAAAATAAATGGCCAGAAACAGTGGCTCACGCCTGTAATCCCAACACTCTGGGAGGCTGAAGCAGGAGAATTGCTTGAGTCCAGGAGTTCTAGACCATCCTGCACAACATAGCGAGACCTTGTCTCTACTAAAAATAAAAAACATATTAGCTCGCCATGGTAGCGTACGCCTCTAGTACCAGTTCTAGGGAGGCTGAGGCAAGAGGATTGCTTGAGTTTGGGAGGTTGAGGCTGCAGTGAGCTGTGATCATGCCACTGCACTCCAGCCTGGGTGACAGAGTGAGGTCCTGTCTCAGAATAAATGAGTAAAAGTAAATAAATACATAAATAAATGTATAAATGAATTATAAAACCTGGTTATATAATTGTGTAATACAGCTAACAGAGCTAATTAGTAAGTCAAACATTTAGTGAATATATTTAGCCAGATCACACTTAGATGGGACAATATGCAGTTGTGGATTTCCTCTAGAAACCAATTTAAAAAAAAAAATATATTGAAGATGGAAAGCTCATATACTGCAAAACAAGGCTTATGTTTTAAGCCATTCTTGTAAAATAATGTTTAATATTTAGGAAAATGGCAGAATTGTACTCTTCCATATTTCTATTATAATAGACCTATTTTGAAAATCATATTTTGCTTATTAACATGTTAAGTTTCATTTTGCTGGGAGAGGGGGATTAATGAGGTTGAAGCAATAACTACCTAGGCACCTGTAAGGAAAGCACCCATATAGAGGAAGCCTTTGATTTCTTTGATTTCAAACAAACAAACAAACAAAAAGTAAAAAGAAAAGAACTGAGAATTAAAGGATTTCTTTTTTTAAAAAAAAGAGACCAGATTTCACTCTGTCACCCAGGCTGGAGTACATGACGCCATCATATCTCTCACTGCAGCCTCAAACTCCTGGGCTCAGGCCATCCTCTCGCCTCAGCGTCCCAAGTAGCTGGGACCACACGGTGTGCCAGGTAATTTTTTTTTTTTTTTTTTTGAGACGGAGTCTTGCTCTGTCGCCAGGCTAGAGTGCTGTGGGGCGATCTCAGCTCACTGCAACCTCCAACTCCCTGGTTCAAGGGGTTCTCCTGCCTCCGCCTCCCGAGTAGCTGGAGTTACAGGCATAAGCCACCATGCCCGGCTAATTTTTATATTTTTAGTAGAGATGGGGTTTCATTATGTTGGCCAGGATGGTCTCGATCTCCTGACCTTGTGATCCGCCTGCCTTGGCCTCCCAAAGTGCTGGGATTACAGGCGTGAGCCACTGCGCCCGGCCTGCCCAGGTAATTTTTTAAAGTTTTTGTAGAGACAACGTCTTGCTATGTTGCCCAGGCTGGTTTCGAACTCCTAAGCTCACACAATTCTCCTGCCTTGGCCTCCCAAAATGCTGAGATTACAGGCGTGAGCCCCCATGCCCAGCTAAAGTAACTTTTTGTTGTTGTTGTTGTTGTTTTTAGATGGAGTTTCACTCCTGTCGCCCAGGCTGGAGTGCAATGGCGCAATTTCGGCTCACTGCAACCCCTGCCTCCTGGGTTCAAGTGATTCTCCTACCTTAGCCTCCCGAGTGGCTGGGATTATAGGCACGCGCTACCATGCCCAGTTCATTTTTGTGGTTTTAGTAGAGACGGGGTTTCACCATGTTGGTCAGGATGGTCTCGATCTCTTAACCTCGTGATCTGCCCGCCTCAGCCTCCCAAAGTGCTGGGATTACAGGCGCTAAGAGTAACTTTAAACAAATGGAACTAGAAGGTCTAGGGGCAAAAACTGCAATTCAGCTGAACACAGGTTTATTAATTATTCCCTCTCCACTATAAATCACCCTTCTCTAGGGAATATAAATTTGTATTTGTCTCCCTTTCAAAAATGCCATACATAAATTAACAGTGTTTTTCTTTTCTTTTCTTTTTTTGAGACAGTCTTGTTCTATCGCCCAGGCTGGAATGCAGTGGCACAATCTTGGCTCACTGCAACCTCCGCCTCCCAGGTTCAAGTGATTCTTGTGCCTCAGCCTCCTGAGTATCTGGGATTACAGGTATGCACCACCATGCCTGGCTAATTTTTGTATTTTTGTTAGAGGCGGAGTTTCAGGTCATCTGAAACTGACCTCAGGTCATCCACCCGCTGCCTCGGTCTCCCAAAGTGCTGAGATTACAGGTGTGAGTGAGCCACCACACCTGGTCAACAGTGTTTTTCTTAAAAATGCTTTAGTATCCACACACACACACAACGATTTATTTAGTGTATTTCTCACCAGTCTTTTCCTCTAAGCATATTTTAAACCAGTTTAACTTCTACTGTTTATATTGTTTTTGCTTTTCTCATTTAACATTTTAAGAATTTTCCTTCTCTTCTTCAAAAGATTTTAGCTTAAATCATGATATTCCTTTGAGTTAATATGTTTGTTTATTCTCCTTCTGTGGGACATTTAAATTGCCTCGAATTTCTTGATACTATAAATGAAGTAATGAAGCATTACAAATAACACTCAAAATTCGAGGCTTAGACCTTTTTTTAAAAAAAGGATTATTTCCTTGGGACATTTTCCCAGAAGTAGAAGTACTAGGTCAAATGGCATGAATGTTTTTAAGGCTCTTGAAATGTATTGCCAAACTGCTTTCTAAGAAGTTTATTACCAATTTATACTCCCACCAGCAATATACAAAAGTGCCTGTCTTAGCACACCTTTGGCAGTAAATTTAAATCTTAATAAGTAGTGAACAAAAAGCTGATCAATACTTTCTAATTGAAGTAGATGTCAAGATGTTTCTGGCCTTGCCTGCAGGTGCTTCTACCGTTCTCTATCCAGTGAACTCGCCTACTTAGACACCTTAATTTTCCCCAAATCATGTCATTCAGACCAACTGTCACTTAGTTTCTCTGTAGCATAGACAACTACTTCAACCAGTCACCCAGCAAACAGCAGTTCAGGCCCTCACCTGACAGCACAATCTCGAAATGCCTGCTCTACTGGACCAGTCAAAAGGCCAAGAGCTCTATCCCTGAATTTAAGCTAAAGAACAGATGGCCACATAGATGGGCATTATCTCAGCTCTGAACAGAGCTGGCATCACCAAGTTGGGCTTATCATTATTATCAGGTGAATTTCATAAGAAACTAAGGCCAGGCACAGTGGCTTACGCCTGTAATCCCAGCACTTTGGGAGGCTGAGGTGGGCAGATCACCTGAGGTCCGGAGTTTGAGACCAACCTGGCCCCTGGCCAACATGGTGAAACCCCGTCTCTACTAAATACAAAAATTAGCCGGGCGTGGTGGCAGTCGCCTGTAATCCCAGCTACTCGGGAGGCTGAGGCAGGAGATCTCTTGAACCCGGGAGCAGAGTTTGCAGTGAGCCGAAAACGTGCCACTGTACTCCAGCCAGGGTGACAGAGTGAGACTCCGTCTCAAAAAAAAAAAAAAAAAAAAAAAAAAGACTGTCAAACAGTATTAATATTACCTTATTTGCCGTAGGAATGGTGTACAGTATAATGTCCACCCTATCACTCAAAGCCTCTCATACAGGTAGGAAATTTGTTTTAGAGCTCAATGTTAAGAAAGGTTTGCTCCTTTCCAATAATAAGAATTATATAACTCTGTCACCCTCTTTAACTTGGTAGCCAGAAACCTTCACGCTAGATCTGAAGCATACTATAGTGTGATATTTTGTGTATGAGCTACCACAAATCGTTGTAGAATGTGGAATATAGATAGACAAGACAGACTAGATTCTCTCTTTGATTGGACAGGGTCTCACTCTGTTGCTCAGACTAGAGTACAGTGGCACAATCATGGCTCACTGCAGCCTCAACCTCCTGGGTTCAAGCCATTCTTCTGCCTCAGATTCCCAAGTAGCTGGGACAACAGGCATGTGCCACCACGCCCAGCTAATTTTTGTATTTTTAGCAGAGACAGGGTTTCGCCATGATGCCCAGGCTGGTCTCGAACTCCTAAGCTCAAGTGATCTGTCCGCCTCAGCATCCCAAAGTGCTGGGATTACAGGCATGTGCCTGGCAGATAGATCCTCTTTCTTTCTGGCACTTCTTGCAGTCAATCCCACTGTTTTTGCATTTACATGCCATTACTTCTTATTTGAACACAATGGCATAGCATGTTAAAACCAAAACTACAGATATTTTTATTGTTGGCTACTTAAATTGGTTATTTACAGATGACAGAGACATTCTGGAATCTTACTAGTAAACTCTCACTAGCCTAAAATTCATTCAAAAAAGATGTACCAGACATCTACTATTTGTTAATATTTGTGGAGCGCCTACTCTGTGCCAGATACCACTCTCCACACTGGGGATGCAAAGGGAAGACAGTGTCCCTGGTGAGCTCACACTCCCAGGCTATGACTGATATGTTTTAGCGTAGTTCTCAAAAATAAGACTTTTTCCTGAAGGTGATGAGGGGTGACCAAACATTTGTAAACAGGAGGACAGCATGATTACAACTTGGTTTCAGAAAGATATCTCTGTCAGCAGTGCAAATCTTTGGCAAGGCAAGGTTATAACTTGAGAAATAGTTATGGGAATTTATGTTGAAAGGGCAATGAACTTTTGAAGCAAAAACACTGGCAGATAAAAGAAACATAGTGGAGTGTGTGTGTGTGTGTGTGTGTGAAGCAAAAGCTGTATAAAGGGGATCTGGCAATTGGTTGCTTGCTTCCCCAGAATGAGGGTGCTCTGAGGACTCCCCAAACCACTGAGCCCTGCAAAGCTGAGCAGCACTAGAAATCCTCCCTGCCTGGTGCAACCTTCAGATGGGGCAGGTTAGTGAAGTTGGGAGACTGGCTATACCTGACAAAGACCAGGTTGACAGTTGAGTACAGTCATGCACCACACAATGGCATTTCGGATAACGACGTACTGCATATATGATGATGGTCCCATAAGACTATAATGGAGCTGAAAAATTCCTGTTACCTAGTAATGTCCATTGTTAACATTATAATGCAACTCATTACTCATATGTTTCTGATGGTGCTGGTATAAACAAATCTAGTGTGCTGCTAGTCATATAAAAATAGTCATATAAAAATATAGCATGTCATATAAAAGTCATATAAAATATAGCACAGTACATTATATACAGTACATAATACTTGATAATAAACGACTATGTAACTGGTTTATGTATTTACTATACTATAATTTTTATTGTTAGAGTATAGTCCTACTTACTTAAAAAAAAGTTAAGTGTAAAACAGATTTAGGCAAGTCCTTCAGGAGGTATTCCAGAAGAAGGCATTGTTATAGGAGATGGCAGCTCCATGTGTGTTAGTGCCTCCGAAGACCTTAAAGTGGGACACGATGTGGAGGCAGAAGACAGTGATAGTGATGATCCTGTCCCTATGTAGACGTAGGCTTGTGTGTGTGTGTGTCTTAGTTTTTAACAAAAAAGTTTTAAAGAGTAAAAAAAGAAATTAAAAATAGGAGAAAGCTTATAGAATAAGGACGTAAAGTATTTCTGTACAGCTATACAATGTATTTGTATTTTAAGCTAAGAGTTTTACAAAAAGCAAAAAAGTTAAAGAAAATTAAGCTTATGAAGTAAGAAGGTTACAATAAGCTAAGGTTAATTTATTATTGCAGAAAGAAAAATATATTTTATAAATTTAGTAGCCTAAGTGTACAGGGTTCATAAAGTCTACAGTAGTACACAGCAATGTCCTAGGCCTTCACATTCTCTCACCACTCAATGATTCATCCAGAGCAACTTCCAGTCCTGCAAGCTCCATTCATGGTAAGTGCCATTTTAAATCTTGTATACCATACTTTTACTGTGCGTTTTCTATGTGTAGATACACAAATACCACTGTGCTACACCTGTCGTACAGTCCAGTAACCTTCTGTAGAGGCTTATAGCCTAGAAGCAACAAGCTAGACCATATGGCCTAGGTGTGTAGTAGGCTAACATGATAACAAGAGAAATCAGATCACAGAATCTCCCTAACCAAATACAAAATATACTGAATCTAAAGTAATAACATTAAATCACAACAACAGCAACAACTACAAAAATTACCAGCAGCAACCAAAAAGCAATAGGTACAACTTAATGCCATGTATTTTAAAACATGCTAGTCAGGACAAGAAAGAGATTATGGCACAGTCTCTTCCCCCAAAAGTAATATTGGTGAATCAACAAAATCCTGAATGTTTATTAATGAGCCAGATTTGGAGAGAAATACAAATTTCTGGATAGAGTGTGACAGAACTGGAGGCTGAACAGCAATGGTGAAGTGGGGGAAGTGACTAACTAGCAGCCACCTCATCCATGCTGAGCCTTCCAGGCCCCACACTGAGTCGGAGACTGATATAAAATTCTCTATGGGAACCAGGGACACTTCCTTCAGGGTTGAGGAATCCTACAACAGGGCAATTAAATCTCAGAACAGAAAGCAGTGCCCACATATTTAATACATAGCTCATTCATGTTGCTTAAGATTCAAGAAGTATAAGAAGATACACAGAGAAAATTCTCCCTCCCAATCCCATCACTACCCAGGTCCCTTTTCCACAGGTAACCAATTATTAATTCCTTGTCTAGCATTCAGAGATAAAGTATATAAAGCAAATATGTAGGTGAATGTATAAAGACATATTTATATACATTCTTTTTTCAATTTTTTATATAAAGGAAGAATTTTATACACATTCTTCTATACCTTGCTTTTCTTCCCTTAAAATTTATCCTGAAGATCTTCCTATATCAATATGTAAATTTTAATGACTGAGGCTTTATAATGTTTTCATAACCATACACTCTCCTAACCTGTACCCCCATGTCCTCAGGGTGTAGAAAAATGTGTAAAACAGAAAAATTCAAATCCTTAAATTGTAGCTCAGAGGGGAGAACAACTGAATCTTCAATACTGTGGAAATGCAGGCAGGGAGAATTTGGTAATACCTCTATCAGAGCAAATAAAATTGCTGGACAGAACTGCTAACACTTCAACAAGATGAAGAGACATGGCAACAACACAAACAGAATACAAGAAAGCAAGGAAACAAAAGGAAACCACCCATTGCATCCAGGGGGAAAGTCAAAGATTAAAGCAACTGGAAGATACTATGGAAAACGAAGACAACCCAACATAAGGATAACTGTTATCCCCAACGACGGGGATGCAACATGGAACAGAAACCTGAAATGAAAAAACTAAATCTGCACTGAAAGAATACACCGTGTTCCACATAACAACTGATAGTGAATGACTAAAACTGAGAAATTTCTTGGTTACAAAAATAATACTTCAGAGATCCAGACCAAAAAAATTACCTATAAAGTAGTAAAAACTCAGCCTGAGTTTAGACTTCTCCATAGCAACATCCAAAGTAAGAAGGCAATGAAGCAACACTATAAAGGTCTGAGTCAAAGAGAGTATGTTCGAGGATATCATACCCACTCAAGAGGTCATTTCAATACTACAATAAGGCAAAAGGTAGACATCACCAAATGTGAAAGAACTTCACGTATAATGCTTATGTGACCTTGAGAAACACAAGCTGTCAGAAACTCAGCCAAATGAAATAAATCAAAATAAAGAACTCAGGAATGGAGAAGTCATAATAAAAATGCCCATGGTGGGCACTAAATCCATTCAAATATAATATTAAGACTAAACAATTCTGGTAATTATGGTCATAGACTATATTATAAATGCTATGAACAATAATAAATTAATAACAATTTAAAAATAGGAGTGAGGGAAGAGATACTAATTTCCTTAACAGAATTAAGAATATTGTCTAAATGTCCTTAATAGAGTTAAGAGATGTTATGTAAAATGAAAATATAGGTAAACATAATTTGAATCTAGAATTTTCATAACTTTTTTCTTATATCTTTTAGCAAATAGTGTTGCCAGGCATGGCAATCCCGGATCTTTGGGAAGCCAAGGTGAGACAATCACTTGAGTCCAGGTGTTTGAGACCAGCCTGGATAACAGTGAGACTCCACATCTACAAAAATTTTTTTAAAAAATAGCCGGGCATGGTAGCATGTGTCCGTAATCCCAGCTACTCAGGTTGAGGTGGGAGGAACGCTTGAACCAGGAGTTTGAGGCTGCATTGAGCTATGATGGCACTAACTGCACTCCAGCCTGGAATGACAGTGAGACCCTATCTCAAAACAACAACAAATACACATACACACACACACACACACACACACACGGTAAAAAAAAGTTTTAAAATTTTTTTTTGATGAATAATGTTTTTAATGAAAAATGTCTTTTTCATGATAGTATAAGCTATGTCTGTCTGCCTACTTTTTCTTTCTCATATTAATATACATGTGAAGAGAATGCTCTCTGGAATGACATTTAACTAATACTAATGAAGATTAGCCCTATTGATAGAATTTAGAATAATTTTAAACTCTCCTCTTTATACTTTTCCACACTGCCTACTTTTAAAGAACACAAATTAAATTTTCAAAATTAAAAAAATCATTATTCTTAACAATAAATTAAACTTTTGGCACTAGCAAAAAGATAATTCTAAAAGTGAACCACTTATAATCTTAAACAGGAATTTTCTTTCTTTCTGTTAGAGTACAAGCTAATCTCAGGGTAACAGAAAATATTTCTGACCAAAATGGAGAAGGATGGGATATAAAACAGGAGCCGGAGCAGATTCAAACACCATGGGACTCAGAAAAGAGGATGGCTGGTGTTTTCAGGGGACTGACAGAGGGCAATTCTCTTTTCTTTTTTCCCAGAACATAGAAAACTGGCCATGTCTCTTGGGGTTGCAGCTCCCGACCACCCCCAGAAAGCAATATTCAATAAATTTCACATAACCACACTTAGGTTATTGGGTTCCGACAAAAGAAATTTGTCTTAGACTGAAATCAATAGCAAAACTATGGTATTTATAAGTTCTGTGGATTTCCTTGAAGTTGGCATTCTGAAATATGTACTAAACTTTAAAAGGGCATTATATTTTCTTTGTGCTAAAAGGATAGTGTTACTACATATATTCATGCTTAATTGTAATGAAACAGAAATGAATATTAAAGGAGAAACATAAGAAATCAAGTATATTGATACTTCAGGTGTCATCATTGGTAAGAAGTGTGGGGCTAGATTGAAATCTTTTCCATTTAAGTGACAAAACTAAGTACAGAGGTGCTTCTCTAACTAGGGCATGCATACCCAAAAGATGTAACAGTGGTGTCCAATCCAGTGACATCCTACTAGTGGTCAACTTACTCAAACTCAGCTATATGAACTCAACCAAAACAAAATGAACAGAAAAATAACTTAGTGTGAGCAACTGCACCCAGCATTTTACGATGTGAGTATGTGCACCAGAATGAATGGTGGTCTTAGGTCCCCTGGCCTCTCAGCATGATGATTGTGATGTTACTGTTCTTTATACTATCTTTGGATAATGTAATTTTAATATAGTTCCTAAATGAGAGCCAATTATATCATATGGCATTCAAATGAAGGAAGAACGAACACTTTCAACTGGAGAATAAAGCAGCTGTGCTAGACTTACTAGGAGCTGATACTAAGTTGCACTGTGATGTACGAGTAATTTAAATTTAAGGTATTTTTCATAGGAATTTTACCCCTACATAAGCAATTCTACTTCAGAAGATATAGCCACTGGATATATACAGTATATCTTCATGGAATATTGATTTTCCCTGAAAACTTTGGGGGAAATCCATTTTTACATTAAATAGATAAAAGGGGACCCAAAGGTGTCTCATTTAAGGAAGGCTACCTTGCCTTTACTCTCAAAACCTTCTGGGGCGAAATTATATTCCCCATTGGTGTTTAGAAAACTTGGGAAGAAAAGCTGAAAGAGCACTATAATACATAATAAAAAACACATATGGGGCCGGCTTGGTGATTCACGCCTGTAATCCCAGCACTTTGGGAGGCCGAGGTGGGCAGATCACTTGAGGTCAGGAGTTTGAGACCAGCCTGGCCAACGTGGTGAAACCCCATTTCTACTAAAAATACAAAAATTAGCTGGGCATGGTGGTGTGTGCCTATAGTCCCAGCTACTCGGGAGGCTGAGGCACAAGAATCACTTGAACCCAGGAGGGCAAGGCTGCAGTGAGCCGAGATCTCACCACTACACTCCAGCCTGGGCAACAGAGTGAGACTCGGTCTCAAAGAAAAACAAAATTAAAAAAACGTATGGTAGAAGTCAGGCTCAGGGAAAATAAGGGTAAAAACAATAATTTAAAATCATGAGAGAAATTAATACCTAAACAAATGCAGAGAAGGCCTGTGCACCTGTTTGAGGTGGATCACAAACTTGGCTCTGAGCTCCTTTACAACCAATACAATGAGAGAAAATAATCCAGTTGTACAATTCATAGGGTCCATGAAAGAAATAAAACCTGGGCTGGGCGCGGTGGCTCATGCCTGTAATCCCAACTCTTCAGGAGGATCACTTGAGTTCAGGAGTTTGAGACCAGCCTGGGAAACATGGCAAGGCCTCGTCTCTACTAAAAAAAAAAAAAAAAAAAAAAAAAAAAAGACAGGCATAATGGTGTCTACCTGTAATCCCAGCTACTCAGGAGGCTGAGACGGGAGGATCACTGAGCCTGAGTCTGAGGCTACAATGAGCCATGATCACGCCACTGCACTCCAGCCTAGGGGACGGAGTGAGACCCTGTCTAAAAAAAAAAAAAAAGAAAAGAAAAGAAAGAAAAAAATCCTGGTGCTTGGTTTTTTGAGCCGTGTTCCTATATATTAATGACTTTGCTGTACTGGTTTCTAGTTCACTGGATGTACTTTATTCATTTTCTTTTCTACTTCCTCCATTTCAGACGGCCAGCTGTCCAAATATCTGCCACTAGCATCTTACTCATCCACTTATTGAAGTTCTTACAGGTAAAAAATAATAAATTGGTTTCAAGAGAGGGCCCAGAGACCTCTTAAGGGAATGACTTTTTTGAAAGCTTTCTCGAACATTCAGAGCCTCCTCACTTGCTTGTTTACTTTTGAGGTCTCCACTCTGAAAGTCTAACCTCTGAATGAGAGCAAAATATAGACATGAAATAAATGACACATATTTCCTTTCTGAAGATAACTTAAAAGGGTGTCACGTTTTGAAAAAGATGAAAATGTGAAGATAATAGATGTCATTCTCTGAGAGGACACAGTGAGTCAATTGTAAGTCATGGAAACTTACTCAAATCTCTGTATTATAGTTAGCATTCCAATAGGAAATTCCCACCCTATTATTTTTATTGTTTATGGAATACCAGTGTTTTAAACCAGATTGTTAATTAGAGCCTTGAAATATGAATGGTTCATATGTATTTCACCAGCAAGAGCACATCACAGACAGTTTTTTTTTAATTAGTAAAACTGTCAGGGCCGAACAAAATTGAACTTTTAAAAAACAGTTGAACTATTATATATATCATCACTTTTTGCTAACTTATACTAATAACCCATAAGTACCTTGAATGCTGGATAAAAAAATTATTAGTATTTCTATTTTAAAAATTTATCAAATACTGTTTCAATATACTTTTGAAAACTTTTTTATGCAAAGCTTTTTCAAAAAGCTAAACCCAGCCGGGCACGATGGCTCATGTCTATAATCCCAGCACTTTGGGAGGCCAAGGTGGGTGGATCACCTGAGGTTAGGAGTTCGAGACCAGCCTGGCCAACATGATGAAACCCCATCTTTGCTAAAAATACAAAAATTAGCCGGGTGTGGTGGTACGCACCTGTAATCCTAGCTACTCAGGAGGCTGAGGCAGGAGAATTGCTTGAGCCTGAGAGGCGGAGGTTGCAGTGAGCCAAGATTGCACCACTGCACTCCAGACTGGGCAACAGAGTGAGACTCTGTCCAAAAAAAAAGCTAAACCCAACCTAATAGCCACTTTCTTGAAATAACACAAGATCTAATAAACAACAAGGTTGAGAGAATAAGTCATTTTCTCTTGACTCTACTAAACCAGCGATCGCAGGATTTCACTTAAGCAAACCAAGAAATATACTCCTATTGGCAATGTTCCTTCTTCAGAGTTCTACCAAACTATGTGGGGCAGGGAAAGAAGACTGGAGATAATATTTAGCTGTACTAGAAGGTTGTGAAAAAAGGCATCCATGGGAAAGATTCTCTATGTAAGAGAGCAAGGAACTGCTGGGGTTAAATATGGTGCTTTTTTACTAAGAAAATGTTGGCTGTCAGAGTTGGAAAGGATCCAAGCAATCAAGTTCAATTCAACACTTGATAGATGTGAGGTTGGGAGAAGGTAAAGTGACTTGCCAAGCTTACATAGATAGTTCAATATAACAAATTGGTATGTACGTTTAACATTTGGTGGTCACTCTCTAAGAAGGTAAATTAATGGTCTTTATATAACTAGGACAAAATCAAATATTTGCAACCAATGTTTGAAATGTTCACAATGTAAAATGCTTGCAACCAATATGACAACAGATTAACATTTAAAGTATATAAAGAATACATCCCAGCACTTTGGGAGGCCGAGGCGGGCGGATCACGAGGTCAGGAGATCGAGACCATCCCGGCTAAAACGGTGAAACCCCGTCTCTACTAAAAATACAAAAAATTAGCCAGGTGTAGTGGCGGGCGCCTGTAGTCCCAGCTACTTGGGAGGCTGAGGCAGGAGAATGGCGTGAACCCGGGAGGCGGAGCTTGCAGTGAGCCGAGATCCCGCCACTGCACTCCAGCCTGGGCGACAGAGCGAGACTCCGTCTCAAAAAAAAAAAAAAAAAAAAAAAAAGAATACAAATTGTTTTTATCTTTAAAAAAATCAAGATGCTAATAGGCAAATGAGCAAAGGGCATAAATAGACAATTCACACAAAAATGGCCACAATTAATAAACAAATATATGGAATTATATTCAACTCCACAATTAGCAATAAAGCGCATCAAAGAAACTATTAATACTTATGATTTTTCTATAAGTAACTTAGTGAATATTAAAAAAGAATCATAATACCCAAATGCTGGTACTATGTTGAAACAACCATACTCACATTTTACAAATGGGCACAATCCTTTGGGAATTCAATCTGGTAATATTATTTAAGAGTTAAAAGAATATTCATATGTTTTGAATTAGTCATTACACATAAAGATGTATGCTAAACGCATAAGCCAAAGACTAAAACATCTATCTATCAACAGAGATGCCAACGGCATAAGCCAAAGACTAAAGAGTGTATATATCGACACAGACATTGGTTGAAAAATTATTTCTAATATTTTAAAAATGAGAACAACTTGTTCTCCACTGAGAGAGACATGATGATACATCTCATTATCAGGTATTTTGTAGTAATTTAGAAGTATTAGTGAATACAAGATGAGCCGAAACATTCTGTCGTATCAGAAAGCAGAACATTATTAAAGATCACTGGGGTCCTTTCAAAAAGGACTCAGAAGATAATCTGAAGATGCTCCAACTGGCCAAGAATGGGCTAATATGAGCATCAGAAAGAATCGTTAAAATGGATGGAATCACATCAAATATGTTAAAAGCTATGAGATTATGACAAAATAAAATGAAAACCTTCACTGTCCCTTTGACACTCTGATTCTTGCTGTTTGGGGGAAGGGTGTGTGTATACGTCAGTATTAGTGCCTGCCTGAGTTGGGAATATTACATTCCAGGTTCTGTATGAACAGAGGGCTGTATAAAGCAACAGGAAACACTAGCCCTCATTCCGTTTTAAATTACAGACCAATGTAAAACTAATTTAAACTGGATTTCCCCCCCTCAAAATGGAAACAGTTATTTTCTTTTAGAGTTAATGAAGTATTGGTAGCTGAAGCCAATTTGACCGTCAACGGATGAGAGGTATTGCTGTCTGATTTCAAACTAAACCCTGAACCTTTTTTTAAAGAAACCAATAAAACACATTTTACATGGAAAAAGAAACCCTACACACTTTCACTGGTCTTCTTTAGAGGATTCCGGGAAACCAACACATTATCCTGAAAACTCGTAAATCAAGGGAAAGAATCAAAGTAAAAAAAACAAAGAATATTGTTATATCACAAGAAATGAGGAAAAACTGTTACCTCTGAGGAAGGGCACTGGATGGCTGGGGGACTGGGGTGGGAAAGAGACTCACTTTCCACTGCATACCCTTTTATAGCTTTTGCATTTTATACCATGTGAATGAATTACTTATTAAAAAAATAAACTCATTTAAAGTGTCACTATAAAGGATCACATAACAAAATGGAAAAATGATTATATTAAAGGAAAAAAAACTGTCAGAATCCAAATGATAGCCACTCGAATTATAACAATGTAGACACTGGATATGCATACAGACCAGGTCTAAAAGGAAACACAGAAAAATAAAAATTATTGACCAGCATTGCAGAATATGGGGGATTTTTTTCTTTTCATTAAAAAGAATTCCGTTGCTATATTTATAATTTATTTGTCTAATAAGTAATGTTACAGTGACATTTAAATGGAAAAATACAGTCTTTTTTCCCTTTCTGTCATTTATACTTTTAGGAAATCTTGGCTTTTTGAATCTTGAGCCCATAATCAAGGCACCAAGAACTGTTTGGGGGTAACAACTCTGAGTGCAGGCAAAAGATCCAAGAAGGATAAAAGGGACTCTTGAGTGCTGTTCACACAGATGTTAAAAGTACAAATGACTTTGCCCAGCTCTGCTTTCCCATCCTGTACTAATACGGGGGTGGTGGCAGTGGTGGCGTTCCCCGAGTAGGAGGCCCACAGAACATGGAAAGAGCCTGTCGACAGCACATAAAAGACACACACTGAAAACACTGCTCGCAGGAGGAGTGAAGCTTGTCAAAGTACTGCAGAGGCTGGGAAAGTGAAGAGAAGAGAAAGAGCAATTATAGCCCGCACCTAACAATTCCTCAGCTAAATTTAACTGGAGAGGTGGAATATATCTGCAGCTTGAAAACGATAGGCAAATGAATGTTCAGGTACAAGAAGACCCAACCCACACAGAACATTAAATGGTCATTGCAAAAAAAGATATTTTTTCATATCAATCTTCTGTAATATTCTGATATTTCCATTGTCATGCCCCAAAATAAATAAATGGCCTCAAGAAGGAATAAGGAAATGCTAGGCTCAGAGTGAAAGCTTTTATTTCTTGTTAGAAGATAAATCAAAATCAATAAGAATTTATCAATGTCAGGTTTTTTCAGAAATGCTACCTAAAAAATTTCCAGCTATAAATAATGGAAATAAAATGTTAACTTTTATTTACTTTTTGAAGGTTTAAATGGAATTATTTATCTAAAGTTTTCCAAATTTTTATGTCAAGAGATATCTCAGCTAATATACTTATTCATACTGAACTATGTTCACAAATAATTCCAAATATAATTTCTAAATTTCAAATGCCATTTTTGTTATGCACAGAAATGTATTTCAAGATGGTAACACAGGCAGGAGGAATGCTTGAGCTCAGGAGTTTGAGACCAGTCTGGGGAACATGGCAAAACCCTGTCTCTCCAAAAAATACAAAAACTAGCAGCATGTGGTGGTGCATGCTTGTGGTCCCAGCTACTCGGGAGGCTGAGGTGGGAGGATTGCTTGAGCCCAGGAGGTCGAAGCTGTAGTAAGAGAGACCCTGCCTCAAAAAAAAAAAAAAAAAAAAAAAAGATGGTAAAAATATAATTATTTCTGGGTAATGAGATCAAGGGTGTTATTTACCTTCTTCTTTAGTACTTTGGTACTAGCTGTTTTTTTTTTTTTTTTAAACAATGTGTATGTGTTACTTTATATTAGAAATAAAGTCTTTTGGTCAGGCGCAGTGGCTCACGCCTGTAATCCCAGCACTTTGGGAGGCTAAGGCAGGCAGATCACTTGAGGTCAGGAGTTTGAGACTCGCCTGGTCAACATGGCGAAACCCCGTCTCTACTAAAAATACAAAAATTAGCTGTGCGTGGTGGCACATGCCTGTTATCCCAGCTACTCAGGAGGCTGAGGTGGCAAAATTGCTTGAACCCAGGAGGCAGAGGTTGCAGTGAGCCAAGATCATGCCACTGCACTCCGGCCTGGGCAACAGAGCGAGACTTAGTCTCAGTAAAAATAAATAAATAAATAAATAAATAAATAAATAAATAAATAGAAATAAAGTCTTTTTACTTTAAAAAAAAAAAAAAAAAGACCACAACTTGATTTAATAGTCACCATATTGCCAATTCTGTTAAAAATAAAAATGGGTACAATTTCCACTGAAACAATATACAACAATCATTTTCATATACAACTTATTTACAATCATCTTACCAAAAATATATATAATAATAATAAGATTTTTTTTTTTTTTTGGAGACAGTCTCCCTTTGTCGCTCAGGCTGGAGTGCAGTGGTGCGATCTTAGCTCACTGCAACCTCCACCTCCTGAGTTCAAGTGATTCTCCTGCCTCAGACTCCTGAGTAGCTGGGATTACAGGCGTGCACCACCATGCCCAGCTAACTTTTGTATTTTAGTAGAGATGGGGTTTCACCATGTTGCCCAGGGTGGTCTCGAACTCCTGACCTCAAGCAATCTGCATGCCTCAGCCTCCCAAAGTGCTGGGATTACAAGAATGAACCACCGTGCCTGGCTCAAATATATCAAAAAAAATCTAAATGGAAACAGCTTTTGGAAGAGTTTATTTATTCAAGTACCCCTTATTATTAATGAGGACTTTAATGGGAGGAAAACAAGATCACGTACAAGATCATTATTGAGATTTATGACCACGTATATTACCTAGGGGTAAACTACTCTGTGTTTTTGCTTCTGGATTCCAACACTAAAGATATAGAGCCGATTCATTACTTACACTGAGTACTGTACTATCACTATGTGCTATTGCCAAGTGGATGGACTCATGGATTGCTCTATCGGCTCAGGACTTGAGCAACCATCCAAACCCTTGTGGCAGACAATACCATTTGCTTACCCACTATACAATGTCCCTTTCTGTCTCACTAACAGAACACTGATCTCATCTGGGTTAGCAATGTACCCTGCTAAAACACTAGCTTTCTTGGGATCCCATGCAACTTGAGGAAGCCACCTAGCACAGTTCTGACCAAGGAAACATAAACCAAGTTTCTGGAAAGCCTTGCACTTTCTGCCTGGAATGTAAACATGACACCATATTAACTCATCACAGACGTCTTATAACCATAAGACTACAAGTACAAAGACAGAAGTCTCACACTAAGGATAGTAGAGCAGAAAGACAGACTTCCTGTTATATAGGAAAAATAAATCCCTACTTGATTAAAGCCACAGTAGTCAGAATTCTGGTATGCATAACCAAATGCAATCCTACTTATCCTTTTATAGTTGAGAAAATGAACTCAATATCTGAAGAGAATCTGGGTGGACTTAAGAAGTCAAACCATCAGAGTGCAGGACAAGGCAACACTTTTAAAAGAAGCCATTTCAATTACACTTTTCAGTCATGGAAAGCAATGACATCAATAAGAAAAAATATGGTGGAAATTTGGTGTAATAATTTTTTTCTGGTAAACAATCTTCTGAATCATCTATAAAACAGAGTTCATATCTAAAAAAATTTGCTAGTATATTATGTCCAAAAATTTTAAAAATCTGCTTTCTCTTACAATTTTGACATGTAGTATTCATGAACATCTTTTAAAAACATCTTTCTAGAGCCAAGAATGTGGCAACTCAATGTCAGGTCAAGATCTACCAGATATAAATGAAGTATTTAACGAACGTACTTAACTATTATAAATAGTTGATTGCCCTTTAATAAATAATTTTCCTTTAAAAGTGTTGGAATTGTGATTACGCCTTCCTCCACACAGATTATTTTAAGGAAAAAATTTCCACCCATAAGCATTATACTCTAACCAACTAAGCAAATCAGCCCCAGATCTAAGATGAAAATGTTATATGAATAAACTCTAAAGAGCTAGGACATATGTATTCCCCTTGATTCTTCACAGTAGATAAAGTACTGTGGGAATTACTTTGCTTTGAATTCCAGGGACGTTTCATAAATATTTATGGACTGAAAGTGTGAGTGAATGTGGAGAACACTGAACACAGCTCACAGGTCCCAGAGCAGGTTCCTGTCAAGTTTAGGAGGAAGCCCTTTCCAAGTGAGAGTTCTGGAAGGGAAAGGGATATTCCTTACCATGTATCAACAAGAAGCTAAGAGCCCTCACATGCTATACTACTACAGGTGGAGTCTGCACTGAGAGTCATCAGCCCACTTGGCTCCTACCATGTATGACCTACCAGGATGACCAGAGCCTGTATGAGGTGGTATATGTTAGACCAAGCATTACGTTAGATTACATAGAAATAAAGGGAGAAACAAACTGGGCTATACTGCTGTTCAAACGACAATAACGATACTAAAAGTTAACATCTACTAAGAGCATTCTATGCATCAGGCCCGGATCTACATCCTTTACTTATATTAATTAATTTACTTCTCACACACTTCTGTGAGGTAGGCACCATTTTCCTCAACGCATACATGAGGGAACTGAGGTCCAGAGAAGGCAACTCACACTTACTAAAGCACACAGTAAGCAAGTGGAAGAACCAGAATCAAAGCCAGGCAGTCTGGCTTCAGAACCATGCTCTTAACTACTAAGCTGTACCACCTTCAACCTAGGAAGAAAAAAATCAGGAAAAACAAGCCTGTGGTGGGTGGTGCTAACAATACGTCCACGAATTCTTTGATACTCCTCCCTTCACAAGGCAGAGCCTAATTCTCTGCTAGGGCGTGATGTGGGCTTAGTAACTTGCTTCTAACAAATAGAAAACAAGCAGAAGTAATGGTATGTGACTTAAAAGAGACTGGATCATAAAATGCACTGCAGCTTCCTCCTTGCCCTCTCTTAGACCTCTTCTCTTCCTTGAGGAAAACCAGCTGCTATGTCACAAGGGACATTCTAGCACGTGGTGAGGAGCCAGGACCCCCTGCCAACAGCCATCCCCCAGTTCCAGTCCAGTCTGCAGATGACTACAGCCCTAGCCAACACTTTGACCGCAACTGCATGAGAGACTGGGCCAGAACTACTCACCTAAAGCGCTCCCGAATTCCTGACCCACAGAAACTGAGAGATTGGAAACATTTTGTTTTAAGCAACTAAGTTGTAAGATATGTTTTAATGTATCAATAGAAAACTACTACTACTACTATCCAAAAATAGATTACAACACGCAGAACCTTTTATCAGAGCCAGTTTTTTTTTCTTTTTGAGATGGGGTCTCGCTTGTCACTTAGGCTAAAGTAAAATGGTACAATCATAGCTCACTGCAGCCTCCACCTCCTGGACTCAAGCAATCCTCCTGACTCAGCCTCTCTGAGTAGCTGGAACCACAGGTGTGTGTCACCATGCCTGGCTAAATTCTTTGATTTTTTTGTATATATAGGGCCTCACTATATTGCCCAGGCTGGTCTTGAACTCCTAGGCTCAAGTGATCCTCCAGCTTTGGCCTCCCAAAGTGCTGGGGTTGCAGGCATGAGCTACTGTGCCCAGCCCAAGATTTTCAATATCAAATCATATTTAGATAAGCTATAAATTGTGTAATTACTTAATGATCTCGTATGTTTGTTCACTCTCTGAAAGCAATACCATTTTGACCATTGCAGAAGGGTAGAACAACATATCCTTTATGTCCCTTCAAAAGCTTATGAATAGAACTAATTAATATCTGAAATTCTACCTTACTTACTTTATTAAACAAGGAGTATATTAAGGTTAAAAGATTATTCCTGCCTTAAATTGTCACATATTCGCTTAAGTCAATAAAAAAACAATATATTCCACCTCCAAAAATCTATAAGAACAAGCTGTCTATTCAAGGTGCTAATCTGCCATTATTTATAGACCCTTGACTCCTTTCTGAGCAGCCGTCATTAACAGAACAATTTAGGAGTTCAAAATACTCTTTACTGAACTCAACTGCCTCCTGAAGTTATTAGTCACACTTCTCAAGGCTACAGTGTGATAACTGCTAAAGATGAACTGCATCTCAAGAAGGCTGTGAAGAAGAGCCACCATCAAAAGCACCAAGATCAGGGCTGGGAGCGGTGGCTCATGTCTGTAATCCCAGCACTTTGGGAAGTCAGGGCAGGCACATTTCTTGAGCTCAGGAGTTTGAGACCAGTCTGGACAACATAACGAAACCCCGTCTCTACCAAAAATACAAAACTTAGCTGGGCGTGGTGGCATGCACTTGTGGTCACACCTACTTGGGAGGCTGAGGTGGAAAGATTGCTTGAGCCTGGGAAGTTGAGGCTGCAGTGAGCTGTGATCACACCACTGCACTCAAACCTGGGTGACAGAGCAAGACCCTGTCTCCAAAAACAACAACAACAACAAAAACACCACAAAGATCAGCTGCTGCTTGCAGACTGACATACCTCTAAAGCCCTTCTTCCTGATCATTCAGATATCTTTTATTAGGTTTGAGGATTTCTGGGGGTGTTTTCTGCCCCAAAATTATAACTGCAGTCTTCAAGGCACCCCAGAGTTGTCATTTGGGAATCCAGGTATGCTCAGAGGACAAATACTGGCCTACCTCTTGGTGTAGAAGGGAAAGAGAAACAGTAAGTTGGATTTTAGTCTAGAAGTATTTAAGGCTGAGTGTGGTAGCTCACATCTATAATCCCAACACTTTGAGAGGCTGAGGCAGGAGAATTAATTGAGGCCAGGGGTTCTAGACCAGCCTGGGCAACATAGTGAGACCCTGTTTCAACAACAACAACAAAAAGAAGTATTTGATACTTTGCTTACCCCATTCTCCCATGCCCCAGGCTTTAGCAATGGCCAGCCTCAAGCTGTCCCATCGAAACTCAAATCCCCTAAAGGAAAAAGAACAGGCGCAGGATCAAGATTGGTATCTGCGCAGTGAGGACTGAAGAGAATGTGAATAGGGAATGAGAAGGAACCACTAGAGAAGCAAGAGGAAAAAGAGAAATGGAGAAAATGAGCAGCAATGAAGCGGCTAGAAAAATACAGAGAAAGAAAGGGCAAGAGGGAAGAGAAAAGGGGGAGATTTAGAGTAGGGGATGAAGGCAAAAGAGGCTTTGTTTTTTGTTTTAAAGAACAGAAACACAAGTGGCAGAGAAATGATGTTCCCTGAAAGGAAAAGAGGTAGACAGAGAAGCAGAGGGCAAATGGTGAAGAAGACAAAGGCTGACACCCCAGGTTCCTGATTAGGAACGAGGTGGAAACTGGTAGTGCCACTAGCAGATCCAGAGTACAGAGGAGAGCAGGTCGGGGAACAATGATGAGGTGGCTTCTGCACATGTTGAGTCTGTGGTGTCTGCAGAGGAACCATGTGGAGATGTCCAGGTGGGCAGCTGGGACAGAGATGCAGGAGAAGGATGTGGCCCAGAAGTGGTATGTGGGAGCCACTGAAGCTGTGGGAAGGTACAGTGGCACCATACAGGGAGACTGCAGAGGGGAAGAGAAAGGTTATGGGCCAGAGCACATGGAGCACCATTTGCAGGATGCAGGGAGAAAGAAGAACCCATGAGGGAATCTCAGGACAAAGGCAGGTGACTAAGGTGCAGGATGAGAGCTGGGAGAGAGACTGGTAGTGTGGGAGAGTGAACAGTCTCACTCACCTTGAGTGGCAGCAATGTCCTCAAGTAGTCAGGTTTTCAGTAAGGTAAGAAACTGAGGATGTTCGTACTCTGTGAGGACAGAGGTGACCTTGTTTATCATGGAAAAGGGTTCCAGAAAGCCCTGTGGCCTTCCTTCTGTGTTCCTCTACCTCTTTGAACTTACCCTTTCGGCGAAACATTTGTCACACTGTCCCTCTGTGCTTCATGTTTACCTCCTAGGCTTAAGGGCAGGTGTGGGTCAGACTGAGTTTTGTATCCTCAGTGCTTTGTCAGTGCCACGCCTGCCACCCAGTAGAAACTCGATAAATGATAAATATAGGCCGGGCACGGTGGCTCACACTTGTAATCCCAGCACTTTGGGAGGCCAAGGTGGGTGGATCATTTGAAGTCAGGAGTTCGAAACCAGCCTGGCCAACATGGTGAATCCCCATCTCTACTAAAAAAAAATATATAAAAATTAGCCAGGCATGGTGGCGAGTGCCTGTAATCCCAGCTACTCGGGAGGCTGAGGCAGGGAATCCCTTAAACCCGGGAGGCAGAAGTTGCAGTAAGCTGAGATTGTGCCATTGCACTCCAGCCTGGTGACAGAGTGAGACTGTCTCAAAAAAAGAAAAAAAAAAAGAAAAATTAATAATAAATACTTGTGGGTTTTCTGGAGGGACACTGGGAAGTCTATATTAGTAAAAGCCTTGGAATATATAACTTTTGACCTATTTCTGGAAATTTATCTATAGAGATTAATCACAGCTGTATAAACATTAAGCTACAAGTAGTTATAATTTGCACACTTTAAAACCACCAACATATTTAACAAATAGACAACTGGTTAAAAATCACAATATATCTATATAGCTGAATATTAGAAATCCTCCAAAAATCTATACAGATCAACAGTAACAAATACAAGCATACAAACCTCACATCTTCAGCACAATTAATTGACACAGACTACAGACTCAATACACCTGTAAGTAAAAATAATAAACAGCAAATTCCAAGCACAGCTATCTCCTGAGGTCCCACTGCAAATCTTTGTGGAAAGTGAGGAGAATTTGGAAAAATGGCATGGAAGAGAGAAGAGCAGAACAGAAGGCCTAAATCTGAGCCAAAATCACTCCTGAAAGAGACAGTCTACCCTAATTATAAAAACACTGAAAAACATCTTATTTGGAGCACTAACCACAGGGAAGAGACAGAGTCTGTGGGATGCTATGGCAATCTGAAAACGGCATTGCTTCTAAGGAAGAAATGAGTAAAAAAGAAGGGAGAGGAGGTGCCCTCTAGTGACTGGATAGGGAAAGAGAAAGAGGCAGGAGGAAATTTAGATTCCTGTAACACAAAGGTGAGGTAAAACAATCAGGGTCA
Source organism: Homo sapiens (assembly GCF_000001405.40). Classification (NCBI taxonomy): domain Eukaryota; kingdom Metazoa; phylum Chordata; class Mammalia; order Primates; family Hominidae; genus Homo; species Homo sapiens. Next base: position 123,552,384 of record NC_000003.12, read on the forward strand.
TATAATTCCTCCCCCACCGACCTCTTCAAGCAAAAAGCCATCCACTAAAGAGACTATACTTCACTGCATTTAAGCATTACAGTGTTTGCAAACTAGGGATCTTATAAACCAACCCAAACTTCCAATCTTGTCTACAAAAGGAGCAGATGCAAGTAGTTTACAACTATACAAAACCATTTTCAGGAGAAAATAGAAAAAGAAGATCAAAACATTTCAGCTAATGAAAATGCCCTCCAAAAAATCACAAAGGAAACTTTAACACAATAACCCAAACTGAATTAAATATCCTTAAATAGGCATTTGGGCTATGAAAAAAATACATGTTTAATCAATTCAAAAACTGAAAATAGAAATGGACTAAAAGTGGGCAGAACTGAACAAAAAATTGATTAAATTCAGTAAAAAAAAGAAAAAGATAAAATTATATCTGAAATGAAGACTAAATTTCAAAGCACCCAAAGGAGAACAGATTCAAATAAAAATGTAATAAAGAAAATTGAATAATAAAAGCAAAATAACCATGAGAATGAAAATAGGATAAGCAAAGAAGAGGGATCAGAGTAAAGCAGTTGAAAGGGAAGGAGGCAAAGAAGATCCAACACACATATGTTTGGAATCCTTAAATTAAAAGAGAAACAAAATAATGAAACAGAAGTAAAATTTAAAACTATAGTCTAATAACACTTTCAGAAACAAAAGAAGGCCCAAATCTACATACTGAAAGGGCCTATTGGGTATCTGGGAAAATCACCCTGTAAAGCTCAATTGAGGCATGTCCTAGTAAAACTATTAGACTTTAAAAAGTATGTATATTTACAGAGACAGAGAGAGAGAAAGATCTCAGAGTTTTATGATAAAAAGACCACATATCTCAAAAGGGCAAGATAATTAGGTTGGCATCAGACTCCCCAAGGGAAACATAAAAACAAGGTGACAATGGAGCAGCATTTTCAAGAAATTTAAGGGAAGAAAAAGTCAACTAAGGATTTTGTATCTAGCAAATCAGTCCTTCAAATATCAAGGCTACAGAAAAAGTCTTAAACATGGATGGACTCAGAGAATACTATGCCCACAGCCCTTCTTGGGAATCTTTTGGGGACAGGCATTCTGCCATGGGCCCTGGGCATTCCTGCTAGGTATGCCAAAAAGGCAAGCTCCTGACTGCTCTTTTCCCAGGTCATTTCTTAGGCTTGTGTTTTCAAGGAGCAACCTGGAAGGATAAGGCAGCATTGATTCCCAAAGAGCTTCCATTTACTATAAAAACACTAGATTCCTCAAGTGCTCTAATATAAACCACTGCATATTTAGATATTCATCTAGACGCACATGTGTCATCCCCATGGGACTTGGGGGACATGGAGAACTGATGCAAATGAAGAGGGTGTTCTGGCTATTGTTTTTCCCATGAGTAATATGGCAATATATTTGTATCTGGCCCAAGAGTCTCATGTTTTCTGTCAGGATCCATGAAATGCTAACAAACTTACTAGCTTGTGAGTAAGGTGACATCTCCAATGTGTCACAGTTCCTGACACTACTAGAGAATGAGCTTCATCCAACTAAAAGAATAATATATATTATTATTTTATATAATATATATTATTCTTCCCTTGACTTTTTTTTCCCTTAAATTTCTTGAAAATGCTGCTGCATTGTCACCTTGTTTTTATGTTTCCCTTGAGGAGTCTGATGCCAAACTAATAATATATATTATTCTTTTATATAATATATATTATCCTTCATCCAACTAAAAGAATAATATATAAATGTTATATGTTCTGACAAGCTATAAACAATGTAAGTTTAAAAATGGGAGAAGGGAAAGAGGAAAGTAGAATAAGCTCACTGTTATACTGGCAATAGGTGGGAGTTAAAAGACAACCTTTAAAAACTGACAAGCTTGAGAGTAAAAAATTAAATAAGAAAACAGAGGACTAAGGGCATTTAAAAAGATATAAAGACATATCAGTAGCTGGACATGGTGGTACACATCTGTAGTCCCAGCTGCTTGAGAGGCTGAGGCAGAAGGATCACTTGAGCCCAGGAGTCCAAGGCTAAAGTGTGCTATGATCACTTCTGTGAATAGCCACTGCACTCCAGCCTGGGCAACACAGTGAGACCCCATCTCTCGAAAAAAAATTAAAGAAAATAAAGAAAACACATCAGGTAGGCAAATACAGCAAATATAACAGAGTATGTAGCAATTATAACATAAATGTAACAGAGTAAGATAAACATACCTGTCATATCAAAAACTATGAACGAGCTTAACTCACCTATTATATGAAAGATTTTCAAACTGGCTCACAAAACAAAACCCAACTCTATGCTAATATTAAAGTGATTGATTAAGGGACACAAAATAAAAGAATGCACAAGGGCATATCAGGCAAATGGAAACAAAAGAAAGTAGAGGGTCATGATTTTGATTCCGATAAAGTAAGATTTAAGACAAAAAAGCATTAAATCTGACAGACTTTTTTAAATGCTAAAGTCACAACTGACAATGAAGAAATAACAGTTATAAATATTTATGCATCAAATAACATAGCAACAACTTTTGCTAAAGCAATTGCTATAGAAGATGCAAGGAAAATTAGAAACACATTAATACTTAGAGATGTTAACAACATTATCATTCTAAGTGCAAGACAGGTCAAGCAGACAAAAAAATAAGTAAGGATACAGAAGAACTTAAAAAAATAGACATTGAATTTTATACCCTGATAGTAAAAATGAAGTAGAAAGTGTATATGCCTTCAAAATTGGTTGGGGAGAAAACTGAGCTAGGAATAATTTTATCTTATTGAGTAAAGAATATGAAGAATGTCATACTGGAAGTCTTAGCCAGTGCAGTAAGACAAGAAAAAGAAATAAAAGGTAAATAAACTGAAAAGCAAGAAATAAAACTGTCTTTGTTCAAAGATGATATGATTATCTATATAGAAGATCTCAAAGAATCTACAAACACACACACACACAAAATCCTAGAACTAATAAGCAAGTATAGCAAGGTCACAGGATATAAGATCAATATATGAAGGTCAATTGCCTTTCTCTGTACCAGCAATGAACCACCAAAATTTTAAAGTTAAAAAAAAATCATTTATACTAACACCAAATAAAAACACATATAACTCTAACAAAACAGAGAATTGCTATGTGAAAAACTGCAAAACAATGATAAAAGAAATCAAAGATCTAAATAAGTGGAGAAATATTATATGTCTGTGGATTGAAAGAGTCAATATTGTTAAGGTGTCAATTATTCCCGACTTGCTCTATAGATTCAACACAATCCCACTCAAAATCCCAGGAAGCTATTTTGTAGATGTTGACAAAAAGATTCCAAAGTTCATATGGAAAGGCAAAAGACCCATACAATACTGAAAAAAGAAGGAATAAAGTTAGAGGACTTCTACTACCAGATTTTAAGACTTATAATCAAGGTAATCCTGGTATTGGCAAAATAATAAACATATACATCAATAGAACAGAGGGGCCAGAAATAGATCCAGCAATAACTGATCTTTGACAATGGCATAAAGACAACGCAATGGAGAAAGAATAGACTTTTCAACAAATCGTGCCGAACAACTGGATGACTATATGTAAAAAAATAAATAAATAAAACTAGACACAGACCTGACACCTTTCACAAAAATTAACTCAAAATGGATCACAGACTGAGGCGGGAGGATCACCTGAGGCCAGGAATTTGAGACTGGTGTGGGCAACACAGCAAGACCCCATCTCTAAAAAATAAATTGAGGCCGGGTGAAGTGGCTCATGCCTGTAATTCCAGCACTTTGGGAGGCCAAGGCAGGCAGATCTATTGACCCCAGGAGTTCAAGACCATCCCTGGCAACACGGAGAAGTCCCATCTCTACAAAAAGCACAAAAACTAGCCAAGTGTGGTGGTGCACGCCTGTAGTCCCAGCTGCTTGGGAAGCTGAGGTGGGAGGATCACCTGAGCCCTGCAGATCAAGGCTGCAGCGAGCCATGACCATGACACTGCACTCCAGCCTGGGTGACAGAGCAAGACTCCGTCTCAAAAAAAAAAAAAAAATGATATACAATAGATGTGCATATTTTCAGGGTACATGTGATATTTTGACATATTCATGTAATATGTAAAGATCAAATCAGGGTAATCGAGATATCTATAGTAACAAGTTTTCAGACACAATACCAAAGCACAATCCATGAAAGGGAAAACTGGTTAAGTTGTACATTATTAAATTTAAAAATCTGTGCTTCCTCAAAGACACTATTAAAAGAATCAAAAGACAAGCCCCAGAGCAAGAGAAAATATTTGCTGAACACCTGTCTGATAAAGAATTTGTATCCAAAATATAGAAAGAATTCTTAAATCTCAACAAAAAAACAATCCAACTGAAAAATGAGCAAAGACCTGAATAGACACCTTGCCCCAAAAGATGACAAATGAGCATATGAAAAGATGTGCCATAGCATTTGTCATTAGAGAAATAAAAATTAAAACAACAACTACCACTACACGCCTATTAGAATGTCTGAAGTCCAACAAACTGGCAAACTGGACTTGACTAAAATTAAAAATTTCTGCTCCGCAAAAGATACTGTAAAGGGAATAAAAAGACAAGCCTCAGACCAGGAGAAAATATTTGCAAAAGATAATATTTGACAAAGGACTGTTATCCTAAACTTAAAAAGACCCTAAAACAGGGGTCCCCAGTCCCTGGGCTGCGCAGCAGGAGAGCAGCAGGTGAGTGAGTATCACTGCCTGAGCTCCACCTCCTGTCAGATCAGCAGCAGTGTTAGATTCTCATAGGAGCATGAACCCTAGTGTCAACTGTGCATTCAAGGGACCTAGGTTGAGTGCTCCTTATGAGAATCTAATGCCTGATGATCTGAAGTGAAACAATTTCATCCCAAAACCACCCCCTCCCCTTATCCCCAGTCCATGGAAAAAATGTCTTTCACGAAACCAGTCCCTGGTGCCAAAGAGGTTGTGGACCGCTGCCTTAAAAGATACTTTACCAGGCTGAGGTGGGAGGGTCACTTGAGGCCAAGACCAGCTTGAGAAAGATAGCAAGATCCCATCTGTACAAAAAATTAAAAAAATTAGCTGGGCATGGTGGCTCACACCTGTAGTCCCAGCTACTTGGGAGGCTGGGGCAGGAGGATCACTTGAGCCCAGGAGTTCAAGGCTACAGTGAGCTATGATTGCTCCACTGCACTCCAGCCTGGATGACAGAGTGAGACTGTCTCAAAAAAATAAACAACAAAAAACACCTCATCAAAGAGGACCTACAGATGCAAATAAGCATATTAAAAGATGCTCTACGTCATGTATAATCAATACACCACTACACACCTATTAGAAGGGTCAAAATCCAGAGCACTGACAATACCAAACGCAGCAGAGGATGTGGAATAAGAAACTCTCATTCATTACTCTTGGGAAAGCAAAACGGTACAGACACTTTAGAAGACTGTTTGGCAGATTCTTACAAAACTAAACATACCCTTAGCATATAATCTAGCAATCATGCTCTTTGGTATTTATCCAAAGGATTTGAAAACTTGCATCTGCACAAAAACCTGCACACAAATGTCCATAGCAGCTTTATTCACAATTGGCAAAACCTGGTAGCAACCAAGATGTACTTTACTAGGAGAATGGGTAAATTGTGGTACATCCAGACAACGGGGTATTATTCAGTGCTAAAATGAAATGGGCTATCAAGCCATGAAAAGACATGGAGAAAACTTAAACACATATTACTAAGTCAAAGAAGTCGGTCTGAAAAGGCTGCATACTGTATGACATTCTGGAAAAGGCAAAACCATGGAGACAGTGGAAAGATCAATGGCTTCCAGGGCTCTGGGGGATAAACAGGTAGAGTACAGAAGATTTTTAAGACAAGCCCCAGAGTGGGAGTGAAAACACTCTGTATGACAGTATAATATTAGATATATGTCATTATAAATTTGTCCAAACCCAACGATTGTACAATGCTAAGAGTGAACTATGGGCTTTGGACAAAAATGATGTGTCAATGTACATTAATCAATTGTAACAAATGTACTACTCTGGTTGGGGATGTTGATAATGGGAGACTATGCATGCGTGGAGGAAGGGGGCCTATGGGACATGTCTGTACCTTCCTCTCAATTTTGCTGTGAACCTAAAACTGCTCTAAAAAAATAGCATATTTTTAAAAATTAATGGAAAGATGTTTACAGTGAATGAAGAGAAAAAAAATCCTCTCCCAAGAAAAGGAAACTGAACTATAAAAATGACATATCACGGTCATACAAATTTTCCGAAGCTTTCTTGCTCCCTTTTAACACATTGTTCAACTCCTGCCACAGAAGCATAAATCAAATTATTCTTTGGCTAAAAGATGACTCAAGTTTTCACTTTTTGGTTCAACAGGATTTACTCAACTTGGTAACTACTTGGTGTTCCCAACTTTGCAGGACTAACCTTGCTTTTGAAGCTAAGAATAGGTGTAAGGTTGACTTCAGACTATCACAAACCATCGCACCAAAGAACTGCTGAAATATGGCACCCATTTTCATCAAGCAAATCAAACTCATGTTGGATTTAAAGGTATCTTATGCTTTACAATTAAGAAATATTTATAAAATAATCTCCATCAGGGCAATGTAGACAGCTCCAGCTTTTCCTTACCTCGAATCTTAAGGATCAAGTCATCAGACAGTGATAGAAAAACATCCATTTCTATTTTCTCTGCTTAACTTGCTCATTCCTCAGTTTCAGCTATTGATTAATTACTATCTATTTTTATTAGAAGTCATCCCGAAGCCCTATAATTTCTGAGAAAAATCTCCTTACTAATACAAGGGTGCCATCTAGTGGTGACCATAGTAAACGTCTGTTACAGAAAACGTGTTGTGTGTGTCCTCTCTCAATTCTGTATTCTGATGGGACTTTCAAAATTTATCTAGAGGGAAAAAGGTAGTAGAACTACTGTACTTGAAATGAATTTCCAAACACTCATACTTTGGCACGTTTAAACATCTAGCGTACCCTCCTTTTACATCACTACTCAGATCATTGACATTCATTTCTGAAGCAACATCACATTTACAGGTTCACAGAATTTCAGAACGAGTGGCTGTAAGGAATGATAGAGATCATCACGTATTCAGTCCAATGCCCTCGTTTTTCACATGTGGAAACTAGGCCCAGAGGGAAGGTGTCTGACTTGTCAAACGACTAGTAATGTTTCCAACAGGGTGTGCCCTGGGTTGATTTCTGACGGACTGGACAGCCAGCTAATACTATCTCATAGAGAAGGCACCTTAAGGTCTCAATAATAGGTTTCCATTCCAAAGAAAGACTTAGTTGTTCCTGCAGGGACAGCAGAGGATAAAATTCCCTGATCTGGGCTCTCTTCATAGCTTTCCCTTCTGAACTCCAACTAGGCACAGAAATCCTCGGGGACTGTTTTTGCCTCATACTTGGGTGCTGCTCACTGAGTGCTTGCAAAGTGCGAGGTACCAGGTGGTGTATACCTGGGTAAGTCTTCCACCCTCCCTGCTCAGGCTCTTTAGGCTACAAATGAGCATGCTCTATTTCTCTCTTCCTTTCCTTCATCTCAGTTACATTCACACAGAGCAGGGAACAACTAACAGAGCTTGGTGTTCCACGCCAAGGAAACCATATGTACAAAATTATGGAGGTGTGAAAAAGCAAGGTTTATTCAGAGAACAGGGGCTGAAGCTTTGTGTATCAGGAGCACAAGATGCAGGTGCATTTTCTTCTCTCCTTGTCTGGAGGGGAGCAGGGAACATTTGATCAGGAGACAACAGAATGAACCAGAGCTAAGGCAGAGGGAGGCTACTAAGCTGGTCTGGTCTGAAGCGCTTAACTGATTTGGGAAAGATTAAAGTTTGAATATGACCACTTATGGTCTTGACCGTTAGAGCTCCATTGTCAGGATGCTGGAAAACTACTGTATTTGAATAAATGACAAAGGCAGAATTAATTGCAAAGGAGGGGAAGGTTGGATTTGGCAACCTCCTACCCAGGCCTCCAATCTCCCCAGGCGGCTCTCCAGGGGTCAGCCTTAGAAACCTCTAAGCAGGGGAGACAGGCTAGCTGCCTGGCTAGGTTACATCCCTTTCTCCCCCATCCCCCTGCCATCACCACCACTAAACATGCTCCCAGGCAGAAAGCAATATTTAAATCTGAATAAGAAATGTTTGTTATCCATATTTGTGACAGGGGTCCCGGTAAGAACAAGGCTTAAAGAGAGCCAGTAGAAGCTGCGCCAGCCCCCAGAAACTAAAAGGGAGTTAGAGCTTTGGATTAGAAACTTGTTCTTTGGGGATGGTGGTTTTTATACTGTACTGTCTGTATTTTGGGTAATTATTCCTTTTTGTCTCTTTCTTACAATTTGGTAAGGTTCATTTTTAAAATGTCAGCTAAGTGGAAACAATGCAGTAATGTTTCTGTGCCCAGCCACACTGCTGAAGGCTGGGCACAGGTGTGAAAGCAGAATTCCAGGAGAGAGAAATTTGGAGGAATTCCCCCCTTCCCTCTAAGATGCTCTCCTTCCAGAGTTCTCTTCTGCTAAAATTTGGTGGGTTCTGTGTCTGGTTTTAAAAATAAGTGATGGCAGTTCCTTTACAATACTGCATTGTGAATGACTGATAAAAACTTGGCCCTCTCAAAGTAGCGGGGGGGCAGAGGAGGGAGTGTTACAGTTCAAGGGAGGATTCAGTTAGCTCTAATTAGTGGGCTGGAAAGATTTTTTTGGTAGGAAGAGGGGTGGGTCTCCCTAGCGGCTGCTCTGCTTCCTACCTGGCAACCTTTGTTACCTAATAAAATCAGTCTGGAGCCATACGCTACCGATGAATATTAAGGTGATTATGATTTTTTTGGAATTCACTTAAAATTTTTTAATAAAGTGTCTTCTGTTTGAGGGAGGAGTGCAAGCTGGCACACACAGCAAATATCTGAAACCACAAATCCAGGATATCCTAAGTGAAAGGTCTTTTGTCCCTGCCTGTTGATGAAATTAAAGTGCAAATACTAAGCTTTAGATATAACTCTCTGGGCTGTGACTGAGCTACAATTTTCTATCAAAAGAAAACTTCTAGAGTTGGTAGTACAATTTCTGACATGAAAGTTCACTAAATGCACAGTGTCACATCTTACCAAGAGTATCTTCAGTTCCACTACCTGCACCTCTAATCCCCATCCATAAAGAGGGGAACCATATTGCAGAGTCAGCTGAGAACCATAGCCCCCATGCCTCTTCCACAATCTAATCTTGAAGACGACACAGAAAAGATATAACACTTCTTAATACTTCATTCAACACAAATCACACCACATGAATAAAAAACCACAACTCTTCTTTGCAGTATTACGGAAAAAAAAAAAAACATATCTCAGGGTGGGTTTTGGTGTCTGTTTATTTTTTGAGACGGGGTCTCACTCTGTCGCCCAGGCTGGAGTGCAGAGGCACAATTTCGGCTCATTGCAACCTCCGCCTCCTGGGTTCAAGTGATTCTCCCACCTCAGCCTCCCAAGTAGCTGGGACTACAGGCGCCTGCCACCATGTCCAGCTAATTTTTGTACTTTTTGTAGAGACAGGGTTTCACCATGTTGGCCAGGCTGGTCTCAAATTCCTGACCTCAGGTGATCTGCCCGCCTTGGCCTCCCAAAGTACTGGGATTACAGGTGTGAGCCACCACGACTGGCCTATTTTTTAAAATTCTCATTTCTAAAAGGAAAAACACTGAATAAATATAAAAGCTTTGCAAATCTTAGATTGAGGGCTGCAGCCACAGCATTTGAGAAATCCCATCCTTCTATTATCAATACAAAACAAACCACCTACTTTGAAAAAGTTGAGGTGTGGGAACTCATTTACAGCTACACAGAAATGAGCCCCTCCATGGATTTTAGTTGATTGTTTCTGGAGGCCGTATTTGCCAAGTTGCATTGTCACAACCGTGAGCAAGACGCAACCCCAACTCATACTAAGAATGAAGGGCCCTGAAGTGCTCACTTGCAAAGAAATTATAATTTAAGAAAATTAAGAATATGAAAGAGTTACATTTATATATATCTAAATATTGAACATTAGAGGAACAATAATCTTTTAATATTATTCTATGAGATTATGTTGCTTAAGTAATAATAAGAGCTACCATTTTATTGGGCAATTTTCAATACAGCCATGTTTCAGATATTGTGCTGAGTGTTCTTCATGCATTTTTCCATTTAATTTTCACAGCAATCTGTGAGGTAGGTATTCTTATCCCCCTTTTACTGATGAAGAATTAAATGAGCACAAAAATTGAGTTACTTCCTGGAATCACACAGCTAGTGAGTAACCCTAGTCTGACTCAGGTCTATACTTTTCATCAACAATATGTAAACTAAAGGTATCTCAAGGCTTTAAAATAAGTTTCTGAAGACTAAGTTGTTGTAATGAAAACTTTCAGAATGCTACCGAAAAATAAACCATCATTCCACAAATAAACTTAAGTGATCTAAGTAAAAATGAAGCATTGCCTTTAGGTTAATGCTAGAAACAGCTTACTCCTTATTGTTATCTCTAATTCCTTTAAGGAACTGAAATAACTTTGAAATAAGTTTTGGAAATTCCCACCAGAATTTGGTAAGATGATGATCAAATATTCACCAAACTCCTGCTAGGTACTATGTACTTACTGTACTTACCAGGATACAGAGATCAATAAGAAATAGCTCTTGCTCTAAAAATATTCAGTGGTACTGGTGGGGACATGGGTGCGGTGTCAGACCACACACATAATACATTGTGAAGGTATAATACCGAGTTAGGTGCAAGGTATTATAGAAGAGTGAGGAAGAGTCTCTACTCTAGCTGTGGGTGGTAGGGAAGTTTACTGGAAGAGACACACAGAGCTGGCCAGCTGAAGGGGCTGGGCTGCTCATTCCAGGCAGAGAGCAGAGCCTGGGCACAGCGCAGATGAGCATGGAGTGGGAGGCAGGGAGTAGGCACTGGAAAGACTGGAGAAGTGGGCAGGGCACAGATCATGAAGAAATTTAAACCAGCAAAAGGTTTTAAGTAGGCAAATGACATGCTCAGAATGGTCCTATAACTAAACCCACAGGAGCAGTGTGGAGCATGGACTTGGAGCCACACAGCCATAGGTTCAAGTCCTGGGCTAGGGCTTAGTGCTGTGTGAACTTTGGCAAGACATGATACATTTCTTCTTTTTTGAATTGACAAAAAAATATATATACACACACACACACACACACACACACACACACACACTTATGGTGTACAACGTGATGTTATGAAATATGAATATACTGTGGAATGACTAAATCAAGCTAATTAACATATGCATCACCTCACACATTTATTTGTGGTAAGAACAAAGACAGGAAACCTTCTAACCCTCAGTCTCAGCTGGAAGATGGGAAGCAAATGAGATAATGAATGTAAAGCACTGGAATACAGTAAGTATTTAAGAAATGGTGGCTCATTATTATTATTATTGCTATAAGCCTAGAAATTCAGGAAGATACATGGGAATCCAGATGAGACGTACTGAGGTCCCAAGTAGGGATGAAGAAACAAGACAACCTGAAAGACACCCAGCAAACTGAATTGACAAAACCTGATGACTGCCTGGCTACAGGCATGCCGGTGAGAGAGGAGCATACACTATCGACAAGGTCTCGTCTGGGATGAATGACTGAATGGCTGGTGGCCGGCGGCAGCCCTGACAGACAGAATAGTGAGGTAGAACGAGTCTGGGAGTGTGGGTCATGCTGAGGAGGTGCCTGTGTGCACCCAGGAGCAGACATCCAGGAAATCAGTGGACAGGGCTGGAGTCTGGGATGCAGGTGTGGCTTGGAATTGGAAAGGTATGCATATCTCATGCCATGAGAAGAGATCACCCACAGAGGTTATGTTCAGTCAGAAGGGCAATGAGCTAAGACAGAACTCCAGAAACACTCATGATTAAGGGACAAGGAAAGAAAGAAAAGCACCCAAAGAAAGAAAAGGACCACAGAGGATAAGGTATTTCAGGAGGGCTCAGTCCAACGAAGGCTGAAGGAGCAGGATCTCCAGGAGGGAGTCATCAGCGGTGCCCCATGTAGCTAAGTCCAGGAACTTCCAACAGTGTCCTTAGAATCCAGTAGACATTGTTGCTGACTTTAGACCAGAGGGTGATTTTTTGTAGAACAAGGGGAACAGACACCCAACTGCAGGGTTCAGGTATCGATGGGCATGAGGAAGTAGAAAGAGCCTACCATAAATCTGGGAAAAGGGACGGAGAACAGTTATATAGTAGTATAAGGGAAATACAGGGTCAATGGCCAGGTTAAAAGATTTTTAAGACAGAGTGCTCTGAGCATTTTGTGCACTGAGAAGGAAAAGGCAGATAGCACAGGGTGATGAGGCAGGAGCAAGAGATGTACAGACAGAACAAGGTCCTTGAGGATATAAGAAGGATCCTGCCGCTGGGCTCTGGGGATGCAGAGCTTAATGAAACAGAATCTGCCCTCGAGGAGCTCAGAGTCTGAGGGGGAAGCAAACCTGCCAACCCTCTGAGCAGCATGTGATGTGCACACCAGTCCTCAGGATGGACTATACCAGAGGAACTCAGGGGATGCCCATCTGACTGTGGGTTTCCTGGACCTAGGTCTGAGCCCATTCACCTCTCTACTCCCACTGCCCAACAGCACCTGGTATGCACACGTGCTAGGCGTTCGATAATTTTCTTGGTGTGAATGAAAAAATATACTTGTCAGAAACTTTATTTCCAGGTGTAGAGAAATTTTATAAAGACATATAAGGGTATATTTTAAGACAGATAAAGGGATTTGGGGTATTAAAATAAAACTAACATTAACTAAAAATCATAGTACACATGCTTGGTGCTGTACCCTGAATGTCTACGTCCCTCCAAAATTCCTATGTTGAAACCTAATGCCCACTGCAAAAGTAATAAGTGGTGGGGTATTCAGGAGGCGATTAGGTCACAAGGGATCTCATGAATGGGGTTAGTGCCCTTATAAAAGGCCCAAGGGAGCTCACTTGCCCCTTCCACCATACAAGGACACAGTAAGAAGCTACTGTCTATGAGCAACAGGCCCTCACCAGACAGGGAATCTGTCAGCACCACCTTGATCTTGGAATTCCCAGCCCCCAGAACTGTGAAAAATAAATTTTTGTTATTTATAAGCTACCCAATTTATGGTATTTTGTTACAGCAGCCAGAACCGGCTAAGATACTTGGAAAAGACGCATCTGAGAGCTTTATACAGAGACAGCTGAAGGTTAAGAGAGTTGAGGAAGAATGAGGCAGGGTTCAGTCATGTGGAGAAGGCCTGAGAGGTTCCAGAACTCTCTCTGGCCAAATATATCCCCCAATCTGCTAGGATGTGCTTAAGATTTATTTAACCGTTTATGAAAGGATAAAATTTTTCATTTCAAAATTAAAAAGGACTAAAAAGGAAATGCGTGTAAGACTGCACAAAAGTTTAATACCCATTCATCATAAAATGAAATCAGGCAGGTGTCAGACTGACCTGTCTCCAAATGAGCTTCCCCATTTACCAGCTGTATGAGCTGGGCCAGATCACTAGTTTTCTCTGGGAAAGCAGACCACGGGACAGATGAGCCCCCAAGCCACTTTCAAATCTACCATTCAAAGGTCCTAAGCAGTATTTCTTAGCCTTTTGGGAATCATAGACTCCTCAGAGAATCTAATTGAAGCTATGAATTCTCTCCCTACACGCCCCTCCAAATAAACACAGAAACATACGTATAAAATTTTGCACATCATTTGAGGGGGTCCCTGGACTCTCTACCCGTAATCCCAGGTAAGAAGTGGGAAACCAGCAGAGATGCAAATCTTTTAAATCCTTTTTTTTTTATTTTTTAAACAGAGACTCACTCGTTTCCCAGGCTAAAATGCAATGGTGTGATCGTGGCTCACTGAAGCCTCAACCTCCTGGGCTCAAGCCATCCTCCCACCTCAGCCTCCTGAGTAGCTGGGACCACAGGCATGCACGACCACACCTGGCTCGTTTTTTATTTTTTGTAGAGATGGGGTCTCCCTGTGTTGCCCAGGCTGGTCTCGAACTCCTGGCCTCAAGTGATCCTCCTGCCTCAGCCTCCCAAGGTGCTGGTATTACAGGCATGAGCCACCACACCTGGCCCAAGGTGCAATTCTTTATAATAAGGTTCTTGGCCAGGCGTGGTGACTGCATGCCTGTAATCCCAGCACTTTGGGAGGCCAAGGTGGGTGGATCACTTGAGGCCAGGAGTTTGAGACCAGGCTGGCCAACATGGTAAAACCCCATCTCTACTAAAAATACAAAAATTAGCCAGGCATGGTGGCGCACGCCTGTAATCCCAGCTACTCAGGAGGCTGAGCTATGATCGCATCAATGCACTCTAGCCTGGGACCCTGTCCCTAAAACAACAAAAAAAGAAGGTAATGGAGCCAGATATCACAGTGACCTCTGCTAGACCCACAGTGGACAGTCTGGTGTTCTCTACCTGTGCGCCCATCTGAACTGTAAGTTTCCCTGAATATAGCAACTACCCACTTTAGTTATGGATTAAATTGATGGGGCCATAACGGTATAGATTTGCAGTTCTCAAATTTTTTGACTTTCAGTGCTTCTAAGTATCAACTTCAAATCCTCCCTTTGGGAGACATACCTGGAGTGCACAGCAATCACTACGGTCTTGCTCTATAGGGTCTATCAACTTTCCAAGACTGGATTTTATTCAATTAGAAGGTTCTAGCCACCCCAAACTAGACGTTATGCCTCTATTCCACAGCAATATTTGATGACTCGCCCCTCCCCACAAAAAGGAAAATAAAACATATTGTATCTGCTTTTAGTAGAAATCCCCTACATTTGTATAACCCTTTATACGTAGTACTTCTTTAATCCCTCTCACAAACATGTAATATTCACCTGGGAGGTAGGCAATACTCCCATTTGAAAGATAAGGAGAGAGAATGATACCATTTAAGTGATCACAGAGAGGGCTTTTCAACACAGCCCAGCACCAGAACTCCAGCCACATTTTTACAAAAATGCTAATGTTTCTATTACCCTTACACTGAGAAGGTGGGAGACACCTCTTTTAAATTAACAGAACAAAATAGCTGTGAACTTTAATAAAGTGTTCAGTCATGACATCTAAATAGTACCTATGATTTCAGAAACTGAAAGCCACTCTAATTTCAGCAATTTCATACATGATGACTAAATCATTTCATTTTTTCAATATTTAACAGAAATCAATAAAGCCTATCATCTATGACTTTTTAAATAAGCAGAATTCACTGTACATAGTAGGGGGGAATATCCATACTTACCTATAGCACAATGTAAAATCTAGAGGAAAAAAGGGGAAAAAAGAGGAGAATTAGTAAGAATCAAGATATTAAAGTTTTATTTCATATAAACTAATGTTTCAGTAAGAATAGAGCAGCGTCTGCCAGCAGTATTAAATATGAAAAATGAACATTCCATTTTTAAACTTGGCTACAAGCTGTTTAACAAAATGTAAATTCTTGTTCAGTTTTGTTTGTTTGTTCATTTTTAGTTTGTGTATCTTTGAAGGATTTTCTGAGGAGGATTTACTCTTCCCACTCAGTAGCTTATCAGATATCAAGGGCTCTTTCATAATGCACAAACTTGTAAGAGCAATAAGTGTACAGCATCTCCATGTCCCATATGCTATAGAACAGAACCACCACGGACTCCGGAACACGGGGTGAGAAGGGCCTTTGTTGGCTCTTCTTGCCTGGCAGGCCCTTCAATGCAGACATTCATTCTACTAAGTTCCACCCTCAGTCCCCATCTTGCCTCATTCAATGATCTCACTGCAGAGGTGCTCTCTGGTCCAATCCAACCCTGTCTCCTGGGGATCTGGGCCTACATCCCAAGCTGCCTCTGGACAGCTCCATCTGGGAGCCACAGCAGCGGCTCAAACACAGCCTCAGTGGGAAGCACACGCTTTCCTTCCATTCCGCCCGTTATCCCTCTTGATAACCAGCCTCCCAGTCTTTGGGGTTCAACAGTCCTTCCTTCCCCTCATCCTCAAGTACAACCATTTCTAAGTCCTGCTGGCGATTCTGGGGTCTGTCTTCCCCATTTTTATTTCCAGTGCGTTGAGTGAGACTGCCATCTCCACTCCATCTCAATGGCCATCCAACTGGCAAATTAAGTCCTTCTAAATCCCCTTCCAACTCATCCTTAATATAGCAGTGATTTAACTCTGGGGGTGGTGGTGGCAAAAAAGTAATTTGAAGCCATTTATAAGATTGATTTAATGACCAAAGCTTTTCTAGGTGATATAACCTAACAGCTACTGTAGGGCATTTCAGAATTTTTACATTTCTCTAGCAGTCTTTATATTGTTTGATCCTAACAATTACCTGGCAGATAGGCAGGACAGAAAATCTCTACTTGCAGACAAGAAAACCAAGGCTCAGAGAAGCCACACAACTTGCCCAGGGCAGTAAATGATGGTCAGGACCAAGAACTTAGGTTTTATTTCTATTCTATCATATTATTTCATTGTGCATTAGTTATGAGAGATCTACAGAGTCAGACTTGACAAGACTTAGCTTATCTAAAACATGCCTGAGCCTGATAAGGCTCTGTGCCTTATCAAAAACTACTATTTCACTCAATTTGTGGGGGAGGGATGTGGGGAGATTGGATTAAAAAAACAAATCAAGCTGCACAATGTTGCTGGTAACTGACAGGAGAACAAAATAATTACCACATTGCAAATCTTACAGTCTTTTTCAATAGAAAACACTGTTAAGTAGATACTAAAGTGTAAATATGATAAGCTACACCTCCTGCTGCAAAGTTCAGGAGAACTAAAAGACAGATCTAGATCAAAATGGGGAATGAAAAACATTATTTGAAACAAGAAGACAGATGACAGTACCTAGACAGAAAACCTGTTCATTTGTTTTGGACACAGGATCATATTCTGTCACCCAGGCAGAGTGCAGTGGTGCAATTACAGCTCCCTGCAACCTCAACCTCCTTGGACTCAAGCGATCCTCCCACCTCAGCCTCCTGAGTAGCTGGGACTACAGGCAATTGCCACTACGCCTGGCTAATTTTTGTATTTTTTGTATGGACAGGCTTTTGCCATGTTGCCCAGGCTAGTCTTGAACTCCTGGGCTCAAGTGATCCGCCAGCCTTGGCCTCCTAAAGTGCTGGGATTACAGGCATGAGCCACTGCACCCGGCCCAGAAAACCTATTCTATCCATGTATGCAGCAAGACACCCAGACTGGCCAGGCATGGTGGCTCACGCGTATAATCCCAGCACTTTGGGAGGCCGAGGCAGGCGGATGACCTGAGGTCAGGAGTTTGAGACCAGCTTGGCCAACATGGTGAAACCCCATCTCTACTAAAAATACAAAAAATTAGCTGGGCATAGTGGCGCATGCCTGTAGTCTCGGCTACTCAGAAGGCTGAGGCAGGAGAATCGCTTGAACCCAGCAGACAGAGGTTGCAGTGAGCCGAGATTGCGCCACTGCACTCCAGCGTGGGCGAGAGAGCAACACTCCATCTCAAAAAAAAAAAAAAAAAAAAAAAAAAAAAAAAAAAAAAAAAGACATCCAGGCTGCTGATTAGCAACAGGACACTGCAGGAGAGGACACACAGCAATGAATGGCTAGCATGTCTTCTTTGCATGACAGAGCAGTAGGTCTCAGTCCTCAGATGCACTCTCCCCTTTTTAATCACACATATTTTATAATGCCTCCTCTACCATTCTGAAAAGAAATTCATAGATAAAATGACCTACCTACACAAAATTTTCAAAAGCAAATAAATACAATGTCCCAATTGATACACAAAGAAGAAATAAAGTAATTTATTTTTCAAAATACGTATTTCAACTTGTAAATGGGGACATAATGATGTAGTCAGATGTACATAGTAAATTATGAAAATAAGTTTGGATTTAAAAATTAGAGTAACAGAAACCACTGTGGACAAGCACAGGAAAATAAAAGGGCAGATGTAGAGGTACAGCCTAATACTTGGAAAAAAGAGTATTAATAATAGAAATAAAGAAGTAACCTTATACAAAGTTGGAATAACATGCTAAAGTAAGTAACAGTCAAAGTAGAGAAATTGAAGGAGTACATTACTATTTCAAATCAGCTAGGTCTTATTTATTTATAAAGTGTCAAAATAATCTAAATAATCTCCTAGGTTATGTCATGGGATGGGGTCGGAGGAAAGTATCACAGAAAATCTATCCTTCTGCTTTGAAATCCTATTGAGACATACAATCAGTGTACGGTCTGTAAAAAGACCTTGAAAACGTATTCTTTAAATGGTGCAACAAGGAATAGGAGAGGAATTAGATGTAAAAAAACTGTAATGCAAGAGGCAATAAAGCCATTGTTTAACAGGGGATACTTTTAGGACAAAACAGAAGACGAGCTATCCCAAAATAAAATTTACATTTCACAACCTAGATTTCATACCATTACACACACACACACACACACACACACATACACACACACACAGGCAATAATATGAAATATTAGTCTATATGAAAGAAATACAATGAAATCCCTACATATCATGTGTCTCCAATAATTTAATAATTGAAGTCTAAACAGGAATCTCAAAACTGATTTTCAATGATTTTCACTACTGCGCTGAAATCCTTTTCAACTAAATATGCAAACTAGAAATGCTGTAATGCTTACAGAACAGAATGTGCAGAGAGAATAAATTACTTAATTATTTTGAGACAATACCTTCATTTCACTTAAGCTTCTCGTTTCATACCAATGATGGTGGTAGGGCAGCATTCTTAAGGCGATCCCCCACAATTACTGTTCCTTGGCTATTCAATCAAACACTAATCTAGGTACTGCAGTGTAGGGATTTTGCAAGTGTAATTAAAGTCTCAAGTCAATTGATTTGAAGATACAGATATTATGTGGGTGGACCAGACCCAACCAGATGAGCCCTTTAAAAGCAGTTTCCTCTGGCTGGTGGCAGAAGGGGAAGTCAGAGATATTCAAAGAACAAGAGGGATTCAGCAGGCCACTCTGGCTTTGAAGCTGCAGGGGAGTCACGTG
Source organism: Homo sapiens (assembly GCF_000001405.40). Classification (NCBI taxonomy): domain Eukaryota; kingdom Metazoa; phylum Chordata; class Mammalia; order Primates; family Hominidae; genus Homo; species Homo sapiens. Next base: position 123,571,523 of record NC_000003.12, read on the forward strand.
CAAGGCCTGGAGAGCAGCCTCTAGGAATGAGGAGTAACCTCCTACCGACAGCTAGCAAGGAAATGCAGACCTCACACCTACAACTAGATTCAGCCAATAACCTGGATGAGCTTGAAAGTGGATTCTTCCCCTGGAGCCTCCAGATAAGAAATCAGCCAGCTTGGCTGACAACTTGATTTCAATCTTATGAGACCCCCGAGCAAAGAACCCAGTCAAGCCCAGCTTCTGACTTAGAAAACTATGAGCTAATCGATGAGCATTGTTTTCACAGCTGCTAGGTTTGTGGTATTTTTGTTTTACAGCAACAAAAACTAAGACCACAACCTTCTTCTAACTTAATAAGCTTTTTAATTTTTCCTGAAGATTTTTCAGTATTAATATGTACTACAAAATGGTCCATTTATATTTGTAGAGGGGTTGGCCTGGGGAGATATGCAGAAGCCAAGGAGGATGCAGAACAAATCTTCATGAAGTTGGACTGTCTACATATCGTAGGACATCTAGCCAGTAGCATCTCCAGTCATTGTGGCAATTGAAATACTCTCACAATTTTCCAAAATGCACTCTGAAGTGGTGAAGTGAAGTGGTGGCACTGCTTTGTTGAGGTCCACCAAGAATCACTGGATAAGAATAAGCACACCTCATCAAAAAAAATTTAGATGACTTGCCATATTCAAAATCTCCCTTGAAAATACATGTTGCACCAGGCACAGTGGCTCATACCTGTAATCTTAACACTTTGGGAGGCCAAAGCAGGAGGATCACTTGAGGTCAGGAGTTCAAGACCAGCCTGCGCAACACAGTGAGACCCCCAGCTCTACAAAAAATTTTAAAAACTAGCTGGGCCTGGTGGCATGTGCCTGTAGTCCTAGCTACTTGGAAGGCTGAGGCAGGAGGATCACTTGAGCCCAAGAGGTTGAGGCTGCAATGAGCTACAATCATGCCACTGCACTCCATCCTGGGCAACAGAGCAAGACCCTGTCTCAAAGAAAAGAAAAGAAAATATGAACCATAAACTCCTCTCTCCTCTTGTGTCCCTTCCATTTCCACTGGCAATAAACTGATTTTAGTTTTAAAATTTAACCTCAATGTAAAATTGCCATTTGCACAATAAATTACTTGGAAACATCTTTTCAAAGTTTCTAAAATTTGAACTAGGGGAATTATTTTTGTAGGTTACCAACAATTCTGTTCAATTTCATTTTTAATCCAAGGTAAAACAATAACAACAAAGCCCCAAAAAGTTTAAGAAGTCTCAAAGGGAACAGAAACCCAAGCAGCTTTCAAGACCTCAGCTGCAGCCCATGGACTTAATGTGATTCATCTACAGTGATTCCCCATCTCTGTCTTTCAATTCAAAATTCCAAATTCTTGGGAGGAAAAAAAAAACCTGACTAGCCCACTCTGGCTCAGTTACGCACCCCTGGATCAGCCAGCTATGGCCTAAGATGCAGAGTCAGGGAATAGAGATGTAGCTGCTAAGGGTCCAGCCTTGAGAACCAGACAAATTCCAGAGAGGATACGCTGAGCTGGGCAGCTCCACAGACATGTCCACGACACTTGTTTTACGGTGCAGAGGTCCATAACCAATTTGAGTTACATCTACCAATATTTGATTTGTTTTAGGAATTATCATATTCTACACATATATGATTTCATTCTTGCTTAAAACTTAATAATAATAATATATAGTCTTCAAGGATAGACACCAAAATGTTAACAGTGGTTATCTTTAGATTATGACTGCTATGCATTTTCTTCTGCATCTGAATTTTTTCTACAATGAATATATAGTACTTATTACTGGGGGAAAACACCTTTCCACTCTCTTCTGGTTTCTATAAGGATGGATTTCCACCACATAGTACTAGTCTCCTTTAATTACTTTACCTCTGGAAAGGATGACTCATTTGAGCGTAAATTTGGGAAGAATAAATGGGGTGTGTTCAATTCAGCTCCACTAGAGAGGTTTCATAGAGAACCTCAAGTTTTCATGGTTTCTTCTAAGACAGCCCATCTGCTGCTGCTCAGGACAGGGTGAGTGGTGAGTCTAACTGTGGAGTTCAGTTAGCAAACCCATTTGACTCGCACACTAAAGCATGTCCTCAGCCTTTATCACTAATAAAGGTGATTTTTAGGATCCTTATGTAACTCCTTTGAGTTACTGCTCAATGTTCAGAACATAAACAAGCAAAAGGGTGTTGGTTATTCACTGGGCTCCCTCAGACTCCAAACATGTTTTCAAAATCCTTTTACATCCAATTTTTAAGGACGAAATAGGTAAAAAGATTCCTCAATTATCATTATTTTTCCTTTATCACTTAATTTCACCTTTCTTGCTATTTCCACCCCTATAATTTACTAATTCATTATTTGCTTAATTTTCATATTTTGATAGTGAAATGTTGAAGTCTCACAGAACTTAAAAGTGGGGAAAAATGTAAGGTCACCTAATCCAGTGTATTCACTGCACATAATGAATCGAGGGCGAGAGAGGTTAAGATCAAGGTCACAGGGCTAATTAATGGCAAAACCAAGTCTTCATACCCAAACTGTGACACCTCTTAAGAACAATTCTATTTTTTAACTTCTATAGCATTTCTGCCAGCTTTTTACATATTTTGTTTCTCTGTTCAGATAATCATTCATTCATCATATGATTTCACCAACATGTGTCTCCCATGTTCTTGCTACTGACAAACTGTGAACTAAGGTTCTCTTCAGCTTCTGCTCCGAAATCAACTTTATCTTATGCTGTAACTGGGTAGTCCTGCTTTTCTTGACACTTGGTCATGGCAAGCTGGTTTGTCCCTTAGTAAACTTAAAGTCAGTCTCATAAACAACAGATTGTTAGACTTTAGTTTTTAACCAGTAACCATCATTTCATCTTTTCATCTTGATAAATTTAATCAGTCCATTTGTATAAACATAAAAAATGATGTATTTTTACTATACTCTATTATGCTATAGGTTTATTATTCTCCTGCCATTAAAAAAATTAACAGGATTTGTAGATGTAAAACTCTATTTCTCTTTAAATCGAAAAATAAAATAAGCTGCCTATTGTCTTCCTTTTTCAAAAAACTTTAAAATCTTATTTTCCTCATTCATCTTGTTTTCAATTACATATAATATAGAATTTTATTTTAAAAAATTACATGTTTCATGTGATATATAAATATATACTAAAGTATATTAAAAGTGGTAATCTTTTACTCCCCCCTTGCCCCAAAATACCACGCCCCTCCAGAGGTAAGCTCTAATTAACAGTTTGATATATACTCTTCCATACCTTTTTCAGTATCTGCAATTGTGCTTTTATTCCCTATTGATTTTCCTAATCTGAAAACATCAGCATATAACTATTCTATTATCAATTTAAAAATTTATGAACTCTGGAGTGATACAAAATTTACATCGTTATGTTTATCCTCCTTCCCACTTCATTCTATCCTGGTAAAATCTGAAATATCTTATGGGATTCCACATGATCACACTGCATTCTGTACCGTGGTCTAAAGGCTTATACTGTGCAGCCACTAGCCATATGTGCCTATTTAAACTTAAATAAAGAGTAAAGAATTTTCATTTTTTTTTTTTTTGGAAAACAGGGTCTTGCTCTGTCTCCTAGACTTGGAGTGCAGTGGAGTGACCATAACTTACTTCAGCCTGAAACTCCTGGGCTCAAGCGATTCTCCTGCCTTAGCCTCCCGAGTAGCTAGGACTAATATGCGCCACTGTATCCGGCTAATTTTTTAAATTTTTAAAATTTTTTGCAGAGGCGAGGTCTTGCTATATTGCCCAAGCTGGTCTTGAACTCCTGGCCTGAAGCGATCCTCCCACCTTGGCCTTCCAAAGTGCTGGGATTACAGGTGTCAGCCACCACTCCTGACCAAAAGTAAATAAAATTAAAAACTCAGTTTCTCAGACCCACTAGCCACATTTTAAGTGACTAGTGGCTACTGTTTTGGACAGCGTTCCAACGTTATCACTGCAGAAAGTCCTATTGGACAGTGCTAGTCTGAAAACTTGGTTAATTTTATTTATTTATATAACAGTTACTCTTTGATAACAGCTAACTACTCTGATTAAAGTTAAATAATCTTTGGTAAGGTGCTTTCAAAGTTCCATTAGCTTTTCTAAGTGTTTTCAAAATGTTTCCAGCTTTAGGAAACTGCATGGTCTGTTATCCAGGAACCTAATATTTCCTACTACACGGGGATTTTTTCTTCTTTCAAGTTTAAGGTCCCAAGTTGTTTTTAACTATTACATTTTAAAATCTGCTCTTTTATGCTGGAAATTGTTTAAGTACTCAGGAAGGGAAGAAATTTTTTTGTTGTGGAACACCATAAACTCTCACTAACCATAGTGAGGTGGCCTTTCAGTTCAGCAAAGTTTTCTATAACTTTTCTCCCTGATTATTTATAAGCTGTATATTCCAACCTTTTCTACTTCCTCTGGTAGTCTTACTTTTTGAAAGCTTATACAACCTCATCAGGTTTTCTAGATACATTGGTTCTATATATATTGTTTTTCTGTTATAATGTTTTGTAATGTTTCTTTTACATGGTGAACTTTGAAAATTTCCCTATGACTTCTGTTCTGCAATTCATTTTATATGAGAACGTGAGTGGAAACTCCCGCCTTTTTTGAATCTTCAGTATCACCTATTTCTTGCACTGTGGCTCCTTCGTGCCCTATATTGCCACCATTGATATTTTTAGTTCTTTTTTTTTTTTAATTTCAGTACATTCCCTTCTACAGATGTTAGCTATTGTACCTCTTTGAATACCACATCAATTTGCTTCTATTTGCTTGAGTCACCAAGCAGTGAGGCCTGTGTGGGTGGGTTCCTGTTTCCTTCCAGCTCTCTCTTCCCTTCTAATGTTGTGACACTTATTAATTTTAATCAAGTTAGAGTTTTCCTCTGGTTTTCACACTGTTTGAGAAGCTGGTTTTTCTGGGATTTGTTGTCATTCCTATTTGTGTTAGATATCTACACTATAACTTGCTCTTGCTAGCTTTTCAAAAGCCTCTTTTAGAGATGTGTTTCCTCAAAATGGGTCCAGAATAAAAGGAGCCTAACACATGCATGTAGCTTGCATTTCAGAAGTTCCTTTTTGAGACTATTACTGGGAAATCAGAATGTTTCCACAAGAAGGAAAAATATAACAGACAACGGTTATGTCCTCAAACCAGTTCACAAAAGCAGTCTGAAGCACAATACCTCCATGGCAAAAATCAGTTAGTGTTTGAGCCATAAAGAAAGAAAAACTGGCAGGGAGATAAGAAGGGATCTTTCTTCTTAAGGACACTGCAAGTTTCTAAGACTTTGCTGTATTTTATAGAAATACCCAAAATCAATTTCCTATTCATTAAAGGATCTGAAGAGCATTGTGAAGTGAGGTCTGCAGAGTGAGACAGGAACACACAGATGAGGCTGAGAAAGTGCTGGGGTTAGAAGACTAACAAAAGCTGTCTGCTGTCTCCCACCACTTCTCCAGACCTTGCCCTAGATCAATTCCAGGACACGATCAGAAATGAGATTGGGTTGTTTATTCATTTTTGTAGATAAGGGGTTTCAAGTAGAAGAAAGATCTGGAAGAGAATGGGAAGAAAAGGGAATTCCTGTGGTCCATCAGGAAGTCCCAGATGCACAATGGTAGGTAAATGTCATATACAGCAATGTACATATGTTGAAGATAGCCTGTATCAATCTCAACAGTTAACCTCTTTGCAGAGCAATCTTTAACCCATTTGAAATCTCACTGTCAATCACAGAGGCATATCCAATCATGAGTATTTGAAAGTGTCTTTGGCCGGGCGCAGTGGCTCACACTTGTAATCCCAGCAATTTGGGAGGCCGAGGCTGGCGGATCATGAGGTCAGGAGATCGAGACCATCCTGGCTAACATGGTGAAACCCCGTCTCTACTAAAAATACAAAAAATTAGCCGGGTGTGGTGGCGGGCGCCTGTAGTCCCAGCTACTCGGGAAGCTGAGGCAGGAGAATGGCGTGAACCCGGGAGGCGGAGCTTGCAGTGAGCCGAGATCGCGCCACTGCACTCCAGCCTGGGCGATGGAGTGAGACTCTGTCTCAAAAAAAAAAAAAAAAAAGAAAGTGTCTTTGCTATAATTACAGTCTTATGTTAACCAAAGATATTTAGAAACCCAAATTCTCTCAAACATAATTTTAAACTGCCATAACTGCATTAGTCCACTAATTTTTAATCTAACTATACTTGACAAATATGCAAAGATAACATCTGCCTCATCAATGAATATCATGGACTCCAAAAATGAATAAAGTAGAAAACACCCACAACTCATTACAGAGGAACTCGTTTTTTAAAAACTGACATATAATTCACATGCCACAAAATTCACAATTTTAAACTGTACAATCTAGTGGTTTTTAATATGTTCACAGAGTTGTGCACCCACCACCACTATTTCAAGAACAATATCATCACCTTAAAAGGAAATCCTGTACCATTAGCAGTCACACCCCACTCTCTCTCCCCACAGCCCCTAACAATTCCTCTACTTTCTGTCACTATGGATTTGCCTATTCTGGATATTTCTTATAAATGAAATCATACTATTTGTGACTTTTTGTATCTGCCTCCTTTCACATGCATTTTTTCAAGATTTATCCAGGCATATATCAGTAATTCATTTGCCTTTATTAATTTTATGAATGTTTATATCCATAGACCACATTTTATCCATGAGTAGCATTTTATTTATAGATACTTTTTTTTTTGGAAATGGGGTCTTGCTCTGTCACCCAGGCTGGAGTGCAGTGGCACGATCATGGCTCACTGTAGCCTTGAACTCCTGGGCACAAGTGATCCTCCCACCTCAGTCTCCTGATTAGCTGGGACTACAGGCATGTGCTACCATGCCTGGCCAATTTTTTAATTTTTTGTAGAGATGGGGTCTCGCTATGTTTCCCAGGATGGTCTTGAATTTCTGGCCTCAAGCAATCCCCCCATGTCAGCCTCCTAAAGTGCTGGGATTACAGGTGTGAGCCATGGTACTCAGCCAGGCTTCCTTTTGTACCTTGCTACTACATGCTCCTTTGTACTTGCTTGGTAAATGTTTTTATGTCTTTTAAAAAGCAAAGTGTTATTATTTTCTTAAGAAGATGTGAAATTGGAGAACAAGTAATTTCGATTTCCTTTTTAAGTAAACTCCCACAGAACCTAATAAAGAATAACATTTAGCATAAAGAGATATAAATGAGTAGCTGCCTTCCCTGGATTCATTTTCTCCTCCTGTAAACAGGATATATGTCAACACTAATAATTCCCATCAGGATAACTTATGTGTAATTAAACAATACCACACACATCTAATTATTACACAGTGTAGATGGGGTAGGCAATGAAAAACTCCTCAACCACAGAAATTGTGGTTTTAGCAAGCCTGCTCTATCGCCCAGTCCAAGGGATTACTTCCATCACTGACCTTTGCAACGTTAATTGCCTGCATGTTCCTGGGAGTCTTCACTTCCTTATGCACAGACATTTTCCCAAAATCAAATCCAGGATTTGTCACTTAATTGGTTCTTAGTGGGGATAACAGAGATAAAACCAAAAATCCAAGATATTTTCCTAAATCCCTATTAAAAATTCTATAAGGATAAACAGGCTAATCCTTCAAAGTCTAAGACTTGGTTCCTGAGTGGATTTTAAAGTATGACACTGTTTAATGTCCCTACCTTCCATAAGATATACTTAAATTTTAAAAATTATACTTCTAACATTACCAAGTTTTTTTTTTTTTGAGACAAGGTCTCACTCTGTCATCCAGGCTGGATTGCAGTGATGCAATCATAGTTCGCTGCAGCCTCAAACTCCTGGGTTCAAGCTCAAGCCTCCCATTTCAGCCTCCCAAGTAGCTGGGACTACAGGTACCCACCACCCAGCCCAGCTAAAAAAAAAAAAATTTTTTTTTTGTAGAGATGAGGTCTTGCTATGTTGCTCAAGCTGGTCTCGAACTCTTGCCCTCAAGTGATCCTCCTGCCTTGGCCTCCCAAAGCTCTGGGATTGCTGGGACTATAAGCATGAGCCACTGTGCTCAGCTCTAATATTATGATGTCTTAAAGAGATAGAAACCCCTTTAAATTATTGAAGTATTCCAAATGGGGACAACCCCCTACTATATCAAGTACTGGAAGTCTGATGGTCTTGACTCCAAATTTGCTTCTCTGTAGCTTGTGGGAACTGTACTGGCCAAGGTTCTGAAAGAGAAAGTACTACTTATTTACTAGTGTCCGCTTCCAAAAAAAGTTCAAGCCTCTAAGTTTAAAAAATGGTTCACATTAGGATTTGTTAAAATTTCCTCACACTCAAATTTAGGGTAGTAAGGGACTTTAGAAATCTACTTTAACCTAATTATTTACAAATGAAAAGGAGGTGGATACGAGAGAAAAGACTTGCCCAAATCTATAGAGTCAGTTGGGAAAACTATTATACTTAAAATAAAAAGGTACTCAGGCTTCCAGCTGGAAGCTCATTTCATCATACCACCTACTTAAAATGCCTAAGTTTGGACACTATTGAAATTCCTCTGTGTTGCAGTGAGCCGAGATCCCACCACTGCACTCCTGCCTGGGCAACAGAGTAAGGCCCTGTGTCAAAAAAAAAAAAGAAAAAAGAAAGAAAGAAAAAAAGAAATTCCTCTGCCTTCTAAGAGAAAAAAACAAAAGCAAAATGGATAACTTTCTGATCTAGAACGTGAGAGTGAATCCAGCCTGGGAAACACAGCCAAACCTCACCTCTACCAAAAATATAAAAATGAGCCAGGCACGGTAGTGCACGCCTGTGGTCCCAGCTACTTGGGAGGATGAGGTGGGAGGATGGCTGGGGCCTGGGAAGTCAAGGCTGCAGTGAGCAGTGATCACACCACTGCACTTCAGCCTGGGTGACAGAGTGACCCTCTCTCAAAAAAATAAATAAATAAAGTGAGAGTGGGCTGGGTGCAGTGGTTCACGCCTGTAATCTCAGTGCTTTGGGAGGCTGAGATGGGAAGATTGCTTGAGCCAAGGAGTTTGAGACCAGCCTGGGCAACACAGGGAGACCCTGTCTCTATGAAGTTTTAAAAATTATCCATGTATGGTGGTGCAAGCCTGTGGGCCCAGCTACTCTGCAAGCTGAGGTGGGAGGACTGCTTGGTCCCAGGAGTTCAAGGCTGCAGTGAGCCACGGCCATGATGGCACCACTGCACTCCAGCCTGGGCGACAGAACAAGACCCTGTCTCAAGAAAAAAAAAAAAATTGAGAATGAAAGGTAGAGGTATCACACTTCATTTCATGAGATAAAGAATTTTTTTTTTTTTTTTTTTTGAGACAGAGTCTCGTTCTGTTGCCCAGGCTGGAGTACAGTGGCGTGATCTCAGCTCACTGCAACCTTGCCTCCCAGTAGCTGGGACCACACGCCCGTGCCACCACACCCGGCTAATTTTTGTATTTTTAGTAGAGACGGGGTTTCACTGTGTTAGCCAGGACGGTCTCAATCTCCTGACCTCGTGATCCACCCGCCTCGGCCTCCCAGAGTGCTGGGATTACAGGCGTGAGCCACCGTGCCCAGCGAGATAAATGATTTTTTCTTAAGTATCATTCCATAGTTCAGGTTTTAAAAGTTGCCAGTAAAGTATAAATGTTATGATGGTCTTGCCTGGAGGCTAAGCAAAATGAACCAGATCTTCCCTGCAATCTGAAGGTTTTTCACCATAATGAAATATACGAACTATGGCGGCTATTGATTTTGTGTGCCCAAAGCTATCCCCATCCCTCTTTTCCATAAGCAAAGTCTATAGTCCCTTGGACAGAAGAATGGGCATGTGTCCTAAGATTGGCTAATCAAGCACCTCACATCACTGGCATAGTCTAAGTAGGGCCAACCAGAATCCTCTCTGGGAACTGTGTGACACAGATGCTGCGAAAAATAAACACCCTCCCTGTTTCCCACCATGTGGAGAGCCCAAGACCAACATTCAAAGAGAAACAGACAAGCAGAAATGAGAGAAAGCAAGAGAATCTGGCAGTGTCAGCTCCTTGGTTCTCATTCCTGAGCTAGTTTCTTTGTAAATTAATCCTGTATCTGTATCAACTACAGAGGCCAGAAAATTCCTTTTTTGCTTAAAATAGTTTGAATTGGGTTTTTGTCCCTTGCAATTCCAAAATCCTAATCTATACTTACCCCAAGAGAGAGGGCTGGATATACATTGCCCTTAATGCAGGGAAATCAATACATTTTTGTTAAATTTTTAAAATTTGGACGCCTCTAGACAGGCTCTCTATTATGTCTTCTATCTATCACTTCCAATATCCTACACCCACCAACTTCACTATTTCTATTACATAAACCCTGAAAGCATCTGATTTTGCCAGTGCTTCCCCAGGATGTCCCTAGAATTTTTAAAAATCCTAATATAAGCTTGCTTCAGTTGATTTCCCAAAAAAGTCGAATATAAAATACATTCAAGGTAACCTAAGTTAAATGAGATTCTACCCAATCTAGAACATCAAAAAGCCTAGGTATCAACACTTTAGTATGTGAGGAGGCAAAATTTCAAAATTTAACATGAATCCAAAGGGGGTATGCTACTTCAATATAATTTAGTTGCATGTTTTTCTTCATACCAATGGAAATCAATAACAACAATAAATCTCAGGACCTACCTCCAATAAGGCTCCAGTTTGAAAGAATTTCAAAGGCTTTTCAATTGAATAATAAAGGCTATGGTAGCTACCCTTAGCCAGGTATGCTCGGACCAGACCAACCGCTATAACCAGCCACCTAGTAAAAGAGAAAACAGCAATCAGGAAAAAATAAAAATAAAAAAAGTAGCATTTAGGTTAACACACAGCTGTGGCAATAAAAGATATTGCTAAAGGTGACCTCAAGCATGAGTAACCTGGATTTATGGACGATAGCTCTCAAATGCCAAGCTGTAATGCACTGAAATGTTGCAACACCGACAGCACCTTACCAAGAGGGCTCAGTGAAAGCATAGTGGCACCTCACCCATCTGGAGCTCATTTTTTTGGCAACTTTGCTATTGAGATCAAGGCCAAAAGGAAAGGAATAAGCTAAAATGGTCCTTGTGCCACTAAATCAGGTGCCAAGAAAATCTAAGACGAGAAAAAAACAGTTAAAGGAAAATTTTAAACAGCCTGTGCAGTTAAAGGGTTTTTAATAATTACAGGGTGGAAAGAAGATGCTTTAAACTATTGTTATAATTGTCTCACTGGAACAATTACCCATACCTTAAAATCTATCCTTTTAAAATTACGAATAAAGGGCTCTTGCTAAAAAAAAAAAGTTTTTTAGCCAAATTTCCTAAAATCAATGCAGAAATGAAAGCCAGATCAATACAAACCACGAAACAGGAAAGCACTTAAGCATACAGCTGTGAATGTTATATTTTTGTTCCACTGTCCTTCTCAAAAATAAACACAATGTTTTGTTAAGTTCCATAATAAAACAAATGGACCTTTTTATTAAGGTATGTCTCCTGGAAGGATTTAGATAAATGTATAGTATCAACTAGGCAATGGGGTGTGTGTGGTCTATGCTATTTCCAAAAACTATCACATAAGGACATCAAGTAAGAGTTTGTAAAAGAAGAAATTATTTAATGGTGTAACTGGTACAACCATTAACAGCCTTAAAAAAAAAGCTTACTTTGCTCTCACAATCCCAATTTATCTTCCTGGTTTAAGATACCACTCCTTACCCTCCACCCCATTCTCTATGTTCATTGCTCAGGAATAGACTTCTTTCTTCTTACCAATGTACCTCAAAATCCCTCTCCAGTCCAATGCCCTCACCGGCTCTTGCTAAGACAACAAGAATTTTATATATAAATATTAATACACACAGTGAGATTCCTGGATGTTTTTTTAAAAATCAATCTATGTGACCACTGATGTGATATAAAGCTTGTATCTGTACTAGTTCTTCATTGACCTGTGAGTCAAGAGAAATGATTTCTAGATCTGGAACTTCTACTAACAAGTTCTATGATCTCATGCAAGTCACAACTTCTCTGAGCCTAGGTTCCAACACCTACCATTTCTAATACTAGCAATACATATATGATCCTCCCACGATATATTTTCTTCTTCGTGAAAAAAAAGCAAGGTGCTGAACTGTAAAAATATTAATATATTGGCATTTGTCTTATTTTAAAAAGGGATAGGGGGATGTATAAACATATTTGCTTGCATCAGCATCTTAAGGATACACAAAATTAACTGCCTCGAGGGAGGGGAGCTGGGTAGAAGGGAAAGGTGGGAGGAAAGATTTTCACTGTATTCCCTCATGTTTTTCATTTTTAACCCTAACAATGTATCACCTACTTTAAATAAAAATGGATGTTCACTATACAATTCTTTCAACTCTTCTGTATGTTTGAAATTTTTCATAATAAAATGTTAGGACTTCTTAAAAAATTACAAATGAAGATAACTTAAAAATATATAACTGTCTGATGCTGTGATCCTCCTCACCAAAATGACAAGATAAAGAATTGCAGAGCTGAAGGAACCTTCATCACCCAGACCAACCCTTTAGTTTTACAAATGAAAAAACGGAGGCTAGAGAAATAAGATGATTTATCCAAAGTCACACAGCTAGTTAGTGGCAGAGCTTGAACTAAAAACCCGCCGGGATAAGGGATGCACTGAAATGAAAGAGACAGAAGATGGGTAAAACCGTTTCGAGGGTCCATTCTCCCCCTTTCCAGTAACTCTGCCTTCTACTCCCCAGTTTCTTCCCCACCCCAACCCATCCTAAAAGTCTAAACTCATCTAAAGCCTAGCTCTGCTCATGTCGCTGGCCAAAAACTTTGAACGCTTTCCCAATACCTTTCAGATTAAAGCGCAGCCCAGATTTTGAAAACAGCCGCCCAAATGAATGGTCACTCTGCAGCCACAGCTCCTCCACTCCCCATGCTGGCGCCGTTCAACATCCGAATCTGGCCGCCCAGGACGGGCTCCGCGCCGCAGGTAGTCCGGCCGCTGCCCCCGGCCCCGCACCTGTGGCCAGCCCCACCTTTCCTCCCGCGGCCCTCGCGAGCCAGCGCCCGGCAGCCGTCCCCGCGCCCCAGTGCCTGGGAACTTGGCTCGACCCCCAGCGCAGGAGGGAGCTCGCGGGCAGCCACCGGGGCCGATTCAGCGCTCGGCCGCCCTCAGCGCCCAGGTACCGGGTCCCGGGCACCCCCCGCCGGGAATGCACTGCCTGCGGCGGGCCGCGCCGATCCTATCCGCCCCGCCGCTGGCCGCAGGGCTCCCTCCCCGGCCGCGCTGGCTCCCCGCCTCCCCGAGCCCCAGCCTCACCCGGCTGTCATCACCACATTGTAGATGACCAGGTACGCCGTGGCCAGGGGCCCCGGGCCCTTCTTCTTCCGCGTGCCGCTGGCGTCCCCGGCCCCGGCCCTGCCACCGCCGCCCCCATTCCCCTTCGCTGCTGCAGTCGCCGCCACTGCCGCCATGTCAAGTGCCCGAAGCCCGCTCTCCTAGCGCGAGCGGCTCGGGCCGGACTACGCGAGGAGAGGGGGCGGAGGAAGGGACGAGGGGCAGGCGGGGCCAGGGCCGCGGGGCGGAGCCGGGACAGGGTCCACGGCAGCCGCCATCTTGGCTGAGGGCAAAGACGCTCCTGGCGCTCCCGTCTTTCGGCTTGCCTCAGTTGCCACTGCCATCTTGGATCAGGGTAATTCCCGCCTCTTGGGCGCTCCCGGTTACAACCTCGGCGCCATCTTGGATTAGTTCAATGTAGCCACCCTCTCCAGGCCCGCTGCTTCTGCCAGCTGGATGTTGCGTCGTCCCTCGCTATTCGCCCTCCTATAATCACTGCTTCCATGTTGAATCAAAACAATTATGCTTTCGTTCTCCCTTCTTCAATTGCCCTATCTTCACACCTGAACACTATTGCTCCGGTATCCTGCCATTTTGGATCAGGGCGGTTGACGGTGGATTCACTTCCCATCAGCCCTTGAGGCTGCAGGGACCAGCCCTTTGGTAGGTGCGCTTTGCTTCCTAACCCGTTGCCGGGTTGGAGATTCCACCTCCGAAGTTTTCTTTCTGACTTTTGATTTTACATTCCTAGTACAGTGGAGAAGCCCAGGCGGCCTAGAATCCAGTGTCGTCCGTGAGTGCTTGGCTGGTGTTCAAGTGCATCTTCCAGCCTGAGACCGCGTGGACTCGCTCATCGTGAGGGCGAGAGGAGGATAAGCCCATTGGGCTGTCGGCTGAGAGTGAGGTGCGGGGTAAGGGAGTAGATTTATAGCTATAGTGACTAAAAATAAAAGGATGTTGGCTTAGGTGGAAAACCTCTCTGCTTTGGGAAGCTGGAGCAGCTTGTGGGCATTGCTTCAACCAGCTGATCCCACTTTCCATTCATTGCTTTGTTTCAGGAGGTTCTTTATTTGTAAACGTCCCCTGCAATTTTTTACACACCCAAGCAGCTCCTTAAATGTATTACTGTATATGTGGTAGTATAAAATATTTATGGGTTCATTCCAGCAAGTGTTTATGGAGCGTCCACAAAGTTGCCCTGGAGTTCATGGCACTAAGTGAAAGAGACAAAGTCGTCAGTCTCCCAGGGATTATATAGAGCAGCGGCCCCCAACCTTTTGGTCAACAGGGACCGGTTTCGTGGTGGGGGGGTGGATGATGGTTTCAGGATGATTCAAAGGCATTACATTTATCATTAGATTCTCATAAGGAGCACACAACTTAGATCCCTCCAATGCGCAGTTCACAATAGGTTCCCCGCTCCTATGAGAATCTGATGCCACCGCTGATCTGAGGGAGGCGGAGCTCAGGAGGTAATGCTCCCTTGCTTGCTGCTCACCTCCTGCTGTGCCTCCTGGTTCCTAACAGGCCAGGGATTGGTTCTATCCGCAGCCTGGGGCTTAAGGACCCCTGAGGGAACCAGACGAAAATGCTCGTATTAGTTGGTGAAAAGTGGTATCAGGAAGTTATTACAATAATCCAGCCATGGTGATAGTGGTGTGGGCCAGAGTGGTGGAAATCGAGGTGATGAAAACAACAATGAATTCTGTGCGTATTTTAGAAGTAGAATTATAAGATTTGTGGATATGTTAGTTTTGGAGTGTGAGGTCAAAGGCGTTTTGAGCAACTTGTAAGAAACCATTTTTAAGGCGGAAGTCGGGAATTTTGTTTTTTATATGTTGAATTTGAAATCCTTATTAAACATCCAAGTGGAGAGGCTGGATAGACAATTAAATTTAGACCCTGAGGTTCGGGAAGGAAGTCCAATGGGCTAGAGATATAAATTTGAGAGTTGTCAACCTAAAATAATAAAAAAGGTAAGAATCTAGTTTAAAGGAAGTTTATTCAAGCATAAAGGTTGAAGATGGCTACCTGGGAGCATAGATTCAAGTTACCCTAAATATACACTCTGATTAGCAGCGGTTATGAGTGGGTTTTTAAAGGAAAAAGAGGCAGCTTCTAAGTTGTTTACTAAGAATTTACATTAAAATTACATTAGCTATTGATTGGCTATAAACTATTCTTTGTATCACAGATTCCAGGAACATGAAGATAATGGGTGAGGCTGCTAGTCAGGAACAAAATGTCTAAACAGTTGCCCCCAGGCAAACTCTTGTCTCTGGGCCTGATAAATTTTTGCATACTTCACATAGCTCAGACAGCTCAGAGCTGTTTGAGGTATTATCTTTTCTCAGAGTTCTGAGGGTGGTGGTGGTATTTAAATCCATGACACTGTAATCACCCAATACGTTCTTCCTTCCCACTGCACAGACAAAATCAATTCATAGAGACCATGGCATTGCAATAAAGAATTTAATTGACATGAGATAGGTCTTGGAGATGGAGTTATTACTCCAAATCTCCCCCAAAATTCAGAGGGTAGGGTTTTTCAAGAATAGTTTGGCTAAGATCTGAGAGCTATAGTCAAAACAAAACAAAACAAAACACCCACCCCCCCCCCAACACACACACAGTTTGGCAGGCAGGAGGCTGGAGGAATGGGTGCTGCTGATTGGTTGGGAATGCAATTATAGGGGTGTGGAAAATGGTCCCCCTGCACTGAGCCTGCTTCTGGGTGGAGGCCACAGGACTGGTTGAGCCAAGAGTCAAAGGTCTCAGTGGGGTCGTCAGCCATCCGAAATGCAGAAGCCTGAAAGTTTATCTCAAAAGGCCAATCTTAGGTTCTACAGTAGTGAACTGGGGAAGCTGCAAATCTAGTGACCTCTGGAATAGTGGCTGGTAATCATTTAACTTAACAAAGCCTATGTCTTAGCAGAATTCAAGCTCCTCTTATCCTTCTAACCTGGTGGCTTTTCATTAGTTTTACAAAAGTGGTTTAGTTTTGGGGAGGGGCTATTATCGCTTAAACTGTAAACTAAGTTTCTCCCAAAGTTAGCTTGGTGCAAGCCCAGGAATGACCAAGGGCAGTTTTGGAGGTTAAAGATGAGAAAGGAAAACCCCAGATTCACTGAGCCAAAGGGAAAAGTCAAGCTGGGAACTGGGTCACACAAACCTGCCTCCCATTTGGTTCCTAAATAAGATAGCTACAAAGATAAAAGCTATATACTTCCCTCACATTTTACCCACAAGGAAATTCCTTTTAGGCCCAAAGATCTTTACTCTAAAACAGTTCTGTTGAATTTCAACCTGGCAATGTAAGTTGATATCTTCACAGGTATGGGACATAGGACAGAATTCAAAGTCTTCCCTCTCCTCACCTGAGACAAATGCATATCTGATTGCTTCCTCTGCCCTATTGTCTACGTTATCTTATGTAAAAATACAGATTAACTGAGCCAGACTAAGGCATGAATATTTCCTCCACTCCCCACTCACATGAAAATTGTGTATTCAAAAGGATGCAACTGTTTTATCTTTTTATCTACTGACACAATTTAAAAATATTTCTTGGCTGGGCGTGGTGGCTCACGCCTGTAATCCCAGCACTTTGGGAGGCCAGGCAGGCAGATCAGGAGGTCAGGAGTTTGAGACCAGCCTGGCCAGTATGGTGAAACCCCATCTTTACTAAAAATACAAAAATTAGCTGGGTGTGGTGGTGCGCGCCTGTAGTCCCAGCTACTTGGGAGACTGAGGCAAGAGAATCGCTTGGAGTTGGAGGTTGCAGTGAGCCGAGATTGCGCCGCTGCACTCCAGCCTGGTGACAGAGCGAGACTCTGTCTCAAAAAAAAAAAAAAATTTCTCTTCCCCCAGTATCCACCCTTTCCCCTTTAAGTACTGAAGCCCTCAAAATCATCTTTGGAGATAGGCATATACCTGCCTCCCTGGCATGCATCCTTTACTATGGCAAATAAACCTCCTAAAATGATTGAGACTTGCCTTGATCGTGTTCTTTGATTTACAGAGTCAAGGTGGGGGCTGGTTAGATCAGATCTCTCTCAGTCATAATTTTCTCACTGTTACAATTTTTGCAAAAGAAGTTTCAAGACCTCAAGAGATGAAGTGAGAGGCATAAGTTGACAATTGTCAGGGTCCCATCCTTTCCCGCCATGGCAGATTGTTCAGAGATTCTGTTGCCTTGTTTTCCTGAAATTTTTTTTTTTTGGAGACGAAGTCTTGCTCTTGTCCCCCAGACTGGAGTGCAATGGCACACTCTTGGCTCACTGCAACCTCCGCCTCCCAGGTTCAAGCAATTCTCCTGCCTCAGCCTTCCAAGTAGCTGGGATTACAGGTGCCTGCCCCCACGCCCAGCTAATTTTTGTATGTTTAGTAGAGACGGGATTTTGCCATGTTGGCCAGGCTGGTTTCGAACTCGTGACCTCAGGTGATCCACCTGCCTCGGCCTCCCAAAATGCTGGGATTATAGGCATGAACCACCACACCCGACCTTCCTGAATTTTTCAAAGAGCAAGTTGGTGAGCCCAAATTGCACACTGTGATCAGAGGGCAAAAAAATTTCTTTGCAAAAGAAATAAAGAAGTGAACCATTTTACAAAACCAAATAATCATTCATCTAAAAGCTTCTTTCATTCATTTGACTGATTTTTTTTTCAATATAATCTACTTAATGGGAAAGTAGGAGGAGGCAGGAATGCATAAAGTTCTGTTCAGTTGGAAATCAGTTTAAAACTCAATGTATCTTCTTGCAGTCACTTAGGCCCAACTCCAGTCTGTTGTTTATAGCAGCAATCTCCAACCTTTTTGGCACCAGGGACTGGTTTCATGGAAGACAATTTTTCCATGGACTGGGGAGGGAATGGTTTCAGGATGAAACTGTTTCACTTCAGATCAGCAGGCATTAGATGGAGCCTGCAACCTAGATCCCTCGCCTGCATGGTTCATGATAGGGCTCGTGTTCCTATGAGAATCTAATGCCGCTGTTGGTCTGGCAGGAGGTGGAGATCAGGTGGTAATGCTCACTTGCCTGCTGCTCACCTCCTGCTGTGTGGCTGGGTTCCTAACAGGCCATGGACCTGTACCAGTCTGTGGCCCAGAGGTTGGGGACCCCTGCTCTACAGTACAGCCAAAGTGATCTTTTCCACATACAACCTTGTTCGTGTCTACTACCTTCCTCTGCCCCACCCCTGAAGATATTTAAATGGCTTTTGATGACACTTAGGATAAAGCATAAAATATTTAATATGGTATACAAAAATCTGCATAGACTAGACCCTACCTGCCTCCTCAGTCTCACCATGCCCCTCCTAGTCATACTGGCCTCATCTTAGGTCTTCCATCGAGCAGTACTCCTTTTTTGCCTCAGGGAATTTGCACATGCTATTCCAATCATACCTTCCCAACAGTACCCCAAAGTCTTAACTCATTTCAGCATTAACTCAAAAGTCCAAGTTCAAAGTCTGATCTGAGACAAGGCAAGTCTCTTTCACCTACAAGCCTGTAAAATCAAAAACAAGTTAGTTACTTCCAAGATACAATGGGGGTACAGGCATTGGGTAAATGTTCTCATTCCACATGGGAGAAATTGGCCAAAACAAAGGGGCCACAGGCCCCATGCAAGTCTGAAACCTGGTTGGGCAGTCATTAAATATTAAACCTCTTAAATACTCTCCTTTGACTCCATGTCTCACATCCAGTGCATGCTGATTGAAGAGGTGAGCTCCTAAGGCTTTGGGCAGCTCTTGCCATGTGGCTCTGCAGGGTACAGTCCCAAAGGCTGCTTTCATGGGCTGGAGTTGAGTGCCTGAAGCTTTTCCAGGTCCAGGGTGCAAGCTGTTGGTGGATCTACCATTCTGGGGTCTGGAGGACAGTGGCCCTATTCTCAGATCCACTAGGTATTGCCCCAGTGGGGACTCTGTGTGGATGCTCCAACCCCACATTTCCCTTTTGCACTGCACTAGTAGGGGTTCTCCATGAGGGCTCCGCCCATGCAGCAGACTTCTGACTGGACATCCAGTCATTTCCATACATCCTCTGAAATCTAGGCATAGGTTTCTAAACCTCAACTCTTGGCTTCTGCACACTTGCAGGCCCAACACCACATAAAAGCTGCCAGGGCTTGGGGCTTGTACCCTCTGAAGCAATGGCCCAAGCTGTACCTTGGCCCCTTTTAGCCATGAGGTGGAGTGGCTGGGACACAGGGCACCATGTCTTGAGGCTGCACACAGCAGTAGAGCCCTGGGCCTGCCTAGCCCAGGAAACTATTTTTCCCTCCTAGGCCTCTAGGTCTGTGATGGGAGGGGCTGTCCTGAAGATCTCTGAAATTCCCTGGAGACATTTTTCCCCATTGTCTCAGCTATTAACATTCAGCTCCTTGTTACTTGTGCAAATTCCTGCAGCCTGCTTGAATATCTCCCTGGAAAATGGGTCTTTGTTTTCTACTGCATGGTCAGGCTGCAAATTTTCCAAACTTTTATGCTCTGCTTCCCTTTTAAACATAAGTTCCAATTTCAGATCATCTCCTTGTGAACGCATGTGACCGTTTGCTTTCAGAAAAAGCCATGTGACATCTTGAATGCTTTGGTGCTTCGAAGTTTATTCTACCAGATACCCTAAATCATCTGTCTCAAGTTTAAAGTTCCACAGATCTCTAAGGCAGGGGCAAAATGCTGTCAGTCTCTTTGCTAAAGCATAGCAAGAGTGACCTTTGCTCCAGTTCCCAATAAGTTCTTCGTCTCCATCTAAGACCATCTCAGCCTGGACTTCATTGTCCATATCACTATCAGCATTTTGGTCAAAATCATTCAACAATTCTCTAGGAAGTTCCCAACTTTCCCACATCTTCCCCATGTCTTCTTCTGAGCCCTCCAAACTGTTCTGACCTCTGCTGTTACCCAGTTCCACACTTGCTTCAACATATTGAGGTATCTTTATAGCAGTGCCCCACTCCCAGTACCAATCTTCTGTATTAGTCCATTTTCACACTTCGATAAAGAACTACCTGAGACTGGGTAATTTATAAAGAAAAGATGTTTAATTGACTCACAGTTCTGCATAGCTTGGGAGGCCTCAGGAAATTTACAATCATGGTTGATACAATTACGCTGTGTTTCCACCCACATCTCATCTTGAATTTTAGTTCCCATAATCCCCATGTGTTGTAGGAGGGACCCAGTGGGAGGTAATTGAATCGTGGATGCGGTTACCTCTATGCTGTTCTTGGGATAGTGAGTGAGACTCACAAGCTCTGATGGTTTTATAAGCATCTGGCACTTCCCCTGCTGCCATGTGAAGAAGGATATGTTGGCTTCCCTTTCCACCATGATTGTAAGTTTCCTGAGGCCTCCCCAGCCATGCAGAACTGTGTCAACTAAACCTCTTTCCTTTATAAATTACCTAGTCTCAGATATTTCTTCATAGCAGTGTGAGAAGGGACTAATACAATGGTGGACAGCAAAGGAGAAGCAAGCACCTTCTCCACAAGGCAGCAGGAGAGAGAGAGAGAGAGCAAAGAAGGAACTGCCAAACACTTATAAACATCAGACCTCGTGAGAACTCAC
This sequence comes from Homo sapiens, assembly GCF_000001405.40. Lineage (NCBI taxonomy): Eukaryota > Metazoa > Chordata > Mammalia > Primates > Hominidae > Homo > Homo sapiens. The sequence continues at coordinate 123,592,465 of NC_000003.12, forward strand.
TATCACTAGAACAGCATGAGGGAAACCATCCCCATGATCCAATCACCTCCCACCAGTCCCTCCCTCAACACGTGATGATTACAATTTGAGATGAGATTTGGTTGGAGACACACAGCTAAACCGTATCACTCCTTTTTTGCATTTATAATTTTTAAAATATCACTTATTCTTCCCCCTCTACTTACTGGAATTTGTACATCTTGCTTCTCTTCTTTTACTGGTTACCATAGAAATTACAGCATGGATCATTAACTCATTAAAGTCTAATATTAATCAGTACTTTATCATCTTCCTAAACAATACATAAACCTTTCAAATCTGTCTGGTCATTTTTAATAATCCCTTGTTCCTTGCCTATATGAATTTTTATGAATATATAATACCATGTATCTGTCATGGCACATTGTACATAATAGTTTCACTGCCCTAAAAATCTGTGCTTTACCTATTCATCCCAAACCAGCCTCCTCCCACACCCATAGTAACCATTGATTTTTTTACTGTCTCTACAGTCTTGCTTTTTCCAGAATGTCATATAGTTGGAATTATACAGGATGTTGCCTTTCTGTTGTTTTTTTTTTTTTTTCACTTAGCAACATGCACTTAAGGTTTGTCTGTGTCTTTTCATGGCTTGACAGCTCACTTCTTTTAATCACTGAATAATATCCCATTGTCTGGATGTACCTTCTTTTTTTTTTAACCTATTCACCAATCGAAGGACATCTTGGTTGCTTCCAAATTTTGGCACTTATGAATAAAGTTCATATGAACATTCATGTGCAGGTTTTTATGTGGACATAAATTATGTTTTTTATTTCATCTTTTATTTTCTTGAATATTTTATACAGGCTTATTTTATTTTCCCTATATGATAATTCCAATATTTGAAGTTTCTGGGGGACTAAATCATTTTTTTTTTGTTGTTGTTTTTGTTCACTGACTCATGGTGGCTTAATCTCCCTGTAATTTTTTATTGTGAGTTTATTTTATTGAATTTAAATCAATGGAAATTCCAAGGGCCTACATTTGGGATGCTTTCCTTCAGAAGGACTTTTATATACCTCTGCTAAAAGCCAGATGGCATCCGGACCACTTTAGTGTGCGCTTCAAGGATCCTGGAGCTTCAGCTTCCTCATGTTGCCATGGTTCCAGGTTTAGCTTCTGATTCACAGAACTGGTGTTGGCATTTGCAACATAGTGAAAACTCCCATATCTAATTTTTTAAAAAACAGAAATTAATGCAGAAGAATATTACTTCAAAGGTATAGAATTTTAAAACTATCAATATCACCAACCATAAATGAGAAGATTCGTACATTTGACTATATTAAAATAAAGAACTTTTGTTTGCCAAAAGATAGCATGAAATAAGCAAAAAAGCAAGGTACAGAGTACAAGATATTTGCCACATGTATAATTGATAAAGAATAGCCTCCAGGATATATGAAAACTCTTTCAAATCAATAATAGACAATCACATTGAAAAAAAATGAGCAAAGACTTGAACAGAAGAAAATATAAATGGTCAATAAACATGCAAATATGCTCACTCTCATTATTAATTAGGGAAATGCAAGTATAACAACAGTGAGATACCATTAACTATCCTCTAGATTGGCTAAAATTCAACAGTTTGATAACACCAATTGTTGGCAAGGATGTGATGCGGCAGGAACTCTTCAGACTGCTGTTGATTAATTGGTGTGTTCAGTTTGGGAAACAATTTGGCATTATCTAGTAAAGTTGAAGATACATATATCCCGTGATGGCTATTCTACTGCCAGGTCGATGATCTTAAAGATCTCCTAGGATACATGCATCAGGATATTCAAAGCAGCATTGTTCATCATACCCCACACTGAATACAACAAAACGTCTATCCACAGTAAAATAAATAAATACATCATGGTACATTCCTATGATGGGATACATTACAGCAATGCAAATGAACAAATTGCAGTTCTACTCAACAACATGGATGAATCTCATAAACAAAATATTGAATGACAGAAGTAAGGCACAAAAGAATATACACAGTATGATCCATTCATCTAAAGTTCAAAATGAGGCCAAATGAAATGATGTTGTTTAGGGATACAGACACAGGTGGTAAAACTGTATAGAAAAGCCAAGAAAATGATTATCACAAAAGTCAGGATAGTGGATACCTCTGATGAAGAGAGAGGAGTTTATGACCAAGAGGAGACAAAGAGCAGGGACTGGGAGAGGGTATGAGGAGGGGTTCTGGGAGTAGGAAATGTTTCATTTCCTCACATTGGTATGGTTCTGTAGGTTTTCCTTTCATGATGTTTCATCAACGTGTATATTTATGTCAGTTATATTTCATAATTGTTTTAAACAAAGGAATGATCAGCACAAGGAGTGGCAGAGGTATGACATCCAGGAAAAGTGCACGGGTAGCTTCACCATTGTTGGTAATGTTCTTAAGTTAGGTGTGGATTCATGAGTGTTCATTTTTATGCTCATAACTTACATATAGTTTATATGTTAGATACATCTTATACGTTAAATATGCATAAGAAATTTATAATAAATTAAAAGCAGAGAGGAATCCTGATAGTAGGAAATAGGATGGTTTGCACCAGGATTGTCATCTAGGAAGCTATCGTATAGTTAATCTGGACATAATAAGAATGTTAGAGACTGGAGTCACTGCCATCTCTTTCAGGGAAGAGATTGACAGACAGGGGCCATATTTTCTACCATATTATTCTCATTCCCCTGACTACATACATAGATGCCAAGACTATAAAGCAAAATCATGAAATGTTTATCACAAAAGTCAGGATAGTGGATACTTCTGAACTGGAGGTGGGCACCCCTCTTTCTTATCTTTTTGTCTTCATAGAAAAGGTACAAAAAGACATATGTACTAACCAAATTTCGAGGTTCCTAAATAATGGAGACTAACTCTCGGTTAGTTAGAGAGAAAATGAATTTATTGAAAGGACATTACATAGCTCACAAAATTGATGGAAAAGCTGAAGAATGAGGCTTGGAACTTGGAAAGGAGCCATGGGAAATTAGGCAGCCCGAAATAGAGACCAAATCAATACACAGGAAGCATCTGGTTAGTATCCAACTGCGTCTGTCATTGGCACAACCACCATCAGACGTTGGACAGTACCCTTATTGCTTCCTCTTCCACCTCTGGAAAGATTCTAAGTGCCATTTGCTTCTTTCTGTTACTCCAGAATCAAGGTCTTAGGTAGGAGTGTCTGATTGGAAGGTCCTGTGCCCAAATTCTAGAGACAAGGGATCTGGAAAAGGGGCTATTTGTCCATACTTAAGCTTCTTTATTGGATTTTTTTCCAAATAGGAAGTGTTAGATACTAGGAGGCCAAAAATGAAAAACTCCTATCACAAGGAATATTAGAAATAAACATATCTGGCTTCTGCCTATTCACAGCGAGGAGAAAAGATTAATAGGATCAGTTAAGATCTGTGAAATTCACAGGGCCATGCTTTTACTTGGAGACAAGGGATTCTGCACAGTCACTGAACTGAAAGGCAGCCAGGCTTTCTCTTCCTTCTGCTTTGCAGTGCACCACTCTTTCTCTTTTCTAGTTTTTCTGCCTGTGATTGGCAGTGGGAACTGGGGTGGAATTCTGATCAGTCCTGCCAGGCCAGGAAGCTATCTTCAATTCAGGAAGGTGAGATGTGACCCTGCTGCTGTCTCCAAACTGGCCAGCATCAGAGAACTCTTCAAGGGTATGTTTTTGGGTGCCTGACCAACCACGAAGACAACTGACATTTGGGCCGGGCATGGTGTAATCCTAGCACTTTGGGAGGCCAAGGCAGGAGGATCACATGAGCTCAGAAGTTTGAGGCCAGCCTGGGCAACATAGTAAGACTTTGCCTCTACAAAACATAGAAATATTAGCTGGATGTAGTGGTGCATGTCTATAGTCCCAGCTACTTGAGAGGCTGAGGCAGGAGGATGGCTTGAGCTGGGGAGATTGAAGTTGCAGTGGATGGTGATAGCACCACAGCACTCCAACCTGGGCAGGCAACAGAGCAAGATCCCATCTCAAAAAAAAAAAAAGACAGCTGACATTTGGATTCTTGTTTGGCTGGTGATCTAGTTTTTCTGTCATGCAAAACCCTGGAGGAAAAGAGGGATGGGTGATAGGAATCAGACTCTAAATTCCACCCTAAACTTCCAGTTAGCGGTGCCTTAGACTGGCTGGTGATACAACCTAATATGAAATGGCTATATCAGATTCATCTCTTTGAGAATCTGAACTTGGAAGAACTGAGCCCTCAGCAGATGTGGGGAGAGAAGAGACACATGTGAGAGGCTGTGTGATAGTTGCCTTAGTATTTGATGATGCTGTGATCAGCTGCAGGCCATAGTCTCCCTACAAATAGTTAATGAACACACTAATGAAGTTCAATCACGTTTATGAATAAACACTGATTAAAACAATGAGATAGATGTCTTCTTCTTTTTCTTTTCTTACTCAAAATGTCAGTAACCCTGTTGGCAGGCGTATAAGAACAGTTGTGCTCTTACACTTTGCTATTGAAAGTATAAATTGATAGACTTTCTGGAAGACAGCTTGGAAATACATAAATATATACTGAAACTTTAAAATTATGCGTGTCCTTTGACCCAACAATTACACTTCTTGGAACTTTTTTATTTTTATCTGTTTTAGAGATAGGATATTGCTCTATTGCCCAAGTTGGCTTCAAACTCCTGGGCTCAAGTGATTCTCTCACCTCAGCCTTCCGATAACTGGGACTACAGGCACACGCCACTGCACCCAGCCATTGGAATTTATCCTAAAGAAAGAATTTAGGATGTGAAAAAAGATTTAGTTATAAAAGTTCATTCATCACAATGCTATTTACAATAAGAATATTTCCAAACTGTTGGAAACAATCTAAATGTCCAGCAGTATAGACTGACTAAATTATGATGGAAGCTTAAAATAGTATATTCAGCCATTAAAAATGGTTTTGCAGAAACTTACTTTTAAATGAGGCTTCTGAGTCAAAAACAAAAACAATTAATCATTTGTAGCAAAAGCAGCAGCCCAAGCAACATCCTATGTTGGTTTCCAAGGGTCATCATGAGGGCGAGATGGTACCTGCACATGCAGCGGGGTGCATTACAGGACAGGAGCCCTGTAAAAATTAGGAAACTCTGATCTTCTATATAACTGCCAGAGACCTGCCCATCATCCTCTCCAGAGAGAGAGAAACCTTAGTTTACTCTGGAATGTAAGCAAGTCTTGTCCAGGAAGGGAGGAAGAAGAGTTCTTTATCTTTACTATCCTGGACCATCTCCAGGGAGGTAAACATGTCTACGCTTTACTATCCTGAGATGTCTCCTTATATAAGTATTCTTGAATTGTTTGCAATTGCCTTCGATCAGAGGACCTGAGCCATGCAGAAAAGTGAGATGTTCAGGGTAAATCTTCTTCTAACATTGACTGTATGTGAAGGGCATTAGATGCAACTGTCAATTTTTTTTCTCAGTTTGAAAAAGTTTTTATTTTTTATTTCCCATTTCTTAGAGACAGGGTCTTTCTCTGTTGCCCAGGTTAGAGTACAGTGGCATGATCACAGCTCACTGCAGCCTCGAATGCCTGGGCTCAAGCCTCAGCCTCTCAAAGTGCTGGGATTATAGGCATGAGCCACCATGCCTGGTTTTGAAAAAGTTTTAAGAGAAAGTTTGGGAAAATAATATTGCATAAATGTATTTGACATGGACGTTGTTTAGAATATGCTAAGTAAAAAAGTGGATTATACATGGCATGTAGTAAGATCCCATTTTTTAACAATTAGGTATAGGTGTTTGTCTATGGAGAAAAAAATCTGGAGGGGGTATACCAATATATTAATAATGTTTATTTTTGGGTGAGAGACAGCATCATTTGTTTTCAAATGTTCTTTCTGTTTATATGTGTTTTGCTTTTTCTCCAATGAATGTAGTAGTTTTTGTGATTAAAATTTCTTTTTCTTTTCTTTTCTTTTTCTTTTTTTTTTGACAGGATCTCACTCTGTTGCCCAGGCTGGAGTACAGTAGTGCAATCATAGCTCACTGCAGCCTTGAACTCCCAGGCTAAAGCAATCCTTCTGCCTCAGCCTCCTGAGTAGCTGGGACTACAGGTGCATACCACCACATCTGGCTAATTTTTAAATTTTTTGTAGAGACAGAGTCTCCGTATGTTGCCCAGCTGGTCTTGAACTCCTGGGCTCAAGTGATCCTCCTTCCTTGGCCTCCCAAAGTGTTGGGATTACAGGCATGAGCCACTGCACCTGGACTTAAATTTTTTCTTTGTATCAGAAACTATAATTCCTCTTTTTCTTTCTGTCTTCTATTGAGGGTAGATATCAGTAATATGGGTTTTTTGTTTTTTGTTTTTTATTTTTGCTAGTTTAGCTAAATCTTGGATAAAATTAAACTTTCCTATATGAGGGAAGAGAAAAAGGTAAGAGGAAAATAGCAATACTAAGAGAAAGGATGGAGGCCGGGCAAGGTGGCTCACACTTGTAGTGTCAGCACTTTGGGAGGCTGAGACCTGTGGGCTGCTTGAGCCCAAGAATTTGAGACTAGCCTAGGCAACATGGTGAAACCCCATCTTTACAAAAAATACAAAAATTCGCCAGGTGTGGTGGTGGGCACCTGTAGTACCAGCTACTCAGGGGACTGAGGTAGGAGGATAGCTTGAGCCCAGGAGGTCGAGGCTGCAGTGAGCCTTGAGTGGGCCACTGTACTCCACTGCACCAGACAAAACCAGAGAGAGCATGGGGGAAAAGTAAAAACAGGGAAACTTGGGAGAAGAGGCAGGTCTTGCGGGGGTTTGAAGTGAAATGCTGATTGATATAAACTCCTTTATCCACAACCCTTACAAAGTCAGTAAATTCTTTGATGTTTTCATATGAGTGGAATTTTTAGTGGGAAGCTCAGAGAAAAGGAAGAGGAGACAATAGTAATATAGGTTGCATTTTGGGTGTTGTATAGGAGCTTCAAAGGAATGTGCTTAGCTATATTTAGAATAAATGATCACCTAGAATAGTGGTTCTCAAACTCTTAAAAGTTATTGAAGATCCTAAAGAACTTTTTCTAATGTGGCTTATAACTATGTATTATTTACCATATTAGAAATTAGAACTAAGAAATGTAAAATCACAAGAAAATATAAACCCTCACAATGATGACTTCGTTACGCATCAGGTAGACTCTGGAAAACTCCCTTCTACATTTGTTGGTGAAAGAGGGTGAAAAAGACAAATAACAAGTTAGCATTATTATTAAAGTAGTATTGACTTCATGTTCTCCCTGAAATGGTCTTGGAGTTCCAAACCAAACTTTGAGAACCACTGACCTAGACAATTAATATTTTGTGAGGTAGGATATTGACTTCTACTTCTGCCCCATTTTCTCTTTTCTCTCTAGTGTTCTGTTGTTTATATATTGGACCTCTTCTGATTCTTTTATCTTTTCTCTTCTGTTGTTCATTGTCATCTTCTTGTTTTTCTTCCCTTCCCCCCCCACTCTTCCTCCTCCTTCTTATTTTTTCTTCTTCCTTTTTCTTCTTTCTTCCTCCTCTTCTCCTTCCTCCTCCTCCCCTTCCTAATCTTCCTCTTCCTCCTTCTCCTCCTCCTCCTCGTCCTTCTCCTCTTCCTTTTTTTCTGAGACAGGGTCTTACTCTGTCACCCAGGCTGGAGTGCAGTGGTACAACCACAGTTCACTGTAACCTTGACCTCCTGGGCTCAAGTGATCCTCCTACTTCAGCCTCCCAAGTGGTTGGAACTACAGGCACACACCACCACACCTGTCTAATTTTTTTTAAATTTTTTGTAGAGATGGGGTTTCATTATGTTACCCAGGCTGGTCTTGAAATCTTGGGCTCAGTTGATCCGCCTGCCTCAGCCTCCCAAAGTGCTGAGATTACAGCTGTCAGCCACTGTGTCTGGCCTCTTTTTTTATTTCTTCCTGGGAGATTTCTATAATTATGTTTTCCAACCTAATTCTTTGAATGCTGCTTTAATTTTTCATTTTTATTTTTTGTATATAGCATCCTGTTTGGTTTTGGGTATACTATTTTCTTAAATTTCTTTGAGGATATGAATTATTGTTTTCCTTTCCTCCCTATATGATCTCTATTTCTTCCAAGTTCTTTTTAATGCTCGTTGTCCTCTTTGTCTTTTGTGTTAGAAAATTTTCCTCAAATATCTGATGTTATTTAGTTGTTTGCCTGTATTTAAGAGTGAAGCACTAAAAACTGAAACTGTGTGACTAGCTGGGGCCTGTTTACTGTGGGCCTTGCTGTAGAATGCTCACAGTCATTAGAATGACCTTAGCACTATCTGACAAATCCATGATAATGCAGAATTCGGTTGGATATCATTTAATGTCCATAGGGGTGTGACCCTACCATGAAGAAGGACATGAAAACATTTTGGGATTCTACCAACTCCAAAAAGGTTTTAACAGACTGTGATGGTTAATATTGAGTGTCAACTTGATTGGATTGAAGGATGCAAAGTATTCTTCCTGGGTGTGTCTGTGAGGGTGTTGCCAAAGGAGATTAACATTTGAGTCAGTGGACTGGGAGAGGCAGACCAACCCTTAATCAGCTGCCAGCACTATCTAATCAGCTGCCAGGGTGGCTAGGATAAAAGCAGGAGGAGGAAAGTGGAAGGACTAGACTGGCTTAGTCTTCTGGCCTCCATCTTTCTCCTGTACTGGATGTTTCCTGCCCTTGAACATCAGATTCCAGGGTCTTCAGCTTTTGGACTCTTGGACTTACACCAGTGGTTTGCCAGGGGCTTTTGGGCCTTTGGCCACAGACTGAAGGCTGCACTGTCAGCTTCCCTACTTTTGAGGTTTTGGGACTCGGACTGGCTTCCTGGCTCCTCAGCTTGCAGACAGCCTATTGTGGGATTTCACCTTGTGATTATGTGAGCTAATACTCCCTAATAAACTCCCTTTCATATACACATTTATCCTATTAGTCCTGTCCCTCTAGAGAACCTTGACTAGCACACAGACTTAAATAAGAATCCTGAGGATCCAATGGAATGACCATAAGTATCTTTACAGGTAGTTGGAAAACATTACATATCTAAGGATAATTGAAGAAATGTAAAACCAAGTAGTGATGAAAGATGTTAGCTACAATATTTTTTTTGAGACAGGTTTTCACTCTGTCACTCAGGCTGGATGCAGTGGCAGATCATGGCTCACTGCAGCGTCAGCCTCCTGGGCTCAGGTAATTCTCCCATCTTAGCCTCCCGAGTAGCTGAGACTACAGGCACACACCACCACACGCAGCAGATTTTTTGTATTTTTATTAGAGACAGGGTTTCACCATGTTGCCCAGGCTGGTCTTGAACTCCTGGGTTCAAATGATTCACCCGCCTTGGCCTCTCAGTGCTGGGATTACTGTGCCTGTCCTAGCTACAATCTTATTTGGGGTTGCAAACTCCAGGAATAAAGGAATATTTAGGACTGAAACTCAAGGACTGGATTTTAGAGTCCAGAATGTAGTGACTACAGAAAGGAACTTAGCTCGGCAATCAGAGTCACAAGAAATATTTCCAGGGTGTCTTATAATTCCAAGTCTCATGCTCAGCTGAAGTGTTTGGTCAGAGTAAACTCAGCCAGCTGAGAAGATGATGTTCCCCTAAGTGGAAAGGCAATGTTTCTTCAAATAAACAACTTTCTTTAACTTTATGAAATTTAGAATTTAGAAAAGTTACAAAGTAAACATATGGTATTAAATGTTAGTTAAAATCCTTATTTTAGGTACTCCTTTTTATTCTTTTTTTAGAGATGGGGTCTTGTTCTGTCCTGTCAAGGAGCAGGTGTCCCTGAGAACCCAAACATTCCAGAGAGTATCTGAGAACCTACCTGGGAAAAAAGTCCCATAACACACACAGTAGGCAAAGAGCCAGAAAATTAGTTTAAAAGCAGCATAGGGATGGGAGGCAGCATGGGCCTCTAAAGCTGTCCTGCTGCTGTCCGGGAGTACCTCCTATATAAGTCCTAATAAACTCATCTACTTGCCAAACTGGACTTGTCTGAGTCATTGTTTGGTCTCTTGGCTCCCTCCCAGCTTGGGGGAAGGTTTTTCTATATGATTCCAGGTTTTTCTCATTACAGGCATGATAATGCATGCATGTAGTCCTGAGCTACTTGGGAGGCTGAGGCAGGAGGATTGCTTGAGTCCAGGAGTTTGAGGCTGCCATGAGCTATGACAGCACCACTGTATTCCAGCCTGGACGGTACCTTGCTCAAAAAAAAATAAAAATAAAAAGGCATATTAGAGAAACAGATTAGCCTGTGATTCCAATTTAACATATAAATTGTGTAACTGACTTAGATTTGGGATTCAAGATTTAACTCTTACTAAATTTATAACAGTATTGGACCATTTAAGTGACATTAAGTCTTATTGTATTTATAAATTTAATTATCATGAGACATTTCATTTGAGAAGTTATTTGTAGGAGCTTTTCTTGGGAAGTTTTGTTATAAGCCAATTGAAGAATTTAAAATGAAAATGAAATTATTATACACTAGTAATAATTTTCATTTGTTTGTTTGTTTGTTTGTTTTGAGACAGGGTCTCACTCTGTCACCCAGGCTGGAATGCAGTGAGGCCATATCAGCTCACTACAACCTCCGCCTCCTGGGTTCAAGAGATTCTCCTGCCTCAGCTTCCTGAGTAGCTGGGATTACAGGCATGCACCACCATACCCGGCTAATTATTTTATTGAGACGGAGTTTCACCATTTGGCCAGGCTGGTCTTGAACTCCTGACCTCAAGTGATCTGCCCACCTCAGCCTCTGAAAGTGCTGGGATTACAGATGTGCACCACTGCACCCAGCCATGTTTGTTTGTTTTTTGAGACAGAGTCTCACTCTGTTGCCCAGGCTGGAGTGCAGTGGCACAAACATACCTCACTGCACTCCTGGCCTTAAGCAATCCTCCCACCTCAGCCTCCCAGGTAGCTAGGATTACAGGTGTTTATTACATTTATGAACATGATTTAAAAATGATTAAGGGAATTAATTAATTAGATGCTAAAAATTCCCTTAAAAGTTAATATTGCATTTTGGTAGATTTTATAAACCTACCAAATCAGATCTGGAAATTGAATTTAAAAGTTTAAGGAAGAACTAGGTTTTAAAAATTGCAATAGGTAAAATATGAATTAAAAAGAACAAACTGGTCTCTGAATAATTTTTCTGTGTGCAAAAAATTGCCATTAAATGCATAAAGTACCCACATTGACAATTTGATGAGAATTGGATGTTTTTATTGAGAAATTCCCATATGACAGTATATGTGGGTCATTTCTCTAGATTGTCCAGTTTCCAAGAACAGTCCTTCAATCCCTTGCTTGTGCAAGAATAACCTGCAGCAGGGCTGGCTTCATGGGCCAGCATCCCATGCAGTCTCACAGGGCCCTGCTCTTAGAAGGACCTCACACTTGTTCTAATGCTCTGCTCAAAAAAAAAAAAAAAAAAAAAAAAAAAAGGCATATTAGAGAAATAGATTAGCCTGTGATTCCAATTTAACATATAAATTGTGTAACTGACTTAGATTTGGGATTCAAGATTTAACTCTTACTAAATTTATCACAGTATTGGACCATTTAAGAGAAATTTTGCCATCTTGAAAATTTTATTTTAAACAAGGAGCCCTACATTTTTATTTTGCACTGGGCCCTGCAAATTCTGTAGCCAGTCTTGCCCTGTAGTCAGAGTTGTGGCAGCCAAGCAGTAGGAGAGGGCTGGAGTTTCAAAGGTCAGTGTGCAGACTCTCCCCAGTCCCTGAGTTTTCTCAGTTGCCTCCCTCTCACCCACCAAGTTGTGCCTATTGTCCACCAGTCCGTGGTCTCTCCAGTCCAACTTTAAAAGATCCACTTTCCTGCCAGGGTCGAGGGGAGGAACTGTCAGCTGGCCATATGGGCTAGAGGAGGAGGAGATGAGGGGAATATCTAGTTCCCCTGCTTTTGCTAATTCTGTGGTAGGAATTACCTTGCCTTTTTCATTTGTGTTTTTGAGACAGGGTCTCATTCTGTTGCCCAGGCTGGAGTGCAGTGGCATGATCATAGCTCACTAAAGCCTTGAACTCCTGGGCTCAAGCGATCCTCCCACCTCAGCCTCCCGAGTAGCTAGGATTACAGATATGCACCACCACACCCAGCCTGAATCACCTTGTTTTTGAGGCTTTCTCCCCTGCAGACACTTGCAGAATGGAAAAAGTTGAAACTTAATTACCAATTAGCCTATTCCAAAATTTTGCTGACATCTCAACTCTAATGTATCTCCTTTCTCATTCTTTGCCCTTATGGATTTATGCCTTTTGTTCCTTTATTTAGGTTTTGGGAGAAACAGGAGAAAATGCAGGTGTTCAATCTGCCGGGCATGACAAGTGGTCTCAATTTAGCTTCCATAGAAACAAGGACTTTTCTCCTTAGTACTCGATTTTTGTTGCTTTATGTAATACTTAATCAAATGATATAATTACAATGACAAGTACAACTGGCATAAATAAGTTTAAGAACAAACCCATTTTGGCCGGGCGTGGTGGCTCACGCCTGTAATCCCAGCACTTTGGGGGGCCGAGACTGGTGGGTCACGAGGTCAGCAGATCGAGACCATCCTGGCTAACACGGTGAAACCCCGTCTCTACTAAAAATACAAAAAAATTAGCCGGGCGTGGTGGCAGGCGCCTGTAGTGGAGGCTAAGGCAGGAGAATGGTGTGAACCTGGGAGGTGGAGCTTGCAGTGAGCCGAGATTGCGCCACTGCACTCCAGCCTGGGCGACAGAGTGAGACTCTGTCTCAAAAAAAAAAAAAGAACAAACACATTTTGACTCTTGGTAAATATGCACCTCAGTTAGTGGGGACAGAAGTATGCGGGCATTAGTCATTTTACAGAAGGAATGAGAGTTGTGGTTAAGTTGGGCAAGTTGGATTAAATGGAGATTAGTCAACTGAGTTTCTATTTTAAATAAATGAATATAAGGCATTCATTAAGAGGGTGCATTATTGAAAGTCTAAATGATTTGGCTTCTTGGACAACCAATTTAACTTTAAAGAAGCTAATCTGTCTTTTTTTTTTTTTCTTTAGAAAAGAATGGGGTTTCATTCTTTTTGCCCAGGCTGGAGTGTAGTGGCGTGATCACAGCTCACTGCAGCCTCAATCTCCCAGGCCCAAGCAATCCTCCCTCTTCAGCCTCCCAAGAAGCTGGGACTACAGACACATACCATGACACCCGGCTAATTAAAACACAATTTATTTTTGTTTTTATTTTTTTTTTTGTAGAGACGGGGTCTCCCTATGTTTCCCAGGCTGGTCTTCAAGGCTCAAGGAATACTCTCGCTTTGTCCTCCCAAAGTGCTGAGATTACAGTTGGGAACCACCGTGCCCAGCCTAATCGGTGTTTTAAAAAGCCTTAAGCAAACAACTGCCTTTCTGGGATCAGAGTCTTTTCTGCACTTTGACATGGGTAGTATCGAAGAGTCCAGAGTAACCTCCTGACTCTTGGCCCCTGCTCTGTCCTAACTCCCAACAATCCCTGCCTCTGCCTTTATCTCCTAGTGGACTTTTGAGCTGCTTTGACCTCAAAGACCTTGGTTTGCATGTATGAGTCATACCTTGTGAGGCTCCCTTTCATAGGTACCTGGCTGTCTAGCCTCTAGCCTTTGGGGAATTCAGGGCAGACTGACTTGTCTTTCTGTTGGCTTCCTCCAATGCAGGATGTTAGCTTCAGTTTCTCTGCTCTACGTCAGTTATCCATTCTTTGTTTTCCATCTTCCATAATTCTGACATTTTCCATCTATCATCACCTGTATTTGTCTTTATATTTGAAGAGTTTATATCTCTATTTTATTTTATTATTATTATACTTTAAGTTTTAGGGTACATGTGCACAATGTGCAGGTTTGTTACCTTCACAGATGGGAACTGAACAATGAGAACACATGGACACAGGAAGGGGAACATCACACACCGGGGACATCTTTTTTAAAAACATTGTTATCCCTTTACTATCAGTTTAATGGAAGTTCTGAGGGGTAGAGAATCACTGCTTCTCTTGAGTAATTCATGTTTGACTTTCTCTCTACTGTGGTAGGTTCCTATTTCCTAAGCTGATATTTCCTTCATCTCCTGATTCTTCTGAAAACAGGAGTCTCAGTTTTTAGCTTTCTAGACAATTTGAAAAAGACATCTACTCAGCCTTCAGAGCCCTATTTGTTCTGTGGTTAATATGCAGCCAGAAACAAGTCAATGTAAGTCAGCTTTTGCAAATATCAATTAGAACTTAGGGGATGTGTCAGGATAAAACTTAAAGTGTAATTAGTTTAAGTCAAGCTAACTCTGGGAAATTTCCTCTTGATAGAAAAATAATATTCATAAGGTCAGATGAGCTTTTCTCCTTTGACTGTTAAGAAGGGAATATTTAGGGATTGGAAGTTAAAATTTTCCTTAGAACGAGATTTAGATTTGTAACATTTCCTAAACTCACAGCAATTGTTTTTTTGTACAATTGCATGGCACTTTCAGTTTCAAAGATCCTTTTTTTTGGGAGGTGGGTAGAACTTAAAATAATACCTTCCATCTTTAGTACAGTTGTTAGTGGGGTATTGGTTCCAGGACACCCCCACAGATAACAAAATCTGCAGTTGCTCAAGTCCCTTATATAAAATGGCATATGTAGTATTTGCATGTAACCTATGCACATTTTCCTGTATGCTTTAAATCATCTCTAGATTACTTATAATACCTAATACAATGCCTACACATCACTTCTTTCACATAGATTCAATGTAGTACTAGGTGAACAGCAAATTCAAGTTTTGCTTTTTGGAATTTTGTGGAACTCCCCACCCCCAAATATATATTATATATTATATAATATATATAATATATATTTTATATTATATATAATATATATTTTATAATATATATTTTATATTATATATAATATATATTTTATAATATATAATTTTATATTATATATAATATATAATATATATTTTATATTATATATACTATATATTTTATATTATATATACTATACATTTTATATTATATATACTATATATTTTATATTATATATACTATACATTTTATATTATATATACTATACATTTTATATTATATATACTATATATATTTTATATTATATACTATATATTTTATATTATATACTATATATATTTTATATTTTATATACTATATATATTTTACATTTTATATACTATATTTTATATTATATATATATTTTATATATAATATATAAATATAATAATATATTTTATATATAATATATAATATAATATATATGATATATAGTATATATATTTTATATATTATATATAATATATATTTTATATATTATATATAATTTTACATATATAGTTTATTTATATATATATATATATATATATATATATATATATATATATATATATATATTTTTTTTTTTTTTTGGGGACAGCATCTCGCTCAGCCACCCAGGCTGGAGTGCAGTGGTGTGATCTCGGCTCACTGCAACCACTGTCTCCCGGTTTCAAGCAATTCTCCTGTCTCAGCCTCCTTAGTAGCTGGGATTACAGGCACCTGCCATCATGCTCAGCTAATTTTTATATTTTAGTAGAGACAGGGTTTCACCATATTGGCCAGACTGGTCTTGAACTCCTGACCTCAGGTGATCTGCCCACCTCGGCCTCCCAAAGTGCTAGCATTACAAGCACGAGCCACCACACCTAGCCTCCCACCAAATATTTTTCATCTCCAGTTGATTGAATCCATAGATTTGGAATGCATGGATACAGAGGGCTGACTGAATATAACTTTTTCACATATTTGGGGTTTTTTTTTTCCTGCAGAAATGTAATCTGTTCTTTCAGAGTAGAGATTGTTTCTGATACATCTTAGCATCTCTGAGTGCCAGAATGAGGGCGTACCATAAGGTCAGGCACATAGAGCTTGTTTAATCTTTCTATCAAGCCATGAGTGAGGAACTACTATAACTCTAATTTTATAACTGTGGAAACTGAGGCACAAGCTACACAGCTGTAGTAAGAGGTAGAGGTAAGAGGTAGTAACTTATTTTACAGAGGGAATGAAAATGGTGGGTAAGTTGGACAAGTTGGTTCCTAGGATAGCACCAAGAGGAACTGACTCCACTGATTAACCAGGTTAGCTGCCTCCTACCCAAGCACACTGCAGGATTTGCCTTCAGTGACAACATGCAAGGTGCTTTCTGGAGAGGCATATCTGGGACTTCATGGAGCTTGCAGAATCGGTTGTATGGCTGCTGGCTAATAGGTGTTTGACAAGTTTGGCCTGAGACTATCTTTGAAACATACCACCTGAAGCGTGGTTGTGGAGAAGCCCCATAGCTCAATCTTATCTTAACTATTGGAGGCTACTGATACCTGCCTTAAAGATGTTATTAATAATAAATATGAATGACCAAATTGACTTAGGTTAATTTGTAACCTCCTTCTCCCTTAGTTATCTCCAGCCGAAAGAAATCTAGTCTAAGAGAGTCACAAAATATCTTGTGAAAATTTACCACAGGCCTCAAACAGAGACTCGGGGGACTGAAGTCTCTGACATGAAGCGCTTCCTGCAGGGTATAAGCATTTGGAACACGGGTAAGGCCTATGGGCTAAAATCTCCAGCCAGCAGCGGTTAGAAATTCAATGTTGTCCCCAAGCACTTTAGATCTCCTGAGTGTTTTGAATTCCAGTGGGAAGGGAGTTCTGATAAAAGGCAGCTGAGTTTGGAAGGATTGTAGCCTCAGGATGGCTCCTCTGCCTTTTGACCCATGGTTGAGGAAATTCTGCCTCAGCAGCCCTGTCTCCCTTTCTGCATCCATCTCATAGTCCCCACTGGTGATCCCCCATCTCAAGTAGCAAATTCCAAAGACGTTGGAGAATGTTGGCCTTGTTGGTTGTCTCATATCAGAAATAATCTGAGAGTTGCTTGTGAATTGCAGGACTATTTAGATTTTGAGGTCAGAAGCATAGAACTGGTACTTTTTTTTTTTTTTGAGATGGAGTCTCACTCTGTCGCCCAGGCTGGAGTGCAGTGGCGCAATATCCGCTCACTGCAAGCTCTGTCTCCCGGGTTCATGCCATTCTCCTGCCTCAGCCTCCCGAGTAGCTGGGACTACAGGCGCCCGCCATCACGCCCGGCTAATTTTTTGTATTTTTAGTAGAGACGGGGTTTCACCGTGTTAGCCAGGATGGTCTCGATCTCCTGACCTCGTGATCCGCCTGCCTTGGCCTCCCAAAGTGCTGGGATTACAGGCGTGAGCCACCGCGCCTGGCCAGAACTGGTACTTTTAAAATGTCTTTTTATTTTTTAATTAATTTTTTTTAAAGAAATAGAGATGGGGTCTTGCTATGTTGTGCAGGCTGGTCTTGAACTTCTGGCCTCAAGCGATTCTCCTGCCTTGGCCTCCCAAAGTGCTGGGACTACAGGTGTGTACCACTGTACCCAGCCTTTAAAATGTCTTAAAAAGTGAAAAACTATATTTGAATATAAATAAAGAATTAAGAACAACAACACTTGAGTATCGAGACTATATTATCCAATACAATTGATGAAACTATAGACCATACTCTCTAGACTTTCACACAAGCTTTTCAGTTTTAATTTCACATAATTTGAAAAGTGATGTACATGTGACTGTCGAGCATTTGAAATGTAACTCATACAACTGAGGAACTGAATTTTTTATTTTATTTTTTAAAGTAACTTAAATTTAAATAGCCACTTGTGAGTAGTGGCTACCATCCTGGTCACCACACATCCAGAACATGGTGATAAGCCTGTATCAGGATAGTCTAGGTTATGTTGCAGCCACTGAGAACCCCAAAATCTTGGTGATTTATAAGAACAAATGTTTATTTCTTGCTTGTGTTATGTCCCCATTTTGGGTTGGCTAGAGACCCAGATGGCTGCAGCAGCCACCATCTCATGTGTTGCCCGTCATTATGGAGAGGCTTGTACCAGCACATAAATGCTCTGGTCCCGAGGGTACATACATCACTTCTGGTCACAGCTCACTGACTAGGACTAGTCACATGGCCCCATCTAACCAGGAAGCCGAGAGTGAAGCCCTAACTCTGTGCAGAGATCCTTAGCAACAACTGCCACCAACATTAGCCCCCCCTTTCAAATTACAGGAAGGAGTCCCAAGGGATAAAGAGAGTAGTGCTACTTGTGTTTTCTTGAAAAATGGAGAATTGGGTTTCTCACAACTCAATTATTTATTACCTCCTATGTACTTATTAGCACAGATTTATCAAAAACAGGTGAGGTGTGGAGCAAAAAGCAAATTTCAAACATTTTAACAAAAATAAAAAATCTTTACATAAATTTAGAGCTGACAACAGTCAGCATGTCTTATTAGTTGCATGTAGGAAATATCTTTTAATAAGATATGCAATGCAAGGAACAATCAATGGATTATTTTTTATATGTTTGGGATGAAAATGAATGGAAGAAAGTATATCTGTTATTTTTCTCAGTGCAGCATATAAATTGTACATTTTTCACTAGCAAGGAATAAAAAGTCATTTTCTTTAAAAATAATAAATTGTTAGGGACATTTGTGGATTGTGAGTGTCTTAAAAATGAAAACACTAAATATTTATTAACTGGACAATGGATTGTTTCTTTCCAGACTACATCAAAGAATCAGAGAATTATCTAGCCCTACATTTAACAGCATGTCTTAAACTCTTTCTAGACCATCCACAATATTGTTTGAACATCTGAAGACATGGGGAACTTGCCATCTGATATCTGATAACAGACTTCCTGTAAAGCAGGACTGGTAGTTTCCTGATAACAAATTCTTCAATATGAAGGTATGGATAAAGCATTTGGCTGCCAATAATGAACTGCACCAAAGTCACCAATTCAAACCATGCCCTGGTAAATAGTATCATCAGTGATGATGATGATGATGATGATGATAATGTCACATGTTAAAAATGTCATATAGATTTTAGCATCTTGAGGACCTGATACTCTGTAACAGTGGTCCCTAACCTTTTTGGCACCAGGGACCACTTTCATGGAAGACAGTTTTTCCATGGACCAGGAGAGGGGGTGGTTTTGGGATTATTCAAGCACATTACATGTATTGTGCATTTTATTTCTATTATTATTACATTGTAATAATATATTTTATTATAATATAAAATAAGTATACAACTCATCATAATGTAGAATCAGTGGAAGCCCTGAGCTTGTTTTCCTGCAACTAGACTGTCCCATCTAGGGGTGATGGGAGACAGTGACAGATCATCAGGTGTTAGATTCTCATAAGGAGCGTGAAACCTAGATCCCTCACATGAGCAGTTCACAATAGAGTTCGTTCCTGAGAGAACCTGATGCTGCCGCTGATCTGACAGGAGGCAGAGCTCAGGCGGTAATGCGAGCAATGGGGATCGGCTGTAAATATAGATGATGCTTTGCTCACTTGCCCACTGCTAACCTCCTTATGTGTGACCTGGTTCCTAACAGGCTACTTACCGGGGGTTGGGGACACCTGCTCTATAAGATATCCTTCTAGAATGATTGATATAGTACTAAGCTGATGCTCAAGAGAAATTTTGAACTAAATGTGTAAATTCGGCTACCTATATAAACAAGAACTTCCTAAATCATTCTGTTCCATAGCAAAACACAACCACATAAGCCAGTTCTTCACATCTAGGCACCACAGTGTTTGTTTTTCATTTCCAGGATATAGCTGTGTCCTTTACAACTGGTAGCATGGAAAGAAAGAGAAGTCTGCAAAGATTGAACAAACAGCATGCACTGTGGTATCCTTTATTTAAAAATTGTGAGCTGACTACAGTTGTAGTGTTCTCATTTACCATTCTGATGGCATAATAAACCAAGAGAACATTAACACAATTCCAAGAAGGCATTAACCTGTAACACACATATACGCCACACATGCACACACACAACATACACGCACACAAAGGTTATATTCTGAACACAAAAGTGATAGAAAAAAGCTTTGAATGCGCTAAATCAAATAAAAACCCTTTATTATAATAAACTGTGGCAATACTGTGGCTATCATGAAAAATATTGTAACTATTTTAAAAGCAAAAGGAAAAATACTGGCAGTTTGAAACTAGCAGCAAAAAGCAGATAAAAATAGAATGGAAGATAACATAAGACTAATATCAAAATTCTAATGTTGATACTGTGTAGGATTGCACTGAAGTAATTTTAAATTGGTTCTTAAGGAACTCTTAAAAAGTCCCTTAAAAATATTAAATTGTTGCACCTTACAAACAGTGGAAAAGAAAAAAAAAGTATTTGGAATGTTACACACACACACAGAGGAAATGTATTAGGTCTATCATCAATTATGGTCTTTGTTTATGACCTTCAAAAAGCTTTATAAAGAAAAAATTTAAGTGCCAATGTAGTGAAAGAAAGTTAAAAATTCCTAAAGACGCAAGTCTGAGTGCATTTACCAGGTCTAAGAATATATTTAAAGGTTGGGGGCAAGGCATGATTGATGCACATTTAAGAAGAAAAATATGGAACCCATAAGGTAGGTCAAGTTCTTTGGAGAGTGTTGAGAATGAAGATGTATTAAACTCTGGCTATCTTGGAGGAGATTCCAAAGTACATGGAGTTCTCCAGCTCTTTATCAGTTGAAATCTGTTTCATCGTGGCCAATAGATAATTAAGACTAACTTTTCAGCAAACTGATTTCTCCTATATTCAAACACAAAAATCTTTACCACACGTTCAGAGCTGATATTCTATAACAGCACAAATAAGAATCCTGGTTTACAAAGGAAACCACATTAGCAAGGATTTTTTTTTTCCCATGGGTTCTTAACCAAATGTCTGAAGCTGCTAGACATCTGCAAAGAGGGGATAAGTTTAGATTTCCTACTGATTTTGGAAGAAAAATATTTTCCTAAGGAAGCCAGAGTCATCCATGAGCAGGGACCTGTCTTCAGAATCGAAGAAGCATAATGTCCTTAATGCTTACACTCATGACAAGTTGAGAGTCAGCAAAACTGGCAGGTGGAAGGGGAAAGAGAAATGGAGAGTTTGAACATCTGCAGTGTACTTTGGAATAAAGTGGCTCAACTGCTTTCAGAAATGAATTGCTGGAGTACTGGGAGAAAACCCAGTTCTCTAGAGTCAGGGGGTGGGGAGAGAGAGGCCTCCCATCCCCAGGAACCCTCTGGGCTGAGCTGTGGCCCAGAACTCTTGTTTTGGCCTTATTTTTCATGAGCGCATTCAAGTGGAGAATTTATGACTTTGCCCAGATAAATATTTGGTTTGGTTACTTTCTCTCTAAAATCAATTGGTCAGTCAAGTTACTGGTGATTTCCCTAAATGAAATCTAGCTGCACTAGTATCTTAAGGTGCCAACTAACATAGATTAATGCCCATCAATAACGCTGCTAGGTATCAACTGCTGTTTCTGAAGAATCAACCCACAAATGACCTAACCGATAATCTATCACACTAGGTGCTTTTACTATCTTGAGTTTTTTTTTTTTTTTTGAGTTTTAGAGAAATAGTCCTTTTAATATGACTTAGAAACTGCTTTTCTCTGGCTTTGTTTCACTCTTCTTCCTCTTCCCCTTCCCCTTCACCTTCCTCCATCGTTTCCACAATGAGCTCTGCTGTGCAGGTGGCTTCTCCAAGACTGTTGACAGCCTTGCAGGTGTACTTGGCATCGTCATCCCCGCAAACATCACTAATAATTAAAGAGCAGTTCCCGTCCTCATCGTAGTCTATCTGGAAGTGGCGGGACTCCCTGATTGACTGGTCATCTTTGAACCAGACAACCTCGGGGTCTGGGTATCCTGCATCACAGGGAGAGAACACAAGTTGCAGGAACTGTTATTCAAAATTTCTTATCAACTCATGCAAGCAACTTGTAAGCTACCACTATTGATTAAGGTGGTTAAGGAGAAAATTTTGATGTTGGCCTTTATCGACTGTTTTGATATCTACATTAGAATATGGACATGTCTTGTAAATACCAATATCTGAAACCCCAAATAGAATATTTTAAAGTTGTTCCATTTCCCACACATGTTGGACTAGCACCACATCCCACCTATTAAAAAACTTATTTAATAGTTTTTTTATTTTTTTAAAGTGATGAGTCTCACTCTGTTGCCTAGGCTGGAGTGTAGTGGCATGATCGTAGCTTACTGTTGCTCAAATTCCTGGGCTCAAACGATCCTCCCTTCTCAGCCTCCTGAGTAGTGAGACTATAGGCATGAGCGACCGTGCTCAGTTAAACATCACACCTTTCACTTTTTGGGGGGTAGGGGGGCAGGGTCTCATTCTATCACCTAGGCTGGAGTGCAGTGGCATGAACATGGCTCACTGCAGCCTCAACTTCCTGGGCTCAAGTGATCCTCCTCCCTCAGCCTCCCAAGTAGCTGGAGCTATAGGTACATGCCACCATGCCTGGCTAATTTTTTAAAAAGTTTTTTTTTTGTAAAGACAGGGTCTCCCTATGTTGCCCAGGCTGGTCTCAAACTCCTGGGCTCAAGTGATCCTCTGACCTTGACCTCCCAAAGTGCTGGGATTACAGGTGTGAGCCACCACACCCACCCATCTTTAAACAGACATAGAGTACTACCTGAGGCTAGGCATGGTGGCTCATACCTGTAATCCCAGCACTTTGGGAGGCCAAGGTGGGCAGGAGTTCAAGACCAGCTTGGCCAACATGGCAAAAAAATAAAAATTAAAAATAGAGTACTACCTGAAATACTGCTCCAATTCCAACTCTACACCTAGATCTGAATACCTTCTTAGATTGAAAATACAATTTTCTTTTTCCTTTTTTTTTTGAGACAGAGTCTCACTCTGTCGCCCAGGCTGGAGTGCAGTAGCGTGATCTTGGCTCACTGTAACCTCCGCCTCCTTGGTTCAAGTGATTCTTGTGCCTCAGCCTTCTGAGTAGCTGGGATTACAGGTGCACGCCACGACACCCGGCTAATTTTTGTATTTTTAGTAGAGACAGGGTTTCAGCATGTTGACCAGGCTGGTCTGTATCTCCTGACCTCAGGTAATCTGCCTGCCTTGGCCTCCCAAAGTGCTGGGATTACAGGTGTGAGCTACCTGTGCTCGGCCGAAAATACAATTTTCTATCTTTTTTTTTTTTTGAGACAGAGTCTCACTATGTTGCCTAGGCAGGAGTGCAGCAGCATGATCTCGGGTCACTGCAACTTCCAATGTCCAGGCTCAAGTGATCCTTCCACCTCAGCCTACTGCATAGCTCAGACTACAGGTACACACCACCACACCCAGCTAATTTTCGTATTTTTTGTAGAGATAGGGTTTCACCATGTTGCCCAGGCTGGTCTTGATCTCCTGGACTCAAGTGATCTGCCTGCCTTGGCCTTCCAAAGTGTTGGGATTACAGGCGTGAGCCACTATGCCCAGCCTAAATTTTCAATTTTGTATAATAGTTTAAGTGAAATAATTTAAATGAAAAATAAGAGTCAAAACAAAATGGGAACAAGGGATCTTTTTGGAGTGATGAAAATGTTCTAAAATTGGATTGTGGTATAAATTCATTAAAAATAATTGAATTGTGCATTTAAAATAGGTGAATTTTATAGTATATAAATTATAACTGAATAAAGCTAATAACAGCTATATAAAACATAATTTAAAAGAGCTGATAATATTGCTAAGAAGAAGAAAGCAATATTTGTCTTAGTCTGATCCAAAGCAGGTAATTTGCCTATGGACAATTGGAAATGGACCTCACCAATGAGCCTTTATGCATTAGTCATATCTCTGCAAAGTTCAGCATTAAAAAATAAAATACACATGCATATAAAATATATATTATATGTATTTAATGTGTATGTGTACATATATATGTACAGAAGCATTACCAACATTATGCATTTTGTTTGCAGGTACATAGTATATACATGTACCCCGCTTTTAAAGTCATATATATACATACATTTAAAAATATACAATATATTCCACCTGACTTTCTCTTAAATGTTGGTGAAGTATTTTTATAGGAAAAAAATTGTAGCCCTGATACGGTTTGGATATTTGTGCCCCTTGAATCTCATGTTGAAATGTGATCCCCAGTGTTGGAGGTGGGGCCTGGTGGGAGGTGTTTGGGTCATGGAGGCCGATCCCTCATGAATGTCTTGGTGCCCTTCCCGAGGTAATGGGTGAGTTATTGCTCTGTCATTTCATGCGGATCTGGTTGTTAAAACGTGGCACGTCCTTCTCTCTCGCTCTCTCACTTGCCATGTGACATGCCTGCTTCTGCTATGATTAAAAGCATCCTGAGGCCTCACTGGATGCAGATACTGGCACCAAGCCAAATAAGCTTCTTTTCTTTATAAATTTTCCAGCCTCAGGTATTCCTTTATAGCAATGCAAACAGGCTAATATGAGCCCTAACCAGAATAAAAATTATACATAAGAAATCAAGAATTCTAATGTTCTTTTCAATGTTGTTTTTTCAAAATAATTTTAGAAATTGTTTTTTCGAAGTAATTAGGAACACCCAGACCATGAGGAAAATTGGGTCAGGAAGAGCTGGTCATAAAGTACCCTCCACTCCCATGCCCTGCACCCTCAGTGCAAAAGTTTCAATTTTGTTTTTATCAAAACAGCATCCATATGCTTTAATTTCTCATCAGAGCCCCAGGCAAAAGTTACATAAATATCAATGAAACAATTCCAAAGAGAAAATTAAGTACGAAACAATCCCAAAGAGAAAATTAAGTACAAAATGATAATCATTATGTTATTTTAAAACATTCAAAAAGGAAAAGAAACTTCAGAAGACCCAAATGCAATGGTAATGGTGAGAATTGCAAGCAGTGGCTCCAGAGCCTTCAGCAGAATCCCCAGTCCGAGAATTTTCACATTATCAAAGGCAGCACATCCACTTTCTTTTAATTGAGTGAGGAAAGGAAAATGACTATGGTAGGCGAAGCATTGATAAGGCACTTTGATAATATAAAGATGCAGAAGAAAAACTATTTTTTCCATTCCTAACTTTGGGTTATTTTACTCAAAAGGCATTGTCTAGTCACATTGCTGGAGAATCAAAGAAAGTGGGAGGCACAGTTTGTTTTGACTGCTGTACTGTGCTATGCGGCCTCGGGAAAGTTGCCTAATAAACTTCTGTGCTTTATTTGGTCAGACCAAAATGGGTGATAACCCACCACCCTGGTTGGCAGGTGAAAGTCACAGACTTGAAGCAAAGAGCCTGTCTTATCTTGTCCCTTCTCTTTCTAGACGGTTGCAATCTATATGAAAATGGAAACGCTTTGTGTCATCAACTTTGCTCATTTCTCAGGTGCTATGCCATGACCCCTTAAGGTCCCTTGAGCTCTGACCACTGACAGGTCTGTGGCTGCATTATTCCCAGCAGGCAGATAAGCAGCCTGGGGAAGATGGTGCCGGCTGAGTGCTTTGTCCCGGGTGCCTGGCTCCCAACTGGCCTCAGTCTGAAGTCACAATGCATGCACTCTCTCTGTACCTGCCAGTCCCACAACTTTTCCCTTTGCTCTGTGACATCTTTACAAGATCTAAAAGGTTCCCCCTTCTCACATATGTCCCCTCACAGAATCCCCAGAGCCACTCCGTGACTTAGCTATCATCTTACAGCAGAGGGACCGTAACTCAGGGGAGTTGGACCACCATCCAAGGTCACACAGCCTGTGGACGAGTAGCAGAGCCTGCCGATTCCACATCCTATGCCTTTGTGCCAGCCTTCCTTTGAGGGCCTCATATGGGCAAGTCACATGCTTTTCAGCAGTTTGCAAAGCTCATTTCACTAAGCATGTTCCAAAGCCAGGTAAGTCCATGCAAGGCCATTTCTAAACTTAGGTCTAGTGGCTGATGTAAGTAGGTGAAATTTCAAATGTGCCCCCTGGGGAAGTGACTGAAGGACACACCTTCAGGAGGTGGGAGTGCAGGGCATAGCCCTTTATGAGCAGCTCCTGCTGACCCAGTTTCCCCCAAAGCTTGGCAGTTCCTCATTGTCCCCAGCTGCACAGAACTGACTTCTTGCCCACGGTGCATGGTAGGGACTCTACCATCCAGCCACACCCTATTCATGGTGAAGAGAAGCACAGCTACAACTTACCTTCAATCTTGCAGTCAAATCTAGCAGCACTTCCCTCCACAACTTCTAAATCGCGAATGGTCTTAGAGAAATAGGGTTTTACATGAGGCTTTTCCTCAGCAACAGCCTCAAGGAAAGCTTGGGACACATCTTCTAGAAGACAGAGAAGAAGACCAGGTCATTTCTTCACTCGTTGTTCTCGCCTCGCCTCTAGCTTAAAGAAACTAACTTTTAAAAAAGTTGCTATGATTTAGCAAAGAAGGCAGCTTTGAGAACTGAATCATAAGCACGCCTTTCTCCTGGGGACAGGTTGGCCTGCTGCCAAATGGTTTTTGGCAGAAGAAGGAACTGTGCCCAAGCTGAGGAAGGATCAGACTCCCCCTTCCCCTTATGCTGACATGTTGAAAGAGGAAATCATCTTTAAAAAGGATTTCTGGCTGCATTTCATGCTGCTTTAGGATTCAGCTGAGGGTATCTGAGCAGGGCAGGACCTCATCAGCCTTCCTAGTCTTGGTATCCCTCTGCCTTCCTTCTGCAGCAGGTGTTCCACCTGCTTTTTACAAGGGAGGAGTCAGGTCCTAGCCGCATCTTTAGCTTCCAGTGGCTCTTTCTCCATGCTCACACTGCCTTCATGCTGTGTGACTGTGGACCAGGATGTGGGATTGGTTCAGGGAAAAGCTGTAACTTGGAGGGACACCTGTATCTCCTCCCTTCCCTTCAGGCTATGTCTGGGTCATCTGAGGAGGGGCAGAAGTGGCTCAGGAGGGACCAGGCCTGTGTGCTGCAGTCTCTATCCCTGGCTGTGAGGAAGCTCCAGAGCAGGCAGTTGCTGGCCTCACCAATAACCCTACCTTTGCTCACCAAGGGAATCTAAACTCAGATTCTCACCTGTGGATACAAAAAGCACCAGGCAGGGAGGGACAGAGGGTGTCTCTGGCCAAATGAGATAAGGGTCTGGCCCTGCATGCACCTGAAGCAGGAAAAGGCTGGGGTTTTCACTGAGGAGATGGACGGGACAGCATCTAAGATGGTGAGCAAGTAACTGACCCTATTAGTCTCCAGGAGGAGACCTGCCAGTCCCAGTCTGCCCAGTTCAAATGACACGATTCAGCATCATGAACAATGCCAAAGAATGTGGACCATATGAGTTAATTTTTATTTAAAACAAAACCACAAAGATGGTAGAAAATAGAATATTTTATAAATCTTACACAACTACATGTAATTTTAATGTTATTTTTGCCTATTAATATAGAATATCACTTTTGCCATAAGAACAAAAGAAGATTTTAATACAATCTTTGTTAATTTTAACACAAAATATATGAAAAAGCATAGCTGAGGTCATCTAGTTCTATTAGACAAATAACAACTTTCCCTCCGAAAATGGTTAAGCTTAAAGTTAAACGATTAAGAATAATTATTAGACTTAGTAATTGTCAGGGCAACCCAAAATTACTTCTGAATTTATCCTTGCAGGGAATATTAAAATAAAAAAAAAAAGAACAAAACCAACCAAAACCTCAAAATGCCCCTTTGTTCCCCAGCCCTTTCTTTCTCACCAGCTGGCTGGAGAAACTCCTCCTTACCTTCAGATTCTAGTTTTTCTGCATTGAGCGGGCTGGTTGGTGACCCTGTTGAGGATTTCCTGCCACTGAGCCCTGAGATCATTGCCATAGAGGACAGTCTTCCAATGGCTCTCACAGCATTGCCCGTTTTCTGGAAAATAGACACGAGGGTTGGACTCAGGCGTTGTCCCTGGTTCCAGCTGGGTAGTGCGAGGGGCTGCAGGGAGTAGAGCCCAGCCCCAGAGAAGCAGCTGTTCCCTGGAACAAGGACCTCCTGAGAGCCGAGGTTCTGCCAGAGGAGCGAACCCAACCTTGCTCTGCTCAGCACTGTCAGTGTGTCAGAAGATGTTCAGAGAATGGAATGGGGCCTGGAACTGATGTGTGCGTTAATGTGACTAAACAAGGTCAACATGAGACAAAAACCCTTTTCATACAGTGCTTCAACTCCCATAAAAGGGATGGTTTATATAAAGCAACTGCAGGCTGAGACAGCTCCAAAGACTTATTGCTGACTGGGCCTAGCGGGGCTATTTCTCGTAAAACAATGCCAGTGATGTGATTATAATTGGCCAAGAGAATAGTTACTACAGATCCCACAAGTCCTGATGCAAAAATAATCATAATAATAATAACACAGCATCCTGTTGACCTTGGGCAAGTCACTTAACCACTCTGAGCTTCAGTCTCCTTCTCTAGGAGGGGGCTGGACAAGATGATCTCCAAGGTCCCATTTAGCTCTGTTTATAATTCAGAGACTTAAAAGATTTTGAGAAACACTCTGGCTGGCCCCTGCACAAGTCTATGATGCAGTGAAGCTCTGGAGAGGAGCTCTTCCTTGGTGTGCATTCAGGCACCAAAAAGAAGCATTGAAGAAATAAAAGGCAACGGCACTTTGCTTCTCAGTGACTAGACTTGGGAGAGGAAAGAATTTCTGCTGAAAAGGATCAGAACTTGAGATGTAATTTATTTACATTGCGAAAATTCTACCAAGCATAGGATCCCTAATAATGTACAATTGTGTCTTATTGTTTCTTATCTTTCAGTAAGTTTTTCACCTTTTTTCTAAGGTTAACAGGAATGACTAAGATAAGAAAACTAAGGCACAACCAAGTCTTTCCACCCCTGCACCCAAAGCATCTTTTTTAGGCATCGAAAAGCTGTGCATCTAGACAACAGATGTCACCACAGACTGGCTACTTGTCCTCCCTGAGAGAGGGAGGAAACAGCCTCTTCATAGGCAAATGGCTTGTACTCGTTGCATCTCAAACTCTGCCGGCAAAGCCATTTTCCTCCTCAGTTCACTTCACATGCTCAAGTACTTCAGTAAAGCCTCACAATTTAGGACTAGTTGGAAAGCCAGTAAGCTTCAGTAAAAAGACTGATCATTTTGAAAGTGAATAACTTCTGGGTGCTAAGGAAACATACAGAAAATTGTGTGCGTGTGTGTATGGTTAAAGAGGAGACCTACTGCAGTGAGCGGGATGACCTTACTGTCATGCCTCCTGCCATCCTTGCTGCAGACTGCTCTCATGCACTTTGGACAGACATTTCACCTTGCTCTGTCCCCTGGCCATCCCTTCTCACACACATCACACTGTATGGTGTGGGTATGTTTCTGGCCTCTGCCACCACAGTGAGGCTGGGTCGCTGAACAGAATCCACGCAGCCCCAGGTGGAGGTGATGAGGAGGGGAAGATGGTGAGAGATGAAAACTGAACAACTTAACTGTGCGCAGAACCACCGTGTGGCCCTGCGGAGAATGCCTCTGCAGGCTCAGGCCACGTGGCAACCTTTCATGCTCTTCTGGGAGATGTTACTGGTTCAACCTGTTTGTTGTGCTAGACAAAGTGTAGAGAGAGAGAGACCCAGCTCTTCCCATGGGAGGTTACCCTGCCCTCAGGAACAGGTAAGAGGTGGTACCAGCCATGGCAGCCCTCCCTACGTAGTCAATGTCAGACCAGCCTGCTTCCTAATCAACCCGATTCTCAGACTCGGCCCTTCTCTGCTCTCCATTCCCTTTATCCAACACAGATTGGTTTGTCCTGGGCTAGGAGCCTCTAAACCCAGAGGGTTCATTCCCAACAAGGGACAGGTTAGTTCTCTAACCCTAATTGCTGGGAGACCTTGTGCAAGTCAGTTCCCCTCTCTGGGCCTCAGTAGCCTGGGAGCAGAAGATTCTAATCTTCCTGCAGTTCCAGACCTCTACAGAACGACTCTGGTTTATATCCATAAATGTGTAGCAAGGAACACCCGCCTTGAGCCCATGGGCTCCCCAATTCCAGACATCAGGATTGGGACTGATGAGGACTGTCTTCACCTGTGTGGTGTGGCGAGACGATGTCTTTTTTCTTCCAGATTTTATTTCATAACAAAATGACTAAAATGAAGCTATCAGAATGAGGAAACAAAAGAGTTATAGTATTTCAGAGGAAGTAGTAAATATATTAACAAATAAATATGTCTCACATAGGGAGAACTTTTCTAAAAGATGGAGATATCCAGCATATAATTTCTAAAACATAGAAAAATATTTGGGAATTGATTTGTGAAAAAAAATTGCCGAGGAAGTTATTTGTCAGAACTAGAAATGAATATATCAGTATGTTCTAGTCTTCCAGTTTTATGCCTTTGAGCTGACAATTGGTTGTTGCTTTACTGACCAAAGACCTTTGGAAATTTTTGGAACATCAAGATCGCCAAGTTTTGATTTTGTAATTTCTCCCTTTTTCTTGCTTGAGGGCAATTGCCCAGGCTGGGTTCCTGTGTCGCTGGTGAGCAGTATCTGCACCAGCCTCCTTCATGCAGCACAAATTCCCTGCCCCTTGGAGAGCTTGTGGGGCCAGCCATCCTGGCTTGCCCAGGCAGGCTTGTGGAGTTTCCCAGGATTAGGGTCTTTTGGCACCAATACTAAGACATTCCCTGACATACATACAGCAAGCTGGTTACCCATCAAAGCCCCCCATATATACCAGTAGCCCCAAGACTACAGTTTCCCCTGAGCAGTGCATACCATCCAAATGGGATGGCCAAGAATACTCCGTGCTATACTGAGTCCAGTGTTTTCTCCCCTAATGCCCTTGGTCCATACTGCTGGGGTCTTTATGGTTCCCAGAAAATAAAGATGGCTACCTAAGGGCCTCTGATGTCTAGTCTTTTGCTTCCAGTGTGCATGCGGAAACCCTGTTAATCTGCTCAACCTACCTGCCCCCATTGCTACACCTTTCCAACATATCTTTGTAAAATTCTTTTAATATAAATTTAAAATATACCTTCTTTCGGAATAACTTGATTCCAAGATGAGTAATATGATTAGTCATCTATACCCAGCCTAGCTTTGCTTGTAGGGATTTGTTCCCATGTCACTTCATTCCTTCTAGGGCTTTTTATGAAAACCACACCAGAATAACAAGAAGGTGCCTTCTCTGGCACAGCTGCAGAGAGTTCTGGGCCACCTGAGCCTGATCTTCCCCTCTCCCTCTGCCCCCGCCCACAGCCCACTCCACCCCACTGCACAGAACCTTGGCTGCTGCAAGAGGGAACCCTCATATTCCAAGGGGAGCTAAGGCCCTGGTGATTGCAGTTAAAATGCAGAAAACGTTTTCCTGAGGGAGCAACGTAACATGAAATGGTTAGAGCTGTTACCAGGGAAGCTACTCTTCAGGGAAACTACTTGTTGAATGGAATTTTTGTGGACAACTTTTGTGTGCAATTTTGTGGAAAAATCATTTCCAAATGTCGCCATCTATACTAAAATATAAAATTAAGGTTCATTCTCTGAATTCTACCCTTTTCTTCCCCCGCCCTTCCAGAAAACCCTATGGCTAATAATGCCGTAAACAAGAAGAAAAAAAAATTGATTAAAATATCAGCATAGGCTGGGCACTCAACACTTCGGGCAGCCAACGCAGCAGCATCGCTTGAGGCCAGGAGTTCAAGACTAGTCTAGGCAACATAGTGAGACCCTGTTTCTACCAAAGGAGAAAAAAAAATATTAGCCGGTCTGGTGGCATATGCCTGTAGTCCCAGCTACTCAGGAGGCCGAGTCGAGAAGATTGCTTGAGCCCACGAGGTTGAGACTGCAGTAAGCTATGATTGTACCATTGCCCTCCAGCCTGGGTGACAGCATGAGACCCTGTCTCTTTAAAAAAAAAAAAAAAAATCAGCACCACTATGATTCCCTGACTGATTTAACTGAAAAATTCCCTTTGCCTCCTCTCCTGTTTCCTCATCTCTTCTCTGCTCCTAGCCCCTGGGTTTAGGCATCCTCCTGGCTTTAGTTCATCTGCAGATGTTCCCAGGTGATAAGGCTGCCCCTTAACCTATAGCCTCAGCCAAGCAATATCCACTTAGACTCACTGCTCTGAGGACTGCCCCGCCCTGACATCAGCTTCCCTATCCTTTCCAGAAATATTTCTTTGAGACCTGCTGGCTACAGGATTATTAATACAGCTGACTTTGACTTTGTAGATCCTCCCCCACATTTTTAAAAAGAATATTTGCTACTCAGATCCTAGTGGCACCAAAAGGTAAGCAGCTACAGATGTTTCAACTCACCTTGCACTTGAGGGAGGCCTGGAGACCCACCTTCCCATGAGGGGTGTAGCCAGGAACTGACTTCCATGGTGGAGGAGCACAGCTGATATGTGCTCAGGATGGTGGTCACTTAAACTCCACACTTGTGGCCCCCATTCGCCTTTGCTCCCTCTTTCAACCTCTGAGTGACACTCTACTTTCTGAGGCAACTGTGATTTAGTCACCTGGTGTGGTAAATGACCAGTGTTCCAGTTGCCTCCAACACAGTGATTTCCCTTTTCTTTGCCACCCAGGCAAAGTCTCAATGCCCCTGGGTCCCTTGAGTATCCAGCTAAAAGACTCTGCTCCTGTCCAGCCAAGCCCAGCCGGAATGGGTCCGGCTCCCACCTCTGTGCCTTCTCCTCCACCTGTGCAGTCCTCTTCTCTGTATTCTGACTGAGGTTCCACACCTAATTCAAACTCCTGCACCTGGGAGCATTTCCTCATAATCACATCCAACTCTGGTTGCGACCAGGTCCGTTCTATCCATACACACCCATGGCTATGGAGAACTATCCGGATAGTTTATACATCTTGGTGCGTGTTACATCCTTTCATGTCTAGTTGCTTCAGTTCCCCATTGCACTACGTAGTCCCTGAGTAAGGAAACCATGTCCTCTCAATTGCTTGAACCTGGGAAGCAGAGGCTGCAGTGAGCCGAGATCGTGCCACTGCACTCCAGCCTGGGTAATGGAGTGAGACTTTGTCTCGAGGAAAAAAAAAAAAAAGAAACCATGTCTTCTCCAGCAGCCTAAGAATTGTAATTCTAGGTCGGGAGTGGTGGCTCACGCCTGTAATTCCAACACTTTGGGAGGCCGAGGCGGGTGGATCACGAGGTCAGGAGATTGAGACCATCCTGGCTAACACGGTGAAACCCTGTCTCCACTAAAAATACAAAAAATTAGCCAGGCGTGGTGGTGGGCGCCTGTAATCCCAGCTACTTGGGAGGCTGAGGCAGGAGAATGGTGTGACCCGGGAGGTGGAGCTTGCAGTGAGCCGAGATCGTGCCACTGTACTCCAGCCTGGGCAACAGAGCGAGACTCCATCTCAAAAAAAAAAAAAAAAGAATTGTAATTCTAATTGTGGTAATAAAAATGATAAAATAGGTGATGATGGTGATAAACTGAAAAACATCCTGTGGTTTTGGATAATAATTTTATCCACCCATGCCTTTTATCAGAGGCAGTCTTGGGGTTAAGACTATGTGTTTTGCAGTCAAGCTCTGGGTTTGAATCCTGACCCTTCTGCTTATTAGCTGTGTGATCCTGGATGGCTTTCCTAACCTTTTCTCTGCCTCAATTTTGTCTGTAAAGTGGGGATAATAATAGTACCTGCCTCCTAGGGTTAAAAGATTTAGTGCATAGATAGTGCTTTAAATGGTCCCTGACAGATGGCCTACCTTCATACCTATTAGCGACTGGGATCGCTTCTGGACACTCACCATGTGCCAGGCATTGTACTACTAAAGGCCACATGAGGATGATCTCGTGTAATTCTCATAATTATCACAACAATGCTGTGAAGTTGGTACCACTATTATCCCCGCTTTATAGATGAGAAAAATCCACAGCAAGGTTACATCATTTGCTAAGGACACATGGCTATTAACATACAACCTTCCTAGATGGTGGGACCATGTCTCTCTCTTTAGATCATGTGCCCTCCTTCATCATAAAGAAATGTGAAACCACCATACTACCACCCCATTCTCAGGGTTGACAAATGGACCTTAAAGTGATGTTGCTCATCCCAAGCCATGAAGACACAAAATGTCATTGGCTTAATCTGAATAAGGGTTTACGGTCCCCTGGGGCAAAGGTGAGCAGGAACAGAGAGACAGCTAAGCTAAGAATCCATCCCATCTCCTTGAGAAAGGGACTCTGCACTCAGGACTAAGCAAACCACTGTACCTTAATCAGCTGCCTAAATTGGTCCCAGACTACTTCAGAAATAAATTTAAACTTTCTTGGTGTGAGGCCAGGGCAAGCTGGGAATGAAAGTGGCTTGAACAACACAAATATGAGGGGCAACATCCCAGTCCAAAGTGACCCTCTCATTACCTGCCATTTCCTTCTTGCCATGTACTTCTTCATCCGGTCCTTGGAGAGTTTCTTGGCCTCCATGTTCTTGGTATCTTTCATTAGCCATGGATGCTGAAGGCACTGCGTGCAGTCCAGGCGGTTTCTGACAGAGGCAGAGATCAGGAGATTTTTGAGCAGGAGGAGACCTCAGAGACCACTGGTTAGTTCAGAAATGGGAGGCCACCTGTCCCTGGTCATGAGGGCAGAGCCCAGGGCCCCTGCTCCCGGACCATCCACCGTGATCAGGATCACTGTGCTCTTCACCTTTCTCCTCACTTGGTCTGGGTCACACTAACCAGAACCAGCATGGGTTGGTGTTAATGAAAGCCCAAGCACCAAGGAAGTGACTGGGCTCCATGGCCTGCTCTTGGGATCGAGGAAGAGTAAGTGCTGCAGGGCAGACGTTTCTGGGATTGGCTGGCACCCTATTCCAGGGTGGCGTCATTCTGCTCCTCTCATGAGGGCTGGGGCCCACAAAGCCTAATCCTCCTGCCACCCTGTCTGGAGGAGGGGAGAGTTAAATCCTAGGATAAAATCTCCGACAATCACTGAACTTTCATGTTTAATGTCTTACGGTGT
Organism: Homo sapiens; assembly: GCF_000001405.40. Classification (NCBI taxonomy): domain Eukaryota; kingdom Metazoa; phylum Chordata; class Mammalia; order Primates; family Hominidae; genus Homo; species Homo sapiens. The sequence continues at coordinate 123,627,418 of NC_000003.12, forward strand.
TGTTGAATATCAGGTTTTTCCATTACAACTCAAAGAAGTAGGTCCTGCCTATAACCTATGAATTATGACTACTTTAGAACTGCGCTGAAACTCACTTCATCTTTCTGAAAGCTCTGGGGATCTAGAAACATTTTAGAGCCATTGCCTTAACTGTAACAGGACTAGGAAAGCCTAAAGAACCAAATGCTAACATACATAGAAAAATGACTGGAAAGAAGTATAGCAAAATGTAGTGAACTTTAGATAAAGGGATTATAGATGATTTAAATTTTATTATATTCTTCAAATCCTCTATAATTTTCATGCATTATTTTTATAGTAGGAAGGAATTTTTTTTTTAAGTGCTGATAGGTGGTGATTTCTGGTTGAAGAGAGGCTGGGTATAAGAGTTTATGGGAATTTAGTGTCTTGATCTATTTGAATAAGATCAGTTCTTTGGTGAATCCATTTTATGAGCACAGAGGGATCCAGTACAGCCTGTTACTGACTTAATTCAAGGTCAGATGAGAAAATAAGATATATACACACACAATACCTTGTTTACCAAATCTTCAGTGAATAAAGCTTGGATGACAAAAGCCATCCTTGTACCAGAGTTACTGAGGAGGTTTCCATCTCCTGAGGCACCTTGGGTGTGGGGGTCCCTCATATTGGAAGAGAATTTAGACTTCCCACAGTATCTCAGTTCTCCTTGGGTCATGCCCATTTCTGATACAGACTGTGACAGCAAAAGGCTAAAAAGATCTCATTGTCAAGGAGTGTAGAATGTGGCCTCTGGGGGAGTTTGGCCCTGAACTGGCTAAAAAGGACTGAGAGTGGGGTGCATCACAGGAAAGCCTGACAGAGCCATCTGAGACACTCCAATATTGCTCCTTCAGCAACTAACTGTGCCTTCCTGCCCCGAACAGCCATTCTTCCTCAGGGGAGCCATCGGCAGCCCCGCAAGGCTGCAAAGTCACCTGGGAGTGCAGAGCCTCCTGCCCGCCCTGGAGCCAGGCCCCTCCCCTTCTCTCTAGCACGCCACCCATGTCAACACCACCCTTCTTGGCAAGGCTACAACTGCTCCCTGGGATTGCCAAGTATAGCTCCAAGCTCCTCGGCACCCCTACAGTCAGGCCCTGCCTCATCTAGTCACCTATTTGCAGAGTGGGTGAGCTGCCCAATAGGCCAGCTGTTCTCACCTGAGTCCCACTGCTCCCTTTCCCTGGGCAGCTCTCCCTACACATGCAGAGCCCAGGACAGTTCCTTCCAGGAGATTCTGTCTAGGCACACCCACTGCCCACCTTCAGCCAACCTCCCACTCTGGTCTCCTCTACAACTCCAAGCTCCAATCTTCTACTGAAACCCAGAGGGCTTGAGTGCCTGACCTTTCCCCACAGCCCATGCATGCTGACCTCCCACTGTTCACTTTCCTATGTTCACAGCTGCAGCAGGCACAGGTGGGGAACCTCAACAGAGGAGGAGCTGGGAGAGGGCTAAGCCCAGTGGTCTGGGATCATAGCCTCCCTTTGGCCAGATGTTAGAACGTACCTGGCTGTATTCAAGCAGGCAGTTATTAAATAACTGAGATATAAAAAAACACTAAGCCAGAATAATAATAATAATCTGGGGATATGATCGGGACCCACAGAGAAGTTCTAAGATGCCCGTGTCCTCTGCTCTTGCTTGTTGAGAGGGTCCTTCCCCTGCAGCCCCTGAAGAGGGCTGTGGCTGGCCACAACTGTACCCAGAAAATAAGAAGGGTGGTCATTATTCACACAGAACAGCTGCCCCTTGCTCTGTAACGTGGTCAAGTGTCGCTTTTCAAGTCAGGTGTCTGAGCCTCTGAAGGTGAATCCCATGTCTAGCTCCAGGGGGCAGGGCCTAGGAAGTCGCCTCCCCAACCCACATGCATTCGGGTCTCTTACCATGCCCACCCTCCCTTCCTCAGGGAATGCTAGGAACGACCCAAGGCGGGGTGGCAAGGAGGGCACCCCAACAGGCAAAGGAATCCCCCTTTGCTTCCCAACACAGGGCAGGGAGTAGGGAAGCAAAGACTGAAATCCCAACTCATTACTTCATATCTTTCTTCAGCAGATTGCTGATGAAATCCTTGGCATCGTCGGAGATCTCATCGAATGCCTCGTCGTCGAAGTCCCAGGTGGCTGAGGTAACGTTGGCCAAGGTTTCGTTATCGTTGTCTCCCATGAAGGGGGAAAGGCCACTGACTCTGGAGAGACAAGAGCAGGACAGCAGGTGTGGCTAGGAGAGGGCGCGACGACCAGGTGAGTGGTAACTGAGGTCAAAGGCGAGGGTCGGCCAGCCTCCCCACCCCCAAACTCATGCTCTGTGGGCCTTGCACCTGCCTTTCTTCCACTTGTGGAAAGAAAAGAGGGTGTGGTTCACAGCCCTGTCTTTTCTTGGTCACCTGCCTCTTGACACCACCTACCTGTGAGGCTGAGGTGCAGCAGGTTGGCTTTAGATTACGGGCTTCTGCAGGGTACGCGGCAGGGCTGATAAGTCCCTCTGTCCTGGTTTTCTATTATTCCCCAAAGCCCAGGCTAGAGCCTTCTCCAAGCCCCTTCCTCCCGTGCTCCTGCCCCCTCTCTGTGGACTGGGCACATGGTAGTGATCACCACTGCACCCTTCTGTCCCCTCCTTCCCACCTCTCTCCACACACCTTCAGCTCCAAGAAGAGGGCCCGGCAAATAAGAGAGGCTCAGCAAGTGAAGTGTGTGCCCAATGGATAGATGGACTTTGAATCAGCAATGTAGGTTCGGGGAACTTGAGGCATTTATGCCAAACTAGAAAACTTCCCTATGAGGTGCCATGGCAGAGGACAGAGTGCAGCCTCTCCGCTTGCTGTATGGCCTTGGACAATTCCCTGATCTGTGTCAGTTTTCTCCTCTAAAATGGAGAAGCTGCCATTTAACTATAGGGTGGTCACTTCTTCATCCTCATCATCATCATGATGGCAGCAGACATTCATTGAGGTTTTTCTATGTGCCAGGCACTGGGTCAAGTGCCTAAAACAAGTGAACTCACTTAATCTTAACACTGCCCTATGATGCAAGTAATTCTTATAACTTTGTTTTACAGATGAGGGAATTGAGGCACAGCCCAGGCTCAAGTCACCTGCCCAAAGATTCACAGCCAGTGAGATTGGAAGCCAGGTATCTGCCTCTAGAGCCTGTCCTCTTAAATGCTATACTATCCTAACATTTCTGTAAAGATGAAGTAAATTGCAGTGTTCAGCACTGGCACCAGGCCTGGTCCACAGTAAGGAGGCGGTCCATGCCCGGAGATCTCATGCAGTTCTGCTGGGTTCCCTCCACTGCCTTACCAAGCTGTGAGTGCAGGAATGACTTTGTGACCAGCAGCTTAAGCCAAATAAACTTTATAAGGTAAAGAATTTCAAAACAAAATAGAGCAGATTTGTGGCTTACTGACCTTACCTCTCACCTCTGTGCACCTCACCTTCATAGCAACAACTCACCCCACTGTTCATGAGGGCCTTGTGAGTCAGCCTCATGGGTGTTAGACCAGCACAGTTGCCCACAGTCCCACCCTTAGACAGGCCCTGTGCTTGGTTTAATGCTCTGCTGCTGTCGTCTCAAGATTCTCAATAAGGTTTGAACAAGTGGCCCCACCTTTCATGTTGCAAATTGTGTAGCTGTTCCTGCCCTGATCTCAGCTGAGCCCCATGAGATGGGTCTGGGGGCCAGGCGTGGTGGCTCATGCCTGTAATCCCAGCACTTTGGGAGGCCAAAATGGATGGATCACCTGAGGTCAGGAGTTTGAGGCTAGCCTGGCCAACACGGTGAAGTCCTGTCTCTACTAAAAATACAAAAATTAGCTGGGCATGGTGGCAAGCACCTGTAATCCCAGCTACTCGGGAGGCTGAGGCAGGAGAATTGCTTGAACCCTGGAGGTGGAGGTTGCAGTGAGCCAATATCGCACCATTGCACTCCAACCTGGGCAACAAGCGAAACTCAATCTCAAAAAAAAAAAAAAAAAGAGAGATGGGTCTGGGGCCCTCCTGCCATCAACCTGTCAAGTTAGGGCTTTACCAATGTCCCTTCTCCCAAATGCTTATGAATCCATCATCATAAGCCAAGCACTGACAGCTTCAGGAGTAAGGCTTTGGTTGAGTTTGACAGAACAAACCCCACTTGAAATATTGGGAGAAAAAGCTTGCCATGGGAGGAACCCTCTGGTGAAACCTTTTGTAAAGAGAAGAAAGCTTTTACAATGTGAATTGTCTCATCCTAATCAACATATTTGTGTTTCTGAATAATAGATCTTTGTGGATGGGATTTTTTTTTAAAGCAAGACCCTGATTTATGTTTTAAGAAGGCAAAGAGAATCATTCTCGGTCATGTCCCCATGAGGGAAGGGTGGGCATTTACCTGTCCCCGAGTCTGCACTGTTATCTGCTGCTCCTTTCCCCTCTCTGGGCCTCAGTTTCTCCTTTTTCTTTTTTTTTTTTTTGAGACAGAGTGTTGCTCTGTTGCCCAGGCTGGAGTGCAGTGGTGCGATCTCTGCTCACTGCAAGCTCTGCCCCCTGGGTTCATGCCATTCTCCTGCCTCAGCCTCCCGAGTAGCTGGGACTACAGGTGCCCACCACCACACCCAGCTATTTTTTTTGTATTTTTAGTAGAGACGGGGTTTCACAGTGTTCGTCAGGATGGTCTCGATCTCCTGACCTCGTGTCGTGATCTGCCTGCCTCGGCCTCCCAAAGTGCTGGGATTACAGGCATGAGCCACCGCGCCTAGCCAGCTTCTCCTTTTATACATCAAGGGGACTAGGCTAGATTTCCTAGGGGCCTCCCAGCTCTCTCTGTCTCTGTGACCCCGACCCCCACGTGGCCCATGCAAGCCCCATCAGGAAGCAGCCTGTCTCTTGCCTGTCAGCCACCTGCTGCTTCTTTACATTTTCCACTGGAAACAGAGAGGGGGGAAGTCCGGCAGTACTCCAAAAGATGGCAGGAAAAGCAAACAACCCTGCTGTGGAATGCAGAAAGTTCCCCTTCTGCAAACCTCCCTTCCTTATTAGGAACTATAATCCTGCAAAGATAGGTCTTAATCTCTGCAACTCTGGGCACAGTCAGGGAGAGCCTCCTCGCCTCTGGCCTCTGGCACTCCTCCTTCCTGGCAGCCTATCCATCTGAAATACTCTCCTCACCCTGCCTGGCTCCTTGCCTGCCCAAGTTCCCCCAGCATTCTTCCTATTAAAGAGCATGTGTCTGGAATAAAAAATATAATACATACACAGCATGTTGACAAAGAGGGTGTTTGAATTTTCAGTAATGCTGTTGCTGGGTGGTGGGGTTTTACAGGATTTTTAAAAACCTTTTTGGGGAACTTTTTCTTTGTGGCAGAATTTGCATAAGGGATCATGTCTTTTAATTTTTTTTTTTTTTTTTGAGATGCGGTCTTGTTCTATTGCCCAGGTTGGAGTGCAGTAGTGCGATCTCAGCTCACTGAACCTCTGGCTCAAGCGATCCTTCCACCTCAGTCTCCTGAGTAGCTGGAACCACAGGTGCGCGCCAACACACCTGGCTAATTTTTTGTATTTTGGTAGAGATGGGGTTTCACCATGTTGCCCAGGCTAGTCTCAAATTCCTGAGCTTAAGCAATCCTCCCACCTCTGCCTCCCAAAGTGCATTACAGGCATGAGCCACTGTGCCCAGCCTTGTCTTTTTATTTATAAAATAGTCATTATTATTATTTCTTTTTATTTTTTTGAGACAGAGTCTCGCTCTGTCACCCAGGCTGGAATACAGTGGCGTGATCATGGCTCATTGCAGCCTCAACCTCCCCAGGCTTAGGTGACCCTCCCACCTAAGCCACCCAAGTAGCAGGGACCACAGGCGCACGCCACCATGCCCAGCTACCTTATGTATTTCTTGCAGAGATGGGGTTTTGCCATGTTGCCCAGGCTGGTCTCAAACTCCTGGGCTCAGGCCATCCACTCACCTTGGCCTCCCAAAGGGCTGGGAGTATAAGCATGAGCCACTGCGCCCAGCTAGATAACAGTCATTATTTGTTAAAAAAATCAACCGGTCAACAAATAATGTTAGCATTAAAACACCTCTTTATCTCCCTGGTCTTATCTAGTTTTTAACTAATGGATTGATCTGTTTTTCACAAAACTATAATCAGTCTGGGCAAGTCCTTGGATGCTTTACTTTTTCTTCACTGGATGTATCAAGTACAGCCAGACTCTACATGTTGATTTTTAGTGGTCAAATATTAGTCTTTGTGCTGATGAAACACAATGGTCATGAATGCAGGGCATTCTAATTTCTTAATTCTCAGCTCATTGCCAAAGAAATTCCCCCAGGGAATCTGATGTGGAAGCCTGTTTGGCTGTGGGGGCAGAAGGTTAGGAGAGCAGAGGGTGCAGAAATGCCTCTTGGACTACACTTTCTGTGTGTGTGTGTGCGTGTATGTGTGTGGGTTTTAAGAAATGGGGGTCTCGCTATATCAGCCAGGCTGGTCTTGAACTCCTGATCTCAAGTGATCCTCCCATCATAGCCTCCTGAGTAGCTGGGACCACAGGTGCACACTACTGCACCTGGCTTCTGTGTTGTGTTTCAAGCAGCAGACAGATGCCCCGACTGTACCAGTGGCCAGCTAAGGGGACCACACATCTGCTGATGGAACTACTGACTGCTAGGAAGGGGTTAGTCTTTTATCCATATTAGCCATCTGATACTCTGGTGGGAGAGCTGAGAGGGCTGAGTAGGTCCACAGGAAGAGCTGTGCATCATTTTGTGGACTGGCCGAGGAAGCAGCGACCTGGGGTTTAGTTGTGTTAGTAAAAGTTGAAGGTGGTGGCCGGGCTTGGAGAGGGAACAGGGATCCTAGGGCTGGAATCAGAGCGTATTTCCAGGCTCAGCAGCAGAGAGGGCAGCGGCAGCCCCAGGTGGGGAAGGCAGAGGTTACTGGATCTGGCTGAGGAGCCCTGCAGTCAGACCCTGGTCTGAGGAGGCCCCCGATGCCCCGGCACTGTGACCCCTCCTCAGCTGACTGGGCAGCTGTCACCAGAAGAGCTGACCTGCCTCCCCACCATACACACCTCTCCTCCCTCCTGGCATCTCCCGACCACACACCAGGGTGGGGAGGGACAGCTGACAGCTGTCTGCACCACGGTGGGTGTTGGACAAACAAACAAGCATGAATGGGAAGGCTGTGCTGCTGGGCCTGGTCAGGAAGAGGCAGGAGGAGGAAGCAGAGCAGCCATTGCTGGTTCGCTCTGGCTTGAGGGAGGCTGGGAGAGAAGGCATTGTGGAGTAGGGTGAGGGAAGGGCTCGGAGAAGAGCTGTTGTGGCCTCCCCACAGGCAGCAAGGAAGTACCAAGTCCAGGAAGTAGGGGAGGGAGACAGCAGGGGGAGGAGGGCTCTTAAACGGAGGTGGACTTAGGATTTCTCCCGTATGGAAGTGTGGCCTCCAGCTCTCTGGTATTCTCACTTCCTGCCAGAAACCACATGGGTATTGCTAACTTCAGAAGGTCTCTAGGTACTCACACAACCTACTATCTCCTTTCAGGATCCGGGGTAAGAGTGTGGGGGCTCCACGACCCCATTCTGCTCCTTCCCTATAGGGCCAGAAACTGCCCTGATGGCTGGGCTGGGTGGGAGAGAGTAAAGTCACATCGTCCTATGGTGACACGGTCTGTTGCCTTCCCTTCCAACTCCCTGGCCTCTCCATCTCTCACTGGCCCCAGAAAGGAGAACAGGAGGGGCTCTGTGGTACAAAGGTGGAAGTCGCCCTGACAGGGACTGCCCGACAGATGACTAGGCTCCAAAGAGAGGGATAGAGTGGGCCAGAGGATGCCATGAGGGCCACCAGAGAGCCTCTTTTGGGTGCTCCCAGCAGTGGCTCCAGAGTTCTGCATAGCAGGCGCTTAAAGGAAACCATCTCCTTGGCGCCAATGTTTGTTTTCAGCACCGCTCTCTGTTGAGAGCCCTGGCTTGCCGGGGGAACTCCCTGACTTCCATCCATGCTGAGAGAGCCAGGCTGGAAAAGCCCCAGAGGGCAGTGGCTCACAGTGGGGGTCCAGGAGCTAAGATGTGGCACAGGATTGATCCAGCCTGAGTCAGTGCCACCTGGCCTGGGTCCTTGCCACACACACACCCCTCCTCCCTCCTGACAACCCTCTGCCCAAGCACTGGCAGCATCAAAACTATCTTCTCCCCATTTCCAAAACTCTGCCCTAGTTCTTGGTCTTTGCTTTAAAAGTAATCTGGTAAACAAGGTAACATAGTGCCCAAATTACTATGTTCCTCCACCGAAAAGAACTCTCATTTGACAATAAAGTGCCCTATGACCCAATTATTCTAGTTCTAGATTATATATCCAACAGAAATGTACAAATATATTCACTGAAACACGTGAACCAGAATGCTTCCAATGGCCAAACTGGAACCCACTCAAAAGCCTATCAAAGCAGAACGGATAAATTAACTGGATTATATTCACACAATGGGATACTACATAACACTGAGAATAAACAGTCTACAATGACACATAGTACTATGAATGAGTCTCACAAACGATGTCAAGCAAAAAAAGCCAGACACTTCTTTCTGTATGATTTCATTGACATTAGCCTTGAGGGTAATGGTGACCTCTGGGGGTTGGTAACAGGGAGGGGTGCCAGAGGGCTGTGGGGGCCTGGCAGTGCTTGGTTTCTTGATCCGGGTAGAGGTTACACAGGTGAAAACTTAGTGAGCAGTCTAGTCACTGCTCTGTCACTGACCAGTAGAGAGACCAATTGTCCTGGTTTGCCTGGGACTGTTCCCATGTTAGCACCAAAAGTCCTGTATCCTGGCAGACTGGGACGACTGGTCCCCTGGCCCGACTGTGGGAAGTGGGCAGCCACGTGGGCTTCCTTGGCCCCTGTCACCTCAACGCCACATGAAGATGGAATCCCTGCCATGATCCACTCTTGGGTTTGTTGTGAGCATCAAACAAGGTCCTATGTGAAAATCTGTAGCTGCAGAAGATCCTGATGCCACGGCAGTGGGAAAACCCACTGAAGAATAAACAGTAAGGCAAGTCTCCATGACGGCTGGAGGGGGACCCTGGGACCAAGCGAGACCACAGCGCAGCTGGGGCTGAACAGTGAGAGCTGACCAAGGACTGCTTCTCAAGGGTCTGGTGTTTTTCCCAGGGCCAGAGGTTAGCACTGCCCAGGCCTGGGGCCGCCCTGAAAGGGGCAGGCTGGCCCCGCCCCCTACCCTGCTGTTCCTTACTTATCTAGGGAGCCAGGGAGTCAAGCTCCAGTCCAGCTGCTGTCTTCACTTGTCAGCGCCCCTTCTCCAAGAGGGGGCGGGGCAGGGAAACAGGCAGGGAAATGCACACCTGGCCCGGGGTTTTTCTGCTGATCTGGGGAAGGCTGTGGTGGTGGGGCTAATCCCAGGCAGGAAAGAGGATAACTGTCTGGACTACAATGCCTGTGGTGCAGGTTCCACTGAGGGGACTGTCCTAACAGGCTATAGTGAGTAAAGTTCCTGAGCATGTGAAAAAGTCACATTGCACAAAATTCACACCACTTCTGCTAAAGCTTTTATAACACTGGTTTCTAAACCTGGCTATGCATCAGAATCGCCCAGAACCTTCTCTCACACTGGAGTCTGAAGGCCCCAGGGGTCTAAGAAAGTATTCATAGAGGTCTTCCTCATTTTCTATGAAAATGTTAAATTTTTCCTTTTGTTCTGACAGTAAAAACATTATTGAATGAAAGCATACACATCTGCATCTTTGGGGACACCATCCCATAACTGCATGTGGCCACACAGGTTCAGGGGCTAATGACCGTCCGCACCCTGGGGCTTCAGGGACTAAAGCAGCCAGACCCCACCGACAGAGTGTTCTCAAGCCTTGTTACTCAGAGCGCAGTCGTTGAACCAGCACATTCACAAACCTAGAGCCTGTTAGAAATGTGGCATTCCAGGTCACCCAGACCTGAACAAAAACCCTGCAATGTAAGGAGCCGCCTAGGTGAGTCAGGCATGCTAATGTTTGTGAAGTGCCGGCCTAGATGGCTGGCCTCCCCTCTCCTGCATTATTGTTCATTGAAATGGCTTTGGATTTCCCACCTGATTTTTCAGTTCTAATTACTGTGTTACTTTCTTTTATCTGTTAGTCCCATTGAAGGCTCGATCATCAATAGTGTTTATTAATTCATCCATATACTAGACTCAAAGATGAGGCTAGTAGTTGGGGTCCCCGTGCCTTGGGGATGGAGTGCTATGCCCTGAAGACAATGAGGATGCCCAGAGATTCGCCCCTGGCCTCCTGCCCTCCTTCTTTGTGGACCCACACAAGTGAGGTTTTATTACTTGGTGCCAGCCACATTTCCCACCCTCCTGACCAAAGGCCCCAGGCTGGCCAGCCTTGGGGACAGTGAGCACCCAGAATGGGGATCTTAGCATGTGTAGCTACATGATGCTATAGAATATGCATGCTACTGACTCCCTGGGAGCCCAGGAGCAGGGTGGGCTGCCAGGGATAGGAGGGGAGCCTGCCACCCTCCTGACTCTGGGGGGGGCTCCCCATCATGACAATGGCAGGGCAGCCTGGGGACCCTCCTGTGGAACCCTCAGCCCCCACCCACTGGTCCACCAAGTGGTCCACCAGTCCACCAAGTGCCCCAGGACTCACAGGATGTAGCAGATGACCCCGATGCTCCACATGTCTGTGGCGTAGCCGATGGGCTCATAGTTGATCACTTCAGGAGCCACAAATTCTGGGGTGCCAAAGAGGACCTTCAGAGACCCCGCATTCTCTGAAACCAGGATGGAGAGGGATAAATTGCCAGCACATCACGGAGCCAGCTTGAGACCAGCAGCTGCCCGAATCTGTGTGTTGACCCCAACCTGGGAGGGGCCAGACACAGGCTTTGGCACAGAGAACAGGCACAGAGACATCTGACCTCCTTGTTAAACAGGTGCGTCAACACACCAGTGAAACCAACAAACCTCACACTCACCTCAAATGTCCTGTGCAGGGTGGGCAGGGGGAGAAGAGGCCGCTAAATCACCCGCCCCTGAATGGTCTTTTTGTGAGTCTGTCTCATGAGTTAGTTCCCCTAGGCAGGGACTGTGACTTATGCTTAATAATAATCTCTAGCATTCACTATGTCCTATGTACCCCACCGGCAGCTTTACAAGGGTTCTCACCCACCCCAAGGGGTAGGTATAATGCCCGTGCTACTGAGAACATGAGTGAGGCCCAGGGAAGTGCAGTGATTTCCCCACCCGGTTAACAAGTGGTGGTCGGGACTCAAGCCCAGGTAGTCCAACTCCTGAGCCATGCTTACCACCGTTCCTCCCTCCTGCCTCTCCTACTCCTCACACAGCTTCATGGCTGTCCTTCAGGAGCTACTGGTAGGGTAGTCGGGAGAGGCTTCAACCCCAGGGTGGTACCTCTTGGCCATAAAGGACCAGAGATGTCTGTTAATATGTGCAAAAGGCAGGTACCTGTGGGCTATGCCTGGTCTTGCTTAACTTCGCAGAGCTCACAGCAAATGTTCTAAAACAAAGCATTTAACAGCCCTCAGATGTGAAAGCTCTGCTCCAATTCCTGCCTCTCAGCCCTTTCTGCTACATTTTAGCCACTTCTCAGTTATCTGGTCCTTGGTGGACACGGTTGTTCCCACAGTATCCCTCACCAGTGGAAGCTGGACATTGTGTTCCCTGGGCTCTGACACTGCCGACTCCTGAGGACAGTGGCCTATTTGTTTAATTTATTGGTGGTCACTGTTCAAAGGCAGGCCCTGTATGCCAGCCACTGCCCCTACCCTGTCCTCTTAGCAGGAGTGAGCAGAGCAGAGCAGGCACATGCGCCCAGCGCCGAGGCATGTTTCTCACCTGACTGCGCTGACCACCAGACCGGTCATAGTCTATCGGAACCTCGCCCCTGCTTACCCCTTTCCTCTTTATGACCAACACAGCCTCAGCCAGCACTGAACATCGTGGGAGACATTTATTGGGTGGCATTCATTTGGCCCCTCCTTTCTACTACCTGCAGGGTGGTGAAATAAAGCCAGCTCACCCCAGCCCTCGGGCTCCTTGCTAGCAGGGCAGTGGCTAAGAAGGGAGGATGAAGCTGTTTCCTCAATCACCGGGACATCAAAGGGCTGCAGAGGCAGGCTGGATGCAGGCAGAATGTGAGCCAGGCAGGCATCTACCAAAGTGCTTTCAGGGCGGCCTTGAGACCCTGACCGCCTACCCCTGTGACCTCTCTCCTGGCTAGCATAAGAATCAGAGGTGCTGCAGAGCACCCTGAGCAAGGTCTGGGGTCCTTGTTCCAATCCCAGCACATCCCCTGGCTCACAGTGGGACCTCCTGGGCAAAGCTATTGTGAACCTTTGTTTCCTAGTCTACAAGTTGGGGCTCATAAAATCTACCCTGCTCACCTCATGGTGAGAATCATAGGGTTTATTTTTTATGTGAAAGTGCTCTAGAAACTGTACAGTATGATGCAGATGTGCAGAGCCACCATCACCAAAATGACTTTTGCTGCTAATGGCACCAGAGTGAAAAACAAAAGGGGATAATCATCATCATATATACAGCTAACACCTAAGCAGTCTTACTATGTGCAAAGCACTCTTCCCATCCCTTTACCTATATTAACACATTTGATCCTCCTAACAAATCTGTGAGTTAGGTCCTACTATGATCCCACTTTTCTGATGGGGAATTTGAGGCTTACTGTCACGTCTAGTATGTGGTAGGGGCAGGATTCAAACCTGGGAAGTCTTCATGGTCTCGGATTTAACCCCAATACTGTATGTTTCCTCTCACACTCAGTGTGAGAGGAAACGGCCAGTGCAATACACACTGGTGTCCATGGGAGAGGCAGATGAGCCTTACCCAGCCTCCTGGCCAGACCAAAGTCGATGAGCTTGATCCTGGTGCCCGTCTTGTTGACACACATGATGTTCTCCGGCTTGAGGTCCAGGTGCACGATGCCCTGCTTGTGGATGTACTCCACTCCCTCCGAGATCTGCCGCATGTACTTGATGCACTCACGCTCCGTCAGCTCAAAGTCCTCGTCAATGATGCGCTCAAACAGCTCCCCTCCTGACACGCTGCGGGAACACGTGCACGGGGTGGTCAGGCCACAGGCTCATGGAGGCCAGGCTGGCAGGGAGTCTGGCCAGGGTAGGCTGGGGGTAGGAGAAATTGGCAGGAAAGCCCAGGGAATGGGGGTGATGGGCAATTCCTGAATCCCCACCCTCCGACATGGGAGAAGGGTCAGGGCCTCCTGGTTTCCCATCAGGGAACCCTGCCCTGCACCTTCTAAGCTGCTGGGGACTCAGGGAAGCATCTACACTAGGCAGTTTCAGAGGTGGGTGTGAACACAGAGATCCAGACATGATCTTCTTAGCAAAAAGAGTGACCTCTAAACAGTCTCTTTCCCTCAAATGACCACACATGCCTAAGGGAACATTCTTGTACTCTAGCCGTGTCTTTTAGTCACAGGGAACTCAAGTTCAAAATACTCACAGTTCCCACAAGCATTTGTTCTGCATAGCCAGGAACGGAAAAATATCTTCAATCATCAATAATGAGCCTCAGCAAATTTTCTAAAATTAGTTGGCTGTAACTCATTATACCTACAGCTGTGACAGATTTGCTTACTCTGGCCAGGCCTATAGTATTGGTTTACTCCCTGCAGTCATAATTAACTGGTCTCCCTTGGACCCCTTCCTTACCCCAGCTGTGTAATCCTTTCTAACTGGATAGGCTTTGGATCCTGGCTATTTCTAGTGAACTTTGCTTCTGCAGCCACAGGCATGCATCCTCTGCTAGGGACTGCCCCGGGGTCTCAGCCATCAGCATATTGCCCTTCAGTGCAAATGCATGGCCCCACCGCCTGAGTTGCATGAGTCCTCTCTGTTCCCCTGTCCTAGCCCTCTGACCCACCTTTCTTGGTCTCTGCTTAGCAAGTTTAAAGCATCTCTCTGGTAACTTATGCAGCACCCAGATATCAGTAAGCTTGCTTTTCTTTTTTTCTTCTTCAATTTTTTTTTTTTGGTAGAGACAAGGAGTTCAAAGTTATGTTGAGCTATGATCACACAACTGCACTCAAGCCTGGGTGACAGAGCAAGACCCTGTCTCAAAAGTGAAAGAAAGGAAAGGAAGGAGGAGGGGAGGGGAGCCCAAGCTGGTCTGGAACTCCTGGTCTCCAGCGATTATCCCACCTCAGCCTCCCAAAGTGCTGGGATTACAGGCATAAGCCATCATGCCTGGCCTATAACCAACCAACCTACCTATCTTCCTTCCTTCCTTCCTTCCGTCCTTCCTTCTGTCCTGCCTGCCTTCCTCCCTCCGTCCCTCTCTTCCCTCCCTCCCTCTCTTCCCTCCCTCCCTTCCTCCCTTCCCTCCCTTGCCTCCCTCCTTTCCTCCTTCTCCCCTCCCCTCCCCTCCTCCTTCCTTTCCTTTCTTTCGCTTTTGAGACAGGGTCTTGCTCTGTCTTCCAGGCTTGAATGCAGTTCTGTGATCATAGTTCAACATAACTTTGAACTCCTGGGCTCAAGCGATCCTCTTGCCTCAGCCTCCCAAGTAGCTAGGACTACAGGTATGTGCCACCGCACCTGGCTAATTTTTTTAATGTTTTGTAGAGACAGGGTCTCTCTCTGTCACCCAGTCATAAGCTCATGTTTCTGCAGTGGCCTGTAGGTCCACCAGTTGAACAAGGCCGGGTGGGTTCTGGGCCTGTCCTCTTGCAAGGGTATTTCCTCTCCTACAGAGAGTCCTCACGAAGAGGAAAGGAGCTGAGTTTGAATCCTGCTTCTGCCTTTTATGAGCTGTGTGACATTGGGCAAGTTGCTTAACCTTTCTGAGTCCCAGTTTCCTTATCTATCCCTGCCTCATAGAGTTTTTAGGAATGTAGGAGGCTTTGTAAAGTATCATGCCTAACACACAGAAGGTGCTCAACACTTATTACTTATCGTTTGATAAGCTGTGGTGGGCTAGGTGGATCTTGTCACTGACCCCTGCAGGAGAGAGACAGGGATGCACTGTGGGGCCCAGCATACCACAGCCTCTGCCACGTGACACACACACTCACTTCTGGAAGGGCTGAACTGGAGAAGGTCAGTCTGTGCCAGTGACAGCTGGAGGGAGCTAGAACTCATACTTTAAAACCCATCTGAGAAGAAGGTCCCCAAATGGCCTGCAGGTGGCGCTCTTGTCCTTATGCCCTCCATTTCTATTGCTCTCTGCCAAGGCTCCAAGACAAACTCTCATCTACAAGTATTCTTAGGTCTCAGCCAGTTATTAACATCTCTGTGCTTCATTTTCCTCATCTGTAAGATGCAGATTAAAAACAGCCTCACCTCACAGGGTGGCTTCAAAGACTAAATGAGTCAACACAGGTAAAGTGCTTGGAAGTGTCTGGCACACAGTCAATGCTCAATATTAATGATCAATTTTCTATGTAAAGAATCACTTGGGGCTCTTATTAAAAATACAAATTCCCAAGCTCCTCCTCTGGAGATTTTGATTTAGAAAGTCTTGGGAGAGATCTGAGGATCTATATTTGTAATAATTACTCCAGGTCATCCTTATGATCAGACAAGTTTGAGAAATACTGGCTTACTCAACTACCACTCCTGGGAGGCCAGCTGAAATTCACGCCCTCTGAAAAAGTCACTCCCCATTTCTTCACATGGAATGATCTTTCCCTCACTGGGCATCCATGGCCTTATGTCCATAGCCTTGTCTCTGCACTTTCCATGGCCTTATGTCCATGGCCTCGTCTCCGCACTTTGTGTATCAAGTTGGCTTTGCCTTGAAGTTCTGAACACATCACAGGTGGCAGGCTCATCTCTAGACCCTTATTTGCCTCCGACTATATTTGGCACAGACAAGGTGCTCCAAAATGTTTACATTTAAATTTTAAATATTCTGAAAAAGCAAGCAACCATTGTTTTCAATGCCCTTGGGAATGTCTGAGGCAGTGAGTGGTGGGAATCTGAGCCATGGAGATAATTCCTGCTGCATTTCTGGAGGAAACCTATTCAATATAAATTCAAATAGGTTCAATCCTATTCAGATATACTTATTATATTTTGAAAACTGTTCCTATGGTTCAACTTTCTAAGATGGAAGGGGTTAAAGAGGCAGGATTAATGGTTCTGTGGGTTTATCTTCAAAATACTTAATGCTATGGGTGGAAAATATTGGTTTGATAGACAGAAACTGCCACCCACAGTAATGGGATAATGCCAAGGGCCAAGATTAGGCTTAAATTAATGGTGAGTGAGTGAATGACTAAATAAATAAGTGATCCCTATCCTAAGGAATCAGATTCATCCCCCAAACCCTAGACCTTGGCTAGCTCTCATAGGAAGCAAGAAGGAATGGTGCTATCACTGGACTCGAGACCCTCCGCTCCTTGCCCTATGGCAGCCAGCTGGAACGTTCTTTGATAAATTTTGCTAATAGTAGCACAAACATGAGATGAGCCATGGATGACACAGCTTAAACTTCACATTGTCTTCAATGCTCAGGGTCCCACAACCACCTGGAATGTCCCAAGCACTTCCAAAAGGACAAGCCCAAGTAGGCCAGGGGCCTGAAGGAACTGCTGTGTCAGACCAACTACTATATGGTGGGGGCTCATCCAGTAATCAGAAGTCAGAAAGGATGAAGACACATTCATTACTATTTCCCACTAGATCTGAAGCAACTGGACTTAAGGCAGGGACCCTGGAATACATTTCCATTATTCTATCCCCAGGCATCATCCTTCTTTTAATCTCAGTTTCTCCATCCAACAAGGTTAGCACATTGCACTGGTGAAAATCATTCTTTCCCTTCTCAGTGGTCAAGTCTTAGAGTGTTTAAGCTGGAAGGGATGTATAGATGGAGTATGAACCTGTTCCCTTCTTCTTTGGTTGACTGAGTTCTTACCAAGTTCCTACTCTTGGCGACCTGGCCAAGGTCCCAAGTGCAGGCAAATTTTCTGGTATCTGGGCATGGAAGACCTGCTGCTGTCCACAGGGGAGGCATGGGGTGGAGGGATGAAAGCCAGACTAGCTGAAGCTTTCTTACATTTTCTCTTTGCTTTTTCCATCCAGCTTGCCAACTCCCAATTCCAAGCTAAGTATGGTATTCTGCCCACTGGTGCTGCTGCCTAGCCTTCCCCAGGCCCTGTGACTCCTGCCCTCCCTGCACCCTCTCAACTTGCTCAAGGTTTAACTTCTAAAGATAAGACATTTCTCCACATGTCCTCACATGCCCACACCGCCTGGACTAAGCAACCTGTTCTAGAATAAATGTGAAAAGATGCAGCCCACGGGGCTATTGTGAGGGTGTAAAGAATGAGGTCACAGATGTGGGCTACGTATTTCCTGAAAATGGGGAGGAACATTTGAATTTGGGGCTGAATGTAGATTGTAAGATACGAATGGAAATTCTTCACCGCGTCTTTTATGGTTCCATGAAATAGTAGAATTTTATAACCAAAAGGGGCATCTTGAGATTGACTGTTCTAATCCAAGTACTTCTTCGTGCTGATAGGATTTGACAATTGCAAAATCATGACTCAATAGTAGCAGAAACTGAAGCCAGGCTTCCTGAATACTAGGGAGGATTTGTTCCACAACACCTTGTTGGAAGTTAAATGCTCAAAAAGTATTTTTAAGTGGAAAAAAACCAGGATACAAAAAAAGTCAATGTATCATACTACTAACAATAACTCCCCATTATAGAGCACTGTGCCCTATATGCATTATTGCATTGAATCCCACAGCGTTCATGAGGTGGGTGTCGTATCTACATTTATGGATAATAAAACTAGGGATTGGTACAATAGAATAACTTACTCAAGGTCAAATAACAAGTTAGAAGCAGAGCTGGGATTTGAAGTAAGGTTCATCTGACTCAAGCCTACACTCGGAACTACTATTGCCTTTCCTAAGGAACACATACGGAAAGGAAATACTTGTGTGCCAGAATGTTAATGGCATGAGGGGAGAGAAAAGACTAATATTCCACTCATATCTACAGCTTGGGGATGTCTTACTGGACTCAACTTTCCTGGGAGAGAATTCCAAGATGCTAACAGAGCCCTCACCAAAGGACAGAGACCCCCCAAGTTCAGGATGAGCATTTCAAGGATGTTGAAAGCAATTTCACAATATCTCTAAAGATTTCAAATGTGCATACCCTTTAACCCAGCTCTCCTTCACTTCTGGGAGTTTATCCTATAGATATTCACAGGCATGAGTGAAAAGATGTGTGTACAAGGTTACAAACGATGCTTGTTTGTAAAAGCAAAAGGCTGGAAACCACTCAATCTCTATCAAAAGAAGGCTGCTTAAATGAATTGTGATTTTCTATACAACAAAACCCCACAGAGCTGTGAGAATGAGGAAGCTCACTAGGTAGTGAGATGGGACTAACTCCCATAGCAATTTGCTGAAAAAGCAAAGTAGGTTGGGTGCGGTGGCTCACGCCTGTAATCCCAGCACTTTGGGAGGCTGAGGCAGATGGATCGCTTGAGCCCAGGAGTTCGAGACCAGCCTGGGCAACATGGTGAAATCCTATCTGTACAAAAATACAAAAATTAGCTGGGTGAGGTGGCGTGAGCCTGTGGTGAGGTGGGAGGATCGCTTGAACCTGGGAGGCGGAGGTTGCAATAAGCCGAGATGGCACCACTGCCCTCCAGCCTCGGCGACAGAGTGAGACTCTGTCTCAAACAACAACAACAACAAACAAACCAAACTAAAAAAGCAAAGTATATGACAGTGAGTATAAGAAGTTACTTTTTGTGTTAAAAGGCAAGAAAATAAGAATATATATATGTGTGTGTGTGTCTGTATACACTTATATTTTCATAAAGAAACTTTGGAAGGATACAGATAAAAGCCAATAAAATTGTTTGTGTTGGTGATGGTTGTAGTGTTTAGGAAAGGATAGACAGGAATAATGGTGGAAATTAGACTTTTCACTGTGTATTTCCTAATATTTTTTGAGGTGATTGTAGCATATATTCTAAAAATTCAGATAAAAAAGGAAACTGTTAAGAATGCAGATGCTGTGGGGGATGCCTGGCTTGCTGATGCCAGTGTGCATGCTTGACTGTATGTGTGTGTGTGTGCATGTGTGTGTGTGCGTGTGTACACGCATGCACCAACAGCTCAGAGGTAAGGGAGGTGGAGGATTCAGGTGCAGAAGAAACAATGAATTCTGCGAAAGGCTTGGCTGGAGGTCATCTGATAATCCCCCTGCCTTTGTACAACCCCATAGGGAAAGCACCACTCTTTAGTGAGTGAGAAGTCCAAAGAGTACAAACAAGAGTAGACCAGGGGCATGTGGAGACACAGGATGGGACTGAGGACCAGAGAGAGGCTTCCATCCTGGATTTCAAGCCCCCAGCCAGGGGCCCCCTTATCTTTCACAGGGAAGTCAGGAAGCTGCCCTGTCCCTCCCCTAAACCACCTTCAGGTGTGAATGCCCCAAATGAAACCAAGGAGCCTAGGGATAGCTTTGGCCCTTTCATGGGGAGATGAGGGCGAGAAAGACACCAGGGTCCTCAAAGATCTACTGGTTTGTTTTGGAAATAAGCACAAGGCTGCAGCTGGGCTGGTGCTCAGAGGCTCAGGGCCAGCACTGTGCACAGACCTTCGGTTCTGTTTGGTCAGGCCTGGCTGTATGGCTGGTGAGCATCTTACATATCACACTCCTGTCTGCAGTGCTTTCCATCTTGGGGCAGAGGTGGCTGGGGTAGGGCAGTAGGGGAGACACGTTTGGGGGCTCCCTGTGGTGCCCACGCTGCTGGCAGTGGGCCACTCACATCTCCAGGACCATGACGATGTTGGCCTTTTCTTCAAAGGCATCCACACACTGGACCAGCTTAGGGTGGTGGAGGCAGTTCATGATGCTAATCTCCTGCCGGATATTCTCTTTCTCTTTTGCTGAATATGCCTTGAAGAACTTCCCTGCCCAGACTTTTCGAGTTTTCTTTTCTACAAGTCGAAAGACCTGTCCAAATTTCCCACTGCAAATGAAAGGGGGAGGAGAGAAAAGCCACATTTAGCCAAGCTTTCCGCTAACTTGGGGTTGGCAAATTATGGCCCATGGGACAGATCTGGCCCACCTCCTTTTATAAGTAAGGTGTTACTGGAGCACAGCCCTGCCTGGCTGTTTGCATGTTGTCTATGGCAGCTTTTGTGCTACAGTGGCAGAGCTAAAGGCATATCGCCCATAAAATCTAAGATATCAGCCTTTATGAAAGGCCCAGACTCCTGCTCTAGAGCAATGAGGCACATTTGTTTTTTCTTATCTTTAAACATTTTTTTTTTTTTAGAGATGGGGTCTCGCTATGTTGCCCAGGCTGGTCTTGAACTCCTGGCCTCAAGCAATCCTCCCACCTCGGCCTCCCAAAGTGCTGAGATTACAAGCGTGAGCCACCACACCTGGCCTTTGAAGCACATTTCTAATGTTGACAAGCCTACTGTCAACTTTGGCTGATGGCATCTCTTCCCCTCCCTGCAGTGGAACCCATGAAGATGGGTGGAGACAGCCCTTCCCAAATGCAGAGTATTACTGAGCAGTTGCCTTCCTTCCTTCCACTCCCTACCACTGACCCCCTGGTGATGGCCCAGGCAGGGTCCTGCTTCCTACTGCTGAGAGAGGGGAGAGTGGGGCTCCTCTGTGATGGCACTGACTTCTTTCTGACACTGTTACCCAGTTTGCATCACTCCTTCATTTCCCAGAAACCACTGGAAATACAAGTGGAGTCCCACTCCTTTCTCTCCCACCTCTTCTATTCCTCCAGGGACAGCGTAAGGGCAGATGAACAGCTTGGCTCAGGGTTGGGGTCTGAGCCCACTCTATCCTCCATGCCCTAGGGAGAAGCCAGAGTAAGCAGTGCGAGCCAAGTTCATGAGGGAGCTTGATGACTGCTGCGCGTTTAATGGAGCACTAACGCAGGCATTGCTTTACAGTGAGCACTGATCAGGCTACACTGACTTCTGTGGATCAAATGGAAGGGGTGCCAAAGATAATCTGATCCAGTCCTCTCATTTTATTTTATTTTAAAAATTATTTTATTTTATTGTTTTTAAGTTCCAGGGTACATGTGCAGGATGTGTACGTTACGTAGGTAAACGTGTGCCATGGTGGTTTGCTGCACCTAACACCCCACCATCTAGGTATTAAGCTCAGCATGCATTAGCTCTTCTCCCTAATGTTCTGCTCCCCGCACCCCCTGCTCTCCCCTGACAGGCCCCAGTGAGTGTTATTCCCCTCCCTGTGTCTCATTTTGGTCCTGGGCTCTGAACAGAGGCACAGAAAAGGAAGGACTTGCCCACAGCCTTTGCAGAGTTGGGGCAGTGTAGGACCGCATGGGCAACTCTGCAGAGAGTCCTGGGTGAGTGAGTGATGCTTTCGTGGGTCAGTCCTTTGGATCCTGCAGGACTCTCAGTCTGGGGAGGAGGCAGGCCCCAGGGAGCAACAGGAAGCTGAGGCACTGAATCTAACTGTGAGACCCGCACCACCCTCACCCTGGGAGCCCAGAGGCAACTTCCCACTCCACTTACGATCCTAATCTCTCCTCAATGTCGTAGAAGTCAGATACTTTTTGTTCAGTATTGATTGTCACTGTCCGGTAATCAACCTCGGGCTCCTTCTCATCTGTGGGGCACAGGTCAGGGTTGGTGTGAGTCTCAGATGCCCCCACTCAGCCCCCTCCACCCCAAGAGCCTGACCCGAAGACAGGGGCTGCACTCACCATCATCTGACACCTCCACTTCATCCTTCGGCTCTGGGGGGGGCACAAGGAAGGACAGAGAGGACACAGGTGATTAGTACTGAAGGCCCACTGAGAGCAAGATGTGCTGGGGGCCCTGCCAGGCCTCAGCCTCCCCAGGCAGACGACTACCAGGTCCAGAGCTCTGGGCATCCCCTGGGGCTGGTCAGTCCATATAGCAAATAGGGCCCAGTGCAGACTGGCAGGTGCCAGCCTCCTCCCTCCACTCAGCTCCACTTCTCCACCAGGTCTCCCCTCTGTCCCATCCTCTCTAGCCTCATGGTCCCCAGATATACCCTTCTCCACATCTCATCCAACCCTTTCTGACTTTCAGAACCTACACACAACTGTGACAGTCTCTTTCTGCCCTGGCTCAAAAGTCAGCAACTTATAACTGCTTCTAGTGTCAAATCCATGTAGCCATTCATTGAACATTGTTGACGGCATCCCAGCACTGGACCAAGCATCTTGAATGCCAGTTATTGTGGGCATTCAAAACATATTACACAGAAGGCATGGTCTCTCCTTTCTTATAGCTTATAATTTAGTTCAAGAGGCAAAAACATATATACTTGAAGTAACAATTTACAAAGTGTACCATAATCACGCACATATCACCATGGTTCAAAGTGAATACACAACAGAGGAGGGTGACACAAAATGGTGCAATTGTAAGTGAGAGCAATTATTCTTAGAAGAAATAGCCTTTGAGTTGCGTCTTACAGGAAATGATGGAATACAATGAAGGCGTGAGTGATGTCACACAAATGAAACCAATAGGTATTTGTGAGGCAGGGCAGGGAGGGACACAGTCATGCCAGCTGCTCCCATGGCCGTGTCAGGAGTGAACAGGGTCCGGGGAACAGGAGGGGTTCCCCGGAACAGGGGGGCATCCAGCACAGCACGCCCACTTCAGAGCTCCAGGCCTTCCTTTGCCTCGATACAGGTTTGTTTGTTGACAATCGAGCCACTCTGGCTTCCTGACCTTGGCTGATTGCCTTTCCCTTCCTGGGCCTTGGTTTCCCCATCTGTAAGAGGAAGGGTTGCACCTGATGTCTCTGGCCCTGGCTAGCTCTGGATGCCACGCTTCGTCATGTGCTGTGTGTTCCTCAGCCATCGTCTGGGCTGCGTCCTGGCTGACAGCTGGACAATGAATGGGAGGTTTCCCAAGGAAGCAAAACAAAGACAGGAGAGAAAGCATAGAGGGAGGAAAAGGATTTTTAAAGTGTGAGTGTGTGTGTATGTGTGTGTGTGTGAGAGAGAGTGGGCATATGAGTGTGAGTGCGGGTGTACCGGTGTGAGTGTGAGTGTGAGTGTGTTTAGAGTTCTTAAAATGCTGCTGACAAAGCTTAGTTTTTTTAAAAAAAGACTAAAACTAAACATGAATGGGATTGGAAAGTATATTTTATCACAGAAAGGAAGCTGCCATGGAAAAATAAAAAAGGATGAGATAGACAGGGACACCCAGATAGTCTAGCTGAAGTATCAGAGGTGGGTTTCACGGTTACTGTCGGGATGTGGGCCTAACTGGTCAATATTCCTAAATCCACATGTTGGAGAGTTAAGAGTGGCATTGTCCAATTCACAGGTGGAAAGGATGACCTGAGAGCAATGCAACTAGAAGCCAGGAATGGAGTTAGTGTTCAGGAGAATCTGATCATTCTACCTTTTAGGGTGGTGAACCCTAAAGTCCATAGTTAATACCCAAGACAGAAACAGCAGCTCCTCAATCTACTGCTTGGGCTGTCAGATGCTGTCACAGGGCAAAGTGTGCATGGGCCCCAAACAGGGGTGAGTACTGGGTAGCTGTTGAGAGCGCCCTGGGTGCCTGCCCTGGAGCTCTGGCTGTCGGCAGTCCAAAAGCCACAATGGAGCTGGAGGTGGCAAGCAAGACCACTGAAGGGAAGGGCTATGTCTTAATCAGAAAAGGTGAGGCCTCTGAGGTTGGGAAAGAAGTCTAAAATGGACATGACTTTAAAGAGAATCACACAATCGCCAAGGATGAGATGAGAGTTTCAGACTTTTCATCAACTCATGACTACTGCATCTTGGGGGAACCATTTAGTGTTCTACCTCACGTAGGAGGAAGGCTGGAGGGATATGGAACTCACACATGAGAAGTACCACTAGAATAATAAGTATGTTCAATAGACATTTAGGTTAGTTCAGTGATGATATTATAAACAGGGTTTTAAGAGAAGCAACAATATTGGAGTCAATGAGTGATGGGACACCAGGTGGACCAGTCACTGGACTAGGTCTTCGACACAGAATCATCCTATTTACTGTCAGGGAGGCCCCTGTCTTGACCTGTGGTGCTGCTGCCTGATATAGTGGTTCACCAGTTGAGTCATCCTTTATTTCTTGTTCCTGTGCCACATTTTCCCGGCGTGGCATGGAGACCAGTGTATTCCAAGCAGCAGAGTGAGAGGGAAAGGAGAGGGCAGCTTTCCTGGCCTGGTGTCAGGAGAAGCAGTCTTGCCAATGGCCCGGCAGCAGGAGGCTTTCCCTGCGTGCCTTGAAGGGGGCATCCAGTCCTAGAGCTGGCCCCTGCCTGTCACTGTGAGTCCAGGTAGACAGCCACAGGGCCAGCCTCTGGCCTCACTCATGAGCCCACATCCATGCCTCACCTTCGCCTCTCACCCCAGAGGTCTGTGGCAGATCTGATTCTCATGCTAATGCTCTGGGGGAAGGACCTAGATCATTCTCAAGGAATTCCAGCCCCTCTTTCTAGTGCACTGTGTTCCTTTATGCTGCAGGAAACTCGGATCAAGAGTCCGGACTAAGCAGGGAGCAGTGGCAAGTGCCTGTAGTCCCAGCTATTCGGGAGGCTGAGGCGGGAGGAATGCTTGCGTCTAGGAGTTCAAATCCAGCCTGTGCAACAGAGTGAGACCCGATCTCTTTAAAAAAGAGAAAGATTCCAGGCTGCTACATCCCCTTCTGCTTTTCCCTTCTTGTCCTGCCTCTCTTCTATTTGACCACAAGGGGAGGAGTGAGAGAGAAGTAGAGGAAAGACCACAGTTCAATTAGCAGAGCTCTTGGTGCATAAAGGGTTGTTGAGAAAGGTGAACTGGTTTCCATCTTTCCACTAGGGAAGGGTCTTCCACTGAACTTAAAAAAAAAAAAAATCTGTTCAGAATGAGCTATGAGATCCATGAGCTAAGTGGAAGGCTATTTGGAAGATGGTTCTGAGATATTTCTGCAAACAGATGAGAGTCTCGTTACCCTGGAGTGTTTGGGAGAGGATCAGCTGAGTGCTCAGGACCCTCACATGGCACAAGTCCAGTCAGTCCCCTGGACAGAGAATTGTCCCTTCCTGCAGCCAAGGACTGTTGCACACCCAGAGAACACTAGAGGGCACCCCCGCCCCGGAGACGGCCTCTGAGGCCAGGGCGTAGCTGCAGCCTGGGATGGGAGCGGTACAGGCTTTATATCTCGAACTGTCCTGGGGGTTGCAAGGAGGCTCCAGTTCTGCAAGAAGCCTCAGTCACAGTAGCTGTTTTGCTAACAATTATACAGACTAGAACAAATTAGGGTAAGGAGCAGGGATGGAGTGGATTTGAGTGACAGCAGGATTTGAGGAGGAGTACAGTTCAAGACCTGGCTGGGCTGGGAGGGAGCGGGGCTGTGGTAAGGTTCTGGCTCTGTGCACTTGGGTTTGGGAGTACATTGTCAGTTCAGGGACCCTAGTCTTAGGAGTGGCTCTGGCATAGAGAAGCCACTGGAGCTCCACGGGGAACCCATGCTTTGTCCCCCAGTGTATCCCCAGTGCCCATGGCAGTGCCTAGAACACAGGAGGGGCACAGAACACATGGTGAGTGGATGTGGGATGAGGGCTAGGGTACCAACAGGGATGCAAATGAGGCATGAGAATGAAGTAGAAGAGCGAGAGGCAGGAGTGGCAGTGGCTGTGGTGGTAGTGGTGAAGGTCAGAGCCAACATTAGCCGGGCTTCATGGAGTGTGGGTTAATCAGCACTGCCTTTTTAATATGATCCCACCCCATCTGCTCCACAGAAATGACCTACAATGACCTGTCACTTGATCCCACCTCTCTGCCAACACACACACACACACGTGCGTGAACACACACGCCACTTCCCTGAGAGCCATTTCCCTCTTCAGCAGAGGGATGGCCTATGAAGCTTTATAACTAACAAGCATCTGAGCAGACCGTGGAGGACTTTTGCCTGGAATCCCCTCAACCAGAGTCCTCTGCCCTGAGGCCTAACACTTGCCAACTGTTCTGCCCTCTTCCTCCTCCCCCTTGGTAATCCAGCCAGCCTCAGCTGGGGAGTAGCTTCCTGTCTGGAAGCCCTGGGTGGACTGGACTCCTCCTCTGGATTTCAAGTGATTTCAACATTGCCCTTTGTCTATTCCCAGCTGGGAGGGGTGGCAGCAGGGGAGGGGAGTCTGAAGGCCCAGAGAGGGTTCAGCGGGCTGATGGCAGGGAACAAGGGAGAGGCCACTTGCCCCAGACAGGCAGTCACAGCTCTTCCTCCTGGCAGAGTCTCCACACAGCCCTGGGAGCAGCTGTCCTAGACCCCTGGGGGCCACACCTTGTAGCTCCCGTGGCCTCTGGTCCTGCTGCCTGGGGTTAGTCGGGGATTCTCCAGTCTCTCCCTCTTTACACCATAGCACAGACCTGGATGATTTCCTTTCCAGCCAATGAACATCTTCACACTGCAATCTTACTCCTTTTCCTGTCACTTTTCCAAGTAACATCCTAACACCACAGACTGGAACTTGATTGCCCCCCTGGGACCCACACTCTATGCAGCCCCCACTCTGCTCATTTCAGAGGGATGTTGTGTGTGTGTGTGTGTGTGTGTGTGTGTGTGTGTGTGTGTGTAAGAAGACAGTGATGGCAGTTTTGTTACTCAGTGTCCCCTGACAGACATTTGGGAGTGGCTAGTGGTTGGGATCCCTGCGAAAGCTGTCCCAGGAGCAGGCATCACGTCTCCGTGACTTGCACCATAGCTCTCAAGGAGACCTGCTCTATGCATATTGACATGGCTCAACGGGTAAAGGCCGCCTGACACACAGCTGCTAGCATAAAATTGTAAAGTTGGTATGTTTCCCATTGGTACCCTAACTTTCTTTCTTTCTGGAGCCCTTGTTTAATTGAAAGTAAAATTTTAATACCTATTTTGTACCTAATTTTCAATTTTTTTTTCAAAACTAAACAGGGTCATTGAATCAGATGACAGTTTCCATACTCACGATGGCTCTAGCTCCCTGGTGATGCCAGGCCTGCTCGCTTTCTCGCTTTCTGAGCTTTGCTCAGGTTCACTATTTGCCTCACTTGATTTCTAATTCCTTGTAATTAGAAGAAGTCAAATACATTCTCACCTACTGATCAGTTTTGGTTTTCAAGTGACATTCTGCATGTGGAGCTCAGTCTCCTTTGATACTTGAGTCTTCTACCATCTGCCTCACAACTCTACATTCTCCTGTCTCCAAGAGCTCTCTTCCCTTGATGTCCCTCCACCTTCTCCTAACCCCCAACTTTTTCTTATCCTATATTCTTTAATTCTTTTTTTTTTTTTTTTTTTTTGAGACGGAGTCTCACTGTGTCACCCAGGCTGGAGTTCAGTGGTGCAATCTTGGCTCACTACAACCTCTGCCTCCTGGGTTCAAGCGATCCTCCTGCCTCAACCTCCTGAGTAGCTGGGACCACAGGCGCATGCCACCATGCCCAGCTAATTTTTTGTACTTTTAGTAGAGATGGGGTTTTGCCATGTTGCCCAGGCTACTCTTGAACTCCTGAGCTCAGGCGATCCACCCGCTTCAGCCTCCCAAATTGCTGGGATTACAGGTGTGAGCCACCACGCCCGGCCTCTTATCCTAAATTTACAATGTCCTTTTCCTGTTCTTCACATAAAACTTCTTGAAATAATATTCCATGCTTCTGGCCTCTCTTTCTTCCATTTATTCCTTAACCAGGGCAACCATCTTTTCACTCAGTGGAAACTCTACAGACTTGGATCACAAAGATCACTACCAACCAAAGGACTAAATCCAAAGACCCTCTGAGTCCTCATCTCCTTCATTTTTATTTAGCATTGGATGCAGTTTATGAAGCCCTCTTTGCACCTTCTCCCTCCCCTGTTTCTTTGAGACTCCAGCCTCCTCTTGGTTCTCTCCCCTCTCAGTCCTTTCTCCTGGTACTGCAAGTTCCTTCTTTATGGTGTTGGTATTGACTTTCTCTACCACACTCTCTGTAACCTTATCAATGCCCATGGTTGCAATTATTAATTAAATAGTGAAGACTTCCAAGCCTGCCACACTAGCTTAAACCTTTCTCCTGGGCTCTAGACCCAACAGTCTTAGGATACCTTCCCTCGGCTAGCCCTTAGATGCCTCAACTCAGCAGGGCTGAAACCGCAGCTCCCCTCTCCTCCCAGACTGTTATGTAACCTCCAAGTTACTCAAGTCAGGAACCTGGAAGACAGCCTGACCTCTTCCCTCAGTCTAACCAAAGGAGCACAAGCTTCAGGCCAGACAGCTCTGAGTTCAAGCATCAGTTCACCAATTACAAGCTCTGTGACTTTGGGCAAGTAGCTTCTCCCCTCTAAATCTCATTTCTCCTATCTGTAAAATGAGGGTAATAACAGTATCTGCTTCATTGGGCTATTGGGATTGGATGAAATGATGCATATAAAGTGATTAACACATCGTAAGCTTAGAGTAAGTGCTCAATACATGTTAGCCATGGTGAATTATAACAATAAACCTCTAGCTGGCTCTTGAATTTGTGTTCAGTTACCCCAGCCAGGAACTGTAAGTCATCTTAGAATCTTCCAGTTCTCTTCCTCAACTCACTATGCAAAAAGTCATCAAGTATGGTCACTTCTACCTCCTGAGGCTTGAAGTTCGTGCCCTTTCCATCCCTCCCCTGGACTGTCATCCCAGAGGCCCATCTGATATGGCTGACTGCAGTCTCATCTCCTCTGACCCACCCACCACTCCAGTGCTTCTCAAATGTTCGTGTGCATCTGAATCCCCAAGGAGTGGATCATTTTCAGTCAAGGCCCAGAAGGGCCTGGGGGAGTCTGCTTGCTAAGAAGCTCCCAGGATGCCAAGGCTGCTGGTCCACAACTGCACTGTGAATAGCAAATCCCTGCTTTTTCCCTAGTTCTCTGAAAACCAGCTCTAATCGTCTCGATCCCCTGCCTGAGAATCTTTGATGAACTTCACAACTTTACCTAAAATGCCCTTTTAGTCTTACTTCCTCCTGTTCTGTCTCACACAACATATGCCTTGGCCACACACGAGCATCTGAAAATGTCACACACTGCCATGGCTTTGTAACCTTTGCTCATGCTGTTTCCTCTTGTAGAGTGCCTTTCCTTATCTTCCCTGCCTTTTAGAATCCTATCCCTTTTTCCAAGACTCAGACTAAGTGTCACCTTCTCCAGAAAGCCTTCCTTGGTCTCCATGGAAAAATGCTCCATGCATTTTGTTATGTCCCCTTGGTTCTTTTTTTACCCAGCTATAATAGGATGCATCCCTTCTCATTATAGTTAGCCATACACACCTCTCTTCCTCTAGATTTTAAGCTCCATGTCTTATCTTTGTGTTCCAAGAATCTGACACCAAGTAGACACTCAAATATGGATACAAGAGGAGAAGAGAAGGGGTGGAGGGTGGAAGAGGAACATGAGGCCGCTTGAACTCCTATGCTCCTGAGTAACATACCATCACCCCCTGGTGGCAGCATGCCAAAATTGCTGGTTCAATGTTTTTTGAAATGTCCTAAGTATTAATACTTTTTTTGAAGAATGGCTCAACATCACTGTCTTGGAAACCAAGACCCCAAAAGACCCTGCCAGTCATCATTAATGTTTCCTCAGTTCCTTTTCACCCCTTTCAGTACAGTCTTTACATACACAAGGTCAGTCACGCACATTTGTTTCAAGCCACTGATGAAGTGATGGCAGCCTACCTTCAGGTTTCTCTCCTACCGTTGTGAGTTCAGACTCCTGGCTTGGCTCACTGGTTCCATACACGTTGATTGCACGTACACGGAACTTATATTCGTGGTCAGGCAGCAGGTCCTGGACGTTGAAAGAGGTGCTGCGGCATGTGGCTAGTTCCTTCCACGTCTTGTTGGCTGAGTCCCAGATCTCGATGCTGTAGGACTGTACAGCACTGCCCCCATCATATGAGGAGCCATACCAGGACAGGGTCAGTGAGGAGCTCCGAATGTCAGAGGCACAAGGTGTGCCAGCTGGGGGGTCTGGCTTATCTGGGGATAAAGAAGCACAACATCACCCACACTTTCCAGAATTGCAGGCAAAGGAAGTTTTTGAATTACCTGTGTCATGGGGGGAAGGCAGCCTAGAGAACCCAATCCAAAGTCCCTGGTCCTGCGTCTCTTTCCCTCATCCGCACATCACAGTTAGAGCTATGTACAAACCCACCTGTACGGAAAGCCCCATGTATAATTATTTGCTCCAAAAAAGGCCCCCTCGCTTTTTTTTGCTAGTTTTCCAGTCTACATGCAAGTCACGATTTCCTGTACTTTGCCCAAGTCATAAACATATTTGTCAGAGTAAACAGATCTAGGAAGCTGCCCAGAAGGCGTGGACTATTTCCTATCGAAAACATGTTTTGAGAGAGAGAGTTCAGCATGAGTGTGTGTGTCTGTCCTTCAGGCCCTTGGCCAATGACCTGTGACATAACTAGGGGTCTGCCTCCACTTTCTCTGGGTCTTGAGAAATGCCTGCCCCACCAAGGGGTGGTATAGCACAGTGTTTGTGCTCTGAAGTCAGACAGATTCAAGTTTGAACACAGATCTGTCCCCACACAGTAGCTGTTAATTGCCCTGAGCCTCAGTTTCCTCATCTGTAAAATGTGAATAACAACAGCACTTGTATCACAGGTGGTTGTAAGAAATTCTTAGAAGAGTGGCTGGCTTGACTAGTCATTACTATCAAGATTATTGTAGGAGTTTATTTCTAACTTTATATACTTAAAAATTACTCCTACCCTACCTCTTTTATTCTCAGAGGGCTGTTGAGATATAAATAATTTCAAAAGCAAACCACAATAGCAAATCACAGCCATCCCTGACTAATGGACAGAAAATGAGCTGAGGACACAAATAAGAAGTGGCCCTTTTGGCTGGCTGCCTTCTCATTCAGATGACCTGGCCTCAGAACTAGCAGTACTGCCAACTTCAAGTCAAATCATGGTAGCCAATACTTTAATGAGGCTCTTGAGTTTTGCTGATTTTATTAGTTGCTTATCTGAGCAAAACTCTCCTATTTTTCAGATTTAGTTTTTGCAGATGGTTGGTTAGTTACAGATATCTGTGTTGTGTTCATTAACCCTTCATCTCCCCCAATGCTGTTTGATTTCATGAAGCCTCACAAACTAGCAATTGAAACCATGCTTTTAAGCTATGTCAACCCCAGCAAATTTGAAACTGGTTTGTTTGCCTGGCTTTCTCATTCAGAGAATGGTGCTAATATGTTCCTACCTCTTAGGGTTTTTGCAAGCATCAAGTAAGCAAACATAGATAAAGTACTTGACCGCTACTCTCCCACCTCCAGCAAGGCAGGAAGGCCAAAGGCAATGGCTGCAAATGACCCTGTGTATATGGAGAAGAAAAATCTGCATGTATATACATGTGTATATGAGTATATATACTCATACTCATATTCATTCTTGTCCCCTCTCCCAGCCCTGCCGATCCACATTCCAGCCCAGAATGCACTGCCCAGAAACTGTCTACCCCAATAACCAAAGCCCTGGGAATGATTCTGGGATTGTGACAGAGCCACTTCCCAGTGCTGGCAGTCATGCCAGAGGCCTCCTGTGATGGAAGCACTTTCACTGGCTGTTTAATATGTTCTCTTAGAAAAACTGTTTGTTCTGAGAGATATATTGGCCTTTTTTGAAACATTTCTGGTTTTGGCTAAGATGTTTATTACTCTAAACTCTCTTAAAGACAAGTGGTTCAAGTCCTCTCAAGACCCAGCTAAGGAAGTAAAAAAACCTGAAGAGGGATGGAAGACAGACCCACTATTCCTCCCAGAGAAGACTGCCTGGAGACCATGTGATTGGCCACAGTTGGAGTTGTGTGGGCTTATAAACGAATGCACTCTGCCAACTGATCTTCCTTCTGCTTTGGTCAAGAAAAGAAAACTGAGAAATGGGTGTTGCAGAAGAGGTGCCATTTGTACCCTACCCTGTTACACATGTCTCTTGGCTGAAAATGAGAACCTATACATGACATATGTGATACGTAAGACTTGTCACACAAGAGAAGATGCAAAATTTGGGGCGAGGGACTTTAATTCCAAGTAAAACTCCAACATTTTTAAGGAATTTGCTACCAAATTAAGGAGTTCAGAAAAGACCCAAGTCAGAAGTCCTAGGAGATTGGAGGCCTCCCACTCCTCCACCTGCCTTTAGAGCTGTGGGCTGCACCTAATGCTTTCTGTTCTTTCTAAGCTATGAGCCCCATGCAGTGGCTGAACTAGTAAAGGGATGAAAACTCTCAGAAAAGAACAGATGTCCTTAGAACAGGGAGCTCCTGTGAGCTTGTCCTCCACGGCGACACACTCAGACTGGGAGGGAGACCCTGGGCATCTCTGGGCAAAGGAGACTCCACATTTCCTCTGAATTCTCCCAGGGCTCCCTGGAGGCTTGACTAACAGAATAGGAAACTCAGCTCAGTCTAAGACAAGAGTCTCCAGTGGCACCAGCTCCAGGATTTTCTCCTCAGCAAATGTTCTAATTTCCAGGAAAATGGAGGATCCTGTCCTACAGCTTCCCACTAGAGTAACTGCTCTTGAGGTCTCTTGGTCCTCGCTTATTTGAAGATGACCAGTGGCTATGCCTAGCCCCACCTGGATGTCCCTTCCCTGGGACTTCAGCAGCTGCTGGAAGGGCCCCCACATGTCATCTACCTGGATAATCCTAGCCCTTGGGAAATGGGTCCTCAGCAGCTAAGGCATTTTGCTTATCAAGAAAACCCAGTAGTCAGTGGCAGAGCCAAAAGGAGATTCCAAAAAGCCTCTGGACCCTCGCTCCAGGGCTCAAGACTTTCCAGGCTATCAGGCAGAATGAGCTCAAGAAGGCATCTTGCTTAAGCCTGAGCTGAGCATTAAGATGGGAAATCATGCAAGCTCCAAACTCAGTTAGTATTTGGGGATTATTGGGTATTTGGGGTTCTCTCTACTTTGTTTTTCTCCTTTAAAGATATGAAAAGAGACCTGCTTTTCTCGTGCTGGGTGAGTGACCTTAAGGAATCCATCTGGGTATGCTGCTCACTGTCCCCTCCCTTATTCCCCACAGGCCAAGACCAGGGGCGCATGTGCAGGAAGAGGCTCTGAGCATTGCAAATTCCTGGGCTGCCTTTTAAAATATAATAATAATAAGTCTCCAAAATAGCTAAATATCACTCATTTAAGCTAACAGAGGGAAAGGCTAGTTTTTATTATTGTTTGAAAAATAGGAGCCAGAGAGGATCTGAAAAGAAAGTGGCCCTTTAAAGAATATACAATAAGAGAAGTTTGCTGCTAACAAGGAGGAGTTGTATTAAACTGGCCTTATTTAGCTGGTCTGTAAATGCATGAAAACTGTCCGGAGCAGACCAAGTGATTCCTGTTTTACCTCATGTACATTTTACATCTGCTTAATAAACCCTGATCAGGGAATACAGAGATGTCCCTGAAGATGCACAGGTAAATCTGAGCTTCATCCAGGTTTACTTTGAACTAATTCTAAGTGTACAGGCTCTGAATGAATGTGGCTTTGCTGTATCCATCAATGTGAGTCCTATTTTATTGAGCAATTCTATTCTTAGTTCTTTGAGGGGGAGGCAGACAGAAAGCCTCGGTTCTCCTCCATTCCATTCCCCTCCCAGGACGGCATTTAACATGCTGCTCCTGCCAGCTGGCAGACAGCCACGCCAATGGCCCTGTCAGCACTGGCTGCAGAGAATAAGAAACTAAACCATAAAAGGCCAGAACTGCAGCCCGCGTAGTGGTGATCGGAGGAGGGGAGTGCGTGGCACTGCGCAGGAGCTGGGCATCGTGGGGGCTGGGGGGAGGGAGAGCTTTTCTGTAGAAAAGCAGTTCAAAGAAGCTGACCCCAAAGTTGCTTAAGGAGGAGCAGATGAGAGAGAACATCAAAGAAAAGTTTAAACTGATGCTTGCTGATAGGACGGGAGTACAGGGCCAAATCAGTGCTTCAGAACAGATCTAAATGTACCAGTAAAGTGGATCACTAGCACCAAGCCTCCACAGGTTCCTGACTCCTTGGGAGGAAATTATTCAAATAAACACCTGGAGTCACCAAAAAGAGACAGAGTGAGAAAAGGGTTGTTCTTCTCCTTTAGAAATGAAAAACCCATTCCCTGACCCCTTTGTACACCAGTCTTCCCCGATCTGAAACTTCTAACCAAAAGAAACAAAAGAACAGGGTCAGAGGAAGGAAGACAAAGGGAAAAGAGGGGACATGGGACAGGGTGACGGACACTGAGAAATGGCTGAAACAGAACACAGGGTAAAGAAACAAGGCCAGGGAGAGGAACAGAGCAAGAGAGAAGGTAAACAGAAATATGGACAACTGGGGGTGGGGAGTGGATGCTGGAGCTCAGTCCTCTGTGAATTCCCTCTCCCGGGTCCCCTGTGTCCAGGGACAATCTTCCAGGGGGCTTTGCAGTACTTCCTCTCTGGGGAGTCGGGCCAGGGTGTGGAACCTGTGGTCTGTTCTGGTAGCTGGCATGGGCATAGCTCACTGGCCACCTCATTTGTCTTCCCAGCTCTGTATTACTTTGACCTTTATCCTCGTGTCTTCCTTATTCACCTGGTTGGACAAGGACTTCTTCTTCCCCAGCTGCTTAGGGGCTGAAGGGAAGTGCTACAGGGCTTCCTAAGGCTCAGCATGAGAAAAATGGAGGCACAGACATCAACAACTCTCTGGCATGTGGACAGCTCCCCAAAAGGCTTGCATGTCTCCCCTCAAGATGAGTTTTGCAGCCAGAGTGTTCCTTTACCTTTTGGGACATTCTGTACCTACTTCACACTCCCATGAGTGGCACTGGAGGACAAGTGTTTGAAAGTTTAGAGCTAGTTCCCACTTAGCCTCTGATGCACTATGTTACTTTGTTCAGATTAGGCCTCAGTTTCTCCTGCATAAGGCTGGAAACATCAGTCCTGTCCATCCTAGTCCTAAGGTGATGATACGAGATGAAGATAGGGGAGAAAAACTGCTTGAGAACTAAGTCAGGGAATCACAGAATGTCAGAGAACAAAGTCAAGGAATCACAGACCACCAGAGAACAGAGGTGAGGAACCATAGAATGTCAGAGAATAGAGTCGAGGAATCAGAATGTCAGAGAATAGAGTTGGGGAATCATAGAATGTCAGAGCTACAAGAGACCTTAAGAGTCAATGTCTACAACTTCTAACTTCATATCTAGATACTTCCATAAGAGAGATTCCAGTGGAAGACTTCTAACCACGGTAGCCACACAAGCCCTGTTACCAACAGATCCTTTTGTTCTGTGTGCCCACGTGTGTGTGCACCAGGAACACACAGGAAAGGCTAGTTTGCAGGAAGTTAAGGTTGGGATCAGCACACACAGCTGAGAGTTTTGTGCACTGCATAAAAGGGGTCTAGTGGGGGCATCTGGGCCAACCTGTCCTCCCCAAGGCCAGGTCATGAGTTCTGGGGTGAGGCTGGGGGTGCTGTACCCTTTTCACTCTGCCCAGCAAGGCCCCTTTTTCTAATTTTCACAAATGTACCCTATAAGCTTGAAAGCCAAGGACAAATGGAAAACCCGCTCGGGTCTCGTGCACATATCAATAAATGCCAGGTCAAAGGCTTTCACATGCACAACATATGAAGGCCCACAAATGCATGAGGCATAGAGTCTACTCTCTCTCTCTGTCTGCTCCTCTGCCTGCTCATTCTTCTGCTGTCCCAAGCACCTGCCACACGGGGAACAACTGGAGCAGAACATGACAACAGCGGGAGACTGGTTAGAAAACTCTCTTGATGCTCCAGGAGAGAGCTGACCAGGGCACGAAGACAGTGTTAAGGGAGGAGAGGAAAAGTGAACTTGAGAATCAGTCTGGAGACAGACCCCACTCAATCCTGGGATGAAGGAAATCCTGGTATGAAGGTAAGGAAAATCGAGTGGAGTCAGGATTGGGAGGTCATGGTGACCTCAGAAGAACAGTCCCTGCAGACTAATGGGGCGTGGGGGTGAGGCCATAGGCAGCTGGAGGGTGCTGGGGGGTGAAGAAGCGGAAGTGCAGTAGAGACTCACCCCTGTCAGAGAGAGAAGGTAGGGTGGCTAGAGTGAGAGAGAACATTGCAGGAGTTATTAATGCCTGTGCATCTGGCTAAGATGGCGACACTTACGGGCTGCTGGGAGGAGCCAGGAGAGAGGAAGAGGTTGAAGAGAGAAGTAGGGATGGTGGAGCCCCCAAGGACCTGGGGTCCAGAGCACAGGAGAAGGGAGCAGCCTTTGGTGGGACCAAGGTGGGCCATCCCCAGAGCCTGGAGGGTGGAGTCAGGATGGGGACAGATACAGACACCTGTGGCGTAGGGGCCAAGAAGTTGACCAAGTTTATGCCTCATGTCTCTTATTTCTCAAATAAGCTAGATGCCAAGGCCTGAGGGCGGGGAACTCCAGGAACAGCTATCACAGAGAGGTGTTGATAGAGACAGGGAAAAGGATTTCTGCCCAGCCTTGGCCCCTCTGCTGAGCCTGGAGGTCAGCAGGGTCTAGCAGGGAGTCTGTGGGTTGCCGTGATCTTCTTTCTGTGGTGCCTTATAAATCAGGCACAGGAGTGGTGAGAGATAATGGGTGATGAAGTCCTGAGGCCCACGTATCTTGCCTGGGGGCTCCCTGCCTTCCCCTTGCCCCAAGCTCCATGCCACCCAGCCACCAGACTCACCCACGACAGTGAGGTTGACCTGGGCCTGCCTGCTGCCCAGCTTGTTCTCCACCAGCAGTGTGTAGCAGCCGCAGTGCTCCTGGCGCGCGGCCAGGATGGTGAGCTTGCTGCCATTCTCGCTGTTCTCCACCTTCATGTGCTCGCTTTCCTGGATCTAGGGGCGGAGGATGGAGCAGGTGCTGGAGCCTTGGGCCCCTGGGCTAGGAAAGGAAGGGGGCTCCTCCCCATTCCCTACTTCCTGAAGGATGCAGCTGGACAAGCTGTGGGGGGGCTCAGTCTGGTCTGGACTCTGCCCTTCTCCCTGAGGCCCCTTCTCTCCTACATCCAGAGTCCAGCTTCCCTGAGGGTGCCAGGTCTGGGGTGGGCAGGGAGGGTGTGGAGCAGGGGCAGGATGGATGGATGAACTAGCTGAGCACTCACTGCTCCCAGAAATATCCTGGTCTCCCTCTACCTCTCTGGAATGGGATGATAGGAGAACACATCTCAGCAAAGTCATTCACAAGATCCACTCCAGTGGGTTCTAGCCTCTTCTGTGCTGTCCAATGCTGTAGCCACTAGTCACATGTGGCTATTTAAATTTTAATTAGTTAAGTGGAAACAACCCAGATGTCCATCAACTGATGAACAAATAAACAAAATATGGTCTATCCTGACAATGGAATATTTATTATTAATTCATTGAAAGGAATGAAGTACTGATTCATGTTACAATAAGAATGAGCCCTGAAAAGAGTATGCTAAGTCAAAAAAAGAGAAAGCTACACAGAGAGAATGACATACTGTATGATTCCATTGATATGAAATGTCCAGAATATGCAAATCCATAAATACTGAGAGTAGATGAGTGGTTGTCAGGGCCTGGGGGAAGGAGAGGAATGTCTGCTAATGGGTCTGGGGTTTCTTACTGGGATGATGAAAGTATTCTAGAATTAGATAATGGTGATGCTTGCACAACCTTGTGAATCTACTGAAAACCACTGAAGTGTACACTTCAAGAGGGTGAATTTTATGGCATATGAATTATATCTTAACAAAGCTGCTATAACAATTTTTAATTAATTAAAATTAAATATTCAGTTCCTCAGTTGCACTAGCCACATTTCAAGTGCTCAATAGCCCCATGTATATGGCTGGTGGCTGCCATATTGGATAGCACAGAGATAACACTTTCATCAGGGCAGAAAGTTCTGAAGGACAGAGCTGGGACTTGGCTAAATGTCTCTGAAAAGTGATGAGATTCCATCTTATTTCAGACAACAGTAGTCCAGATGTCGCTCAGGGCAAACATGCTCTGGGATGCTAAAGGCAAACTTCTCATTTCCATCTTTTGAGACCAACCCTACTTTCCTCCCTGTTAGTACTAAGTGTTCATCTCTGGGGCTAGGAGAATTTGAGTGATTTTAAAACAGAGTAACAGAGGGCTCAGAATAAATCTTCACAACTTCCCACTCCTGTGCCAACCCATCATTCCAGGGTCTCTGCTGATCATGCATACAGGCACACACTACCACCGTGGATTGGTGGAGCTGCTGGGCTCCCCAAGTCCTTTCAATGCTGGTTGTCTAGAAATTCAAACATTGTTCCATAGGAACCATTATGATAAATTGTAGCTAGATTTCTGGGTCAGTCAGACACAATTCTATTTATCATACAATTCTTCTATCCAAATACTCACATTTGCTTTTGTCCCTTCAGCATGTGGCAAGTTTAAGTGGTTATAACAGACAGGAATCAGTGGGCTGGCACAGAATCACAGCAAGCTCATGGAGTCTAAGGGTCATCTTGGGTCACAGGCTCGACTTTCCTGACTCTGAATAGGATTCTAGACTGTGCTATCAAACCAGATGAGGGACATGGATGGTTTCTACTTTTCCCCTCACACTTCTATTACACAAATTGTCTACAAAGGCGGGGATTATTGGTAGATTCAGAAGCAAAGGTTAACAAGAACTCAGGTTTGGCAGGTGAGCGATGGGTAGGGGAGTGGCCTCTCCCATTTCTAAAGCTACGAAGAGTGAGGCCATCTCCAGCACGGCATTTCTCATCCCTTTCGGTCCAAAGGCTGTACGGATTATTCCCAGCACCCCCAGTGCCCACCCCATACCGTCACTGACCTGCTTTCGGAACTTCATCCAGGTACAGGTGATGGGCTGAGTGCCTGTCACTTTGCCAAACAGCTCCACTGACTCTCCTGCGCGTACCTTCTGGTCCTCAGGGAACTGGATGATCTGAGGGGGCATTGCTGAGGGAGGACAGGGAGAAAGTGAGCGAGGCAGAAGGGTCTCAGGCATTCTGATCACATTCGACGCCATTGTCCACAGTGGTCTGTTGGCTTCTCTCTTGGCTTCCGGAACCTTCAGGGTAAGACTGAGGGGCAGTGATCCTGCTGCAGGACATCCAAGTTCATGGACCTGCTAGGTTTGTTCACCTCTTCTTTCTGATTCCCTCAGAAGTGACCCACACTACTTACATGGCATGATTCTCCATTTATGGGTTGTACTGGAATTTGTGACTTACCCTAATTTTTTGAATTGAGGTCCTAACTCACTTATGAATTAAGCATCACCTTGCCTTCTAAACTCCAGGTCACCCTGGCTGGCAGGCTTGATTCAAGTCCTCAAGTGTCATCCAATGGAAAACAGACAAGGGTTCCATATAACAAGGACACACAGAGCTGGGCACAAAAATAGCCCCAAGAGGGTCATGTACACAAGGGTAGGGCAGAGGATGGACAGCAGGGCAGAATTCGTAGAAGGGGCAGGCAGGAGAGCTGCTAGTCCTGTATGATGCTGTCAACATGGGAGGCAGATGGAAAGACAAAGCTGTGGAAGGGGACCAGGAGCCAGGCTGTGCAGAGGCTCTCCATGAGCAAACTCAGCCTGAAAAATGCAGAGCTGGAACTGAGGGTGGGGGTGGGGTTGCAGTGGGGTGTCTCCTGGGATCACATACCCAGGTGTCAGTCTAGCAAGGTAAAGGCAAAACCCCCATGGTAGATGACTTCTTTGACCCCAGATAGTGCCGTGGCCAATTACCTGCCTTCGGAGGTGTCTTGGGGGCAGGTTTCTTTTTCACAGTCGCATCACCTGAAACAAAGAAGTTCACAAGTTATTTCCTGTAGTTCTGTTTTTTTCACAAAGCTCCTGATCCTAGGAAGATGCAGTCTTGTCCACTGGCCCCTCATCCAGGGAGGACTCTTATTTGAACATGTCTTTTCAGGCTGAGCACGGTGGCTCACACCTGTAATCTCAGCACTTTGGGAGGCCGAGGCAGGTGGACCACTAGAGGTCAGGAGTTTGAGACCAGCCTGGCCAGCGTGGTGAAACCCCATCTCTACTAAAAATACAAAAAAATTAGCTGGGCATGGTGGTGTGCACCTGTAATCCCAGCTACCCAGGAAGCTGAGGCAGGAGAATCGCTTTAACCTGGGAGGTGGAGGCTGCAGTGAGCAGAGATTGCACCACTGCACTCCAGCCTGGGTGACAGAGTGAGACTCTGTCTCAAAAAAAAAAAAAGAAAAAAGAAAGTAAATGAATATGTCTTTTGAGAGATCACTTTGCCCTTTCACACAGACAACCTCACAGACAAAAAAGAATATCAGTTCTCAGGGACCTATGAAAGGGTCTCTGAAGCCTCCAATGAGATTAAAAACTCTCTAAAATGCTCGTGCTCCCATAGCCCTTTTCGAAGACGATAATGCCACACTCATTAACCACTCTCTCACCCTAACTTTCAGGAAACTCAGAAAGGAAATTATGTCATGTCAGATAAACCAACTAAAATTAGCCTTTGGTGTGGATCCAAGGGTCGCAAGCTTCCTTTGGGTCACAGACTGTTGACTGGTGGCTTTCATTTTTTTAAAGTTTGTTGGATGGATGAATGGATGAATGAATAAATGGTCTCCTCCCTTCTTACTCTTACTTCCTCCAAATAACTCAAATGAGAAAAATGACTCAAACAGAACAGTCATGCAGCACAAACCTATTCACTTGGCTAAATCACAATATAGTGCACGTGCGAAAACATCTTGAGCTGTCTTCACGGCTTGTTTCAAATCCCTTCCAGGTCTTTGCTCAAAAGCCATCTAACCTATCTATCCAAATAAAATGAAAACCTACAGGCACACAAATATCTGTATGCGAATATTTGCAGTGGCCTTATTCATAATTGCCAAAAACTAGAAGGTATCCAAATGGATGAACTGTGGCACTTTGATGCCACCAATAAAAAGGAAGAAACTACTGATACACAGAACATGGATGAATCTCAATGATTTCTCTTTTTCTTCTGCTCAGAGAAGCCAAATTCAAAAGGTCACATACTGTATGATTCCATTTATACGACATTCTAGAAAAGGCAGAACTATAGGAATGGAGAACAGATTAATGAATGGTTGCCAGAGGTAGGGTGGGGGAGGGGTGGGCTGCAAAGGGGCACAGGGAAATGTTCTGTGGTGACAGAACCAGATCTTGACCATGCTGGGAGTCCATGATGACATTAATTTATCAAGACTCACGGAACTGTGCACCAAAGAGGGTGAAGTTCACTGCAGGGAAATTATACCTTAACATAAAAAATGAGGAAAAGCCACTTCACCAGTGAGATCTTCCCTAACCACCCCATACAAACAGCAGCCCTGCCCCCAGCACCCCTCATCCTTCTCATCTCGCTTTATGGTCCTCCCACCCCATAGCACTTATCACCATGTGAAAAACTATATCTTCACTTATTTATTTACTGTCTGCCCTTCTCCTCCTCCTAAACTGTGAGCTTTTTGAGGCCAGGGACTTTTTTGGTTCACTGCTGTATATCAATGGGCCTGGCACACAATAACGATTTGTTGAATGAATGAGTGGGCTAATATTAACAATTATTCATCCAGATAACTTCACCTCTGCAGATGAAGGGGAAGCGGTGTCATTGGCTTGGATATGGGTTGCCCTGTGACCACAGGCAAATTAGTAACTTGTGGAACTTGTGCATTTCCACGACAGGACACGTGCTGCTGCCCAGTGAATGCCCCAGGAGGACTGCGTGAGGCAGTGATCCCTGGCAGGGGCACACTGAGATCACCGAGCTGATGGCTGCCGGCTGTGTGGTTAAGCCCAGGATGAGGGCTTCCACCAGGTTCCCTCTGGCTCATTGTCATCATTGATCCATCCGTCCATCTCCAAAAAGTTACTCAGGGCCTACTGTGTGCCAGGCAAATGCTAGTCAGTACACACGACTAACCTGGGTACTGAGGAGGAAACCAAACAATGTAAGAAATCAGGCCTCAAGGTCTTAAATATCAAGACGTGGTCCACAGGAAAGAGGAAAGGCTTTTTTTTTTTTTTCTTTTGCCATAAAGGACATTTATAGGATAACTGGCAACATCTGAATAAGGTCAATAAATTAGAGGATAGTATTGGATTAGTGTTAATTTCATGTTTTGATCATCAAACTGTGGCTTTATAAGAGATTGTTCTTGTTTTTAGGAAATACACACTGAAGTATTTAGGTGTAGAGGGTATCCTGTGTGCAACTTTCAAACTGTTCATGGTATATACATATATATGTGTGTGTATATATACATGTATATATGTGTGGAGAAGTAGAAGGAACAGAGAAATGGAAAAAGAGAGGGAGAGAAAGAATATATGAAAAAGCAAGGCCAGGTGCATTGGCTCACACCTGTAATCCCAGCACTTTGGGAGGCTGAGGCGGGTGGATCACCAGAAGTCGGAAGTTTGAGACCAGCCTGACCAACATGGCAAAACCCCATCTCTACGAAAAATAGAAAAATTAGCCAGGTGTGGTGGTGTGCGCCTGTAATCCCAGCTACTCAGGCGGCTGAGGCAGAAGAATTGCATGAACCCAGGAGGTAGAGGCTGCAATGAGCTGAGATCGTGCCACCGCACTCCAGCCTGGGTGACAGAGCGAGACTCCATCTCAAAAAAAAAAAAAAAAAAAAAAGCAAACATAGTAAAATGTTAACCTTTGAGGAATCTAGATGAAGGGTATATACAATAATTTTTCATGCTATTTTTACAATTTTTTCTGTGAGTCTCAAATTATTTCAAGATAAAAGTTAAATAGAAAGTTATAAAAAAAGATGTT
The DNA here is from genome assembly GCF_000001405.40 of Homo sapiens. Lineage (NCBI taxonomy): Eukaryota > Metazoa > Chordata > Mammalia > Primates > Hominidae > Homo > Homo sapiens. Next base: position 123,670,201 of record NC_000003.12, read on the forward strand.
ATTCAGTCAACGTGATGTGGCTGTTTGAATGGAAAAGGAACACTGTTGGTGGAGGAGATGGTTAGTTAGAAGGCTAAAAGACAGGATGTAAGATGGACCTGAAGGCTAGGGAAGGTCTGAACTGGAGAAAGAGGAGAACCCACAGGTCAGGAATAGACAGTGGCTCAGAGGTGAGAATCAGGGTGATGTTTGGTGGAGGCTGGCAGAGCACAGGGCTGATATTGGACAGCAGTGGTATGAGGATAGTGGGCACTCTAAATTAAATAAAATTAAGGTGAGGCATAGTGGCTCAGCCTGTAATCCCAGCGCTTTGGGAGGCAGAGGTGGCAAGATCACTTGAGGCCAGGAGTTCGAGACTAACCTGGGCAACACGGCAAGACCCTGTCTCTGTAAAAAATAATAAAAACAGCCAGGTATGGTGGTGCCTGTCTGTAGTCTCAGTTACTTGGGAGGGATTGCTTGAGCCCAGGAGTTCGAGGTTACAGTAGCTATGATTTTGCCACTACACTCCAGCCTGGGTGACAGAGAGAGACCTTATCTCAGAAAAAAAAGAAAGAAAATTAAAAATTTGATTCCTTGGTTGCACTAGTCACATTTCAGGTTCTCAATAGCCATAGGTGGTTAGTAGCTATCACATTGTGTTGACGTAGGACATTTCTTTCATCACAGAGGGTTCTGTTAGACAGTGCTGGCCTCAAATGCTAAGCTCACGAGCTAAGGCTTTGTCCTGATTGAACAGCATGTCCTCACTCAAACAGCAGTCAGGCTGGGCTAGAGGTCCCTGATAGGTCTTTCCAGCTCTTGCGGGACAGATCCAATTAGGAGGCTATTGCCATACCTTGGAAGGCACTGATCAAGATCCATGCAGAAAAGAAGATGCAAATGAGAGGCAGAGGAAAGTTAAAATAATTTAAGGGGCTAAACAAGAAGGAGGTACACAGATTACTTTGAGATTTCTTGCATAGATACACGTGGAAAGTCATATTGAAGGAATATAGAATTAGGAGTACAAGATTAATATTTCAGCTTGAATCTGTTTGTAGGTTAGAAGCCCAGGATCAGAATTCCAGAGGGAAGTTTGTGGAGACTGGAAGTGAAAGATTCCAGAATTAAAGAAGCCATTAGAATGGAAACCTTGAAGATGGGTCAATTCTTTGGGGAAAGAGAATGCAATGAAAGAGGGGCGGAGGCCAGGGTTTGATCCCAGGTGTGTCCACAGTAAAGAAGCCGAGACACAGGAGAGGGCTGTGGAAGGACCCTGAGAGCAGGAGGAGTGTCGCCACAAGCAAGGGTAGAGGACAGATGCTGGGAAGAGCACCAGGTGTGCCCAGCATGGAGTGAGAGACGGTGATGCTGGAGAGGCCAGGTTCCATGGGACAGCATGGTCCAAAGTCACCCCAGAGGAGATTCTTGAGCAAACAGTGGGGAGTAAAATAGTCAAGGATCCTGGAGGTGAAAGGACAAAGAGAAGCAAGGAAACAAGAGGGAATATGAAGCTCAGGTTTCTTCTGAGGTGAGAGAAGAGAGAAGATGACAAGGTGGAAGGCAATGGCTAGGGCACAGTGGAGAGAGAGAGCCCAAAGACACTAGAGGGAAGAGCACGGGGAGCCAAATCCTTTGGTGGGGGAGACCAGATGGGATATGGGACGCCTGTGACTGGCTGAGCCACAAAGGCCCTGCCCCTCTTTGTCCAGGACTGTTGGGAAGAGAGAAGCTCTCCAGGGAAGAAGAGAGGGCTTCTACCGGAGCCCAGATATGATCTCTGGAGAGAGGAGGCCATCTGTTCAGAGGAGCTACGTGGAGGGCTGTTGTCATGGGCTGAACTGTGTCTCCCCAAATTCACATGTTGAAGCTCTAACCCTTGGTACCTCAGAATGTGACCGTATTTAGAAATAGGGCCTTCAAAGAGGTAATTAAATTAAAACGAGGCCATTAGGGTGGGCCATAGTCCAATTTGGTGTCCTTATAAGAAGAGATTAGGAAGAAGAGAGACAGGGGCAGGGGGAGGAGAGAGAGAGAGAGAGAGAGAGAAAGGAGCGAGAGAGAAAGAGGGAGGAAGGGAGAAGGAGGGAGGAGAGCGAGAGAGACCAGACAAATGCACACACAGAGAAAAGAACATGTGAGGACACAGGGGAAAGACTGCCATTTTCAAGCAGAAACCTCGATCTTGGACTTCTAGCCTCCAGAGCTGTGAGAATCAATTTCTGTGGTTAAGCTACCCAGTCTGCCGTACTTTGTTAAGTCAGCCCTAGAAGACTAATATAGCTGTGGATGGGCATCATTAGTGGGGTGGGCACCAGTGGGGTGGGCACCAGGTGTGAGAAGGAGGCTGACAATCCCTGGGGTGATGAGCTAGGAGCACAGCATGAAATCAGGGGACTCCAAAGTCCTGCCCCATACTTGGTGGCTCTGGGTAAACCCATTTGACTGGAAGAGAAGCCCTAACTAATCTTTCAGTGTCATGGTTAAATAGGATTGAAGGTCAAATTTTTATGTTTGTTCTGTAAATTTGGAGCTACCATTGTTTGAATTGGTTAGCATTTGAAACTGGCTTGGTTCCTATCAGTAAAAACAATTTAAGCGTTAACAATGTTTTATATCCTATTCTATACATATTTTATATGACCATCTGCTGAAATCCACTAATTGTGTGCTGGGCTTATAGGGGAAAGCACCTGGTTCTAAAACCCGGTTTCTCAGAGGGAGCATTTCACTTGGTTCTCATCCCAATCAAACACAGCAGGGAGTATCATAATGTTTCCATTTTATGAAAAAGGAGATGGCATCTCATAAAAGTCTGGTGACTTGCTAGGTTCATAAAACCTGATGTTCTGGAGCTGGAAATGGGATCTGAGCCTCCTGCCACCCAGGGTATGGAATAAATAAAATTTGTTGTAAAGAGTTAAGCTACATTGTAAGGGAAGTATAGCATATAGTGCAGCATGTTCTTTTTTTCTTTTCTTTTTTTTTTTTTTTTTTTTGACACAAGGCCTTGCTGTGTCATCCAAGATGAGTACAGTGGCATGATCACAGCTCACTGTAGCCTCGACCTGCTGGGCTAAAGTGATCCTCATCTCAGCACCCACTCAGCTAATTTTTTGTAGAGACTCACTATGTTGCGCAGGCTGGTCTCAAACTCCTGAGCTCAAGTGAGCTCCCACTTTGGCCTCCCAAAGTGCTGGGATTACAGACGTGAGCCACCATGCTCAGCCTCAGTGCATGTTCTAACATCAGCCCCTCCCCCCACTCCCCCGCTCTCTGAAACAAACAGATCCCCAGAGGACTTCTCTGTCCTTTGGGACAAGTTTGGCCCTTTCATCTATGTGGTACCCTGTTGGTCAGTTCAGCCTTACACTAACCTGAGAGCTCTCATGTGGCACCTGTGCTTCTTCTCCCCAGTCCAGGTCCTCAGAAGAGGGGACATTCTGCAGGTCCAGATGCCCAAACAAACTCACAGTACTCCCTGGCTCACTAACTAGTTTCCTCTCCTCTGGAGTCACTCTTATTATCTTATTATTCCTGTCAGCCCTGTGTCTCTCATCCTCTTCTCTGACACCCTAAACTTTGTGTACCAGCCAGTCAGAGAGGAACATCCTAGAAGGAAAATAAAACCCATCCACCTTTGCAAACTCCATGATGGCTGCTGGCCATGGGACAGGCAGGGAGGGCAGAGCACGCCCTACTCAGGCTGCTCCTCTGAAGAGGGGCTCAGCCACCTCCTTTAGGCAGTCAGCCCAGGCAGCACATCCTTCCTGGTAGAGCACTGCCCCGGGGTACTGTGCTCATCGCTGCCCTTTGAGCTCCTCTTTCTATCCCCTATTCTCTTTCCTCCATTTCCCCTGAAGCCAGACCTCTCTCCTGAGCCCATACCAATACATCCAACTACCTGACCATCATCTCCCAGGGAGATGCCAAACACGTACTGCCAGCCAAACGTGCAAAACCAAATCCAAGACCTTTTCCCCAAACCTGCTCCCTGTCCCCATTTCTCCCAAGGCCCCCTCCCTGCCCATATCCACTGACAAATGCCTGTTGTCTACACCAACTAAGTACCTCCTCAGTCTGCCAATTTCTACCTTCCCACCATCAGCATTGTAGTCCCAACTGCATCACCTCCTAGGCTTCTGGTCCCCTGTCCCCCGTCACATTTGTCACTCTGTGGCCAAAGTGATCTTTCTCAAATGCAAATATGATGTCACTTCACTGCCTGAACCTGTTCAGTGGCTGCCCATTGCCACTCAGGATCAAATTCAACTCATCTTACGAGGTCTTTGAGCTCTGTCCCTGGCTTTCATCCCCAACTTTCTTGCTTGCTTTCCCAAGAGGGAACAACTTTCATCACAACCTCAATACTCAATATCAGTGGTTCTCAAAATTTAGCCTACATTATGATTGCCTGGAAGACTTAATAAAAACATAGATTCTTGGCTTCCAGGTGCTGGTGCTGCTACTGCTGCTGGTCCCTGCACCTTCCTTTGGGAAGTACTGCTCTGTAATCTACATGGAATGTCTTTCAGTTTCTGCAACACCAGGCTCTTGCCTTCGCTCCTTTGCACATGCTGGGCCCTCTTCTCTTGGATGGCTCTTGCATATTCTTTGGGCAGGTCGCCCCAGCTCATGCACCACTAATGCCCCACGGGGTTCATGGCCCTCTGAGGTAGCTCCATCACAGCATTCATCAGGCACCGCTATTTCAGAAACCTGTCCCCAACATGGACACACCACGGCAAGCTTCTGGGGACAAGGATAGGGTCTACCTTCTGTATCTGCAGTGCCTAGCATAGTACCTGGCACATGCCTGATAAATGGCCATTAAAGGAATGAGTGAAACCCTCAAGGATTTCTGTTAACCCGGGAATTCCCAAGGAACATTCTCCCCCAGCCCTGGGCACTGATGCTGAGAAATATAGCCCTGGGGCTTGAATTTTTATATAACTTTCTATGAAAAGGATCAGTCTCTGCTGTCCCCTCTGGGATCAAAGCTGCCAGGTGCTGAGCCTTCCACTCTAGATAGGAGATTGATATTAGAGGAAGTGAAATAGCCCAATAAAAACATGAATCAAAGCATTGGATCTGGAAGCCTCCTGGGAAACCTGGGGCAGGGGTGGGGAGGCCAGCCTCCTAATTGTTCAGGTAATCTGTTCCAGCTGACCCAAGCCCTAACCTAGTCCTGGGGAAAAAAAAGGAGGTCAGTAACCCACAGAAGTTTCCAGATGCTCAGTCTGAAGGCACCTGAATGCCTCGCTCTGAAACATGGAAAATCAGCAGGGCAGAGAGACCAGAGTAAACATTTGCAAGATAGGTGCAGAGCCTGAAGGTGGGTCTCACGGAGTCAAAAGGTCTGAGATAATGGAAAGCAAAGGAGAATTAGGGAACTAGCCTTACCAGCCTTGGGTACAGGGAGGTCCCTGGATGTCTGCCTCTCTGGGGACATTTCCCTTTTTAGGTAGGTAGTTAAAAATAGACATCAAATCCTTCAAAATTCCCAAAATCAGCATGAACTTTCTGCCAAAGGCTCCTGAAAAGGACTCCAGCTGGGTTGAGCATGGAGTGAGCACCCACCCCATGAGGCTGTATCGGAGCAGGAAGGAGGTGGGGGTACCTGAGGATGGAAGGCTGAGTCCTACCACACTGGCCCTGGGTGACCTGACCCACTCCCCTACTGTATACGCTGGTCTCATCCAGTACATGCTTACAGATACGTGGAGGAATATTGGTCATTTTCCCAGAATTAACATCTCTGGGCAAATTTCTTGCTCACCTTCCTCAAAGCAAGGGCTGTCACATAAGGAGATTGCAAAGAAACACTGCTCCTCTGATTACATCCATTCCCAAACCCCCAGGACACAGAGCATCAGGATGGTTGTGAAAGAGGTGTGCTGGGCCAGGGGTGCCAGCATTGCTTGGTGGGTACCTTCCAGGTCTCCCCTCTGGCCAGTTCACTGGCTTATGGGAGACACTGGGTGAGTTGGGAGGAGTAGTGGGTGGAAGTCATAGGGTCACATGCCTGTGGGTGGGAGTGTGCCAGGTAGGCACTATTCCTCCTCCCAGACCCACATTTTGGTTGGGAGTAACTGGGAGTTGGTGCCAGCTTTCAGAAACATTCATGGAAATAGCCCAGCCTCTCTCCCAGGGCCCCACATCTTTCACTGTCAGGCAAGTCTTGATGCCAAATCCCAACCTCTCTTCCAGCCTTTTGAATCCCATCAGGATTGAACATTCCTCATGACCTGAGGAGGAATGTTTAAAAAAAAGATTTGATCCTGGGGAAATCTTGCATGGAAAAGGGACAGTTTTTAATATCCAGAGATGCTTTCAAATTGACACAACTTTCCATTTTAGAGGCAGACACATATGGGAGGTCTAGGCAAAGATATCTGAGAGTCTCATAATCTGGGATGTTCCAAAGTGACTGATGTCAGAGGTGAAGCTCAGGCCAAGGCCAGGCATGGACTGCAAAGGGATGTTCCATTGGCATCATCCCCAGTGGCAGAACCACAGTGGAGGCAGGGACCCTTGGAGCATGGGAACTTATGAACTGGTTTGAAAAATCAAATATTTATTATAAACCTACTGAGAGACCAGCTAATGAAGTTTTGGAGATGGACAGGACCTGGTTTCTGTCTTCAAGGTGTAAAAGCCCCACATGGATGTCCGTTTATATCTCTTCTGAAAGACCATCAGCTTATATAGACTGCTAGGAGGAACTCCCAGAGTCTGGTATCAAACTGGCATCACCTCATGTGCATTTCCTAAGGCCACTTCTTAAGCCCCATCAATGCCTCCTTTACACAGCCAGCATGCTTGTCTCCCCTCACGCAAAATTCCCAAGAACTCCCCTGGCCATTTGGGCCCCCTCCAGCTGGGACTCCCCTAAACCTGTATGCTTAAGGCCTCTTTCCCTCAGGACACTTTTGCTGCTGTGTGACCTAAACTATACTTGCTGTAGCTTTGGACTCCTTCACACTTCAGATGATATGAAGGAGAGTTATTAATCTCAACTGAACTGTGTCACTCAAAAGCTTTCCATCCAACGGGCTGATGCTGATGTCAGAGTTGGGAAAGGCCTGAGGTCAGCTGGAGAAACTCCCCATCTGACTGGCAAGGAAGCCCAAGTCCAGAGGAATGAAGGGCTTTGACCAAGGCCACATATTTAACTACTGGGAGAACCAAGACCTTCGTCTCCTGCTCATTGGCTTTCTTGCTGTGTCTTGTGCCTGAGTGCTGCCCCAGAACTGATCATAGTAAGTTGGCACCTGGAGTCCGACAGGAGTATTTCTGTCTCCCCATGCCCTACTCAGCTTAGGTGGAAGAGTGTGGGGTGTTTCTCCCCTGGGCCTGTGAACTTCTTTCCTGTTCCATCTCCAAAGGGAGGAGAGGACCCACTCTGGGCTGGAGGAGTGCACGAAGTGTTTTAGGAGTGTTATTATTAAATATTCATCAACAGGAGAAAAAGATAGCCACAAAGAACATTATTAGAACAATTGACAATAAATGTAGACTATGAATCAATTAGACAACAGTATTGGTTCAATGTCAAATTTACTCTTTGATTTTGATTTCAATAATTGCATTGTAGTTATGTTCTTAGGACAACAGCATAGTTAGAATTCAAGGGCATGATATCTCCAATTTGGCCTAAAATGGTAGGTACCTATCTCTATCTAAATGAATAAATAAATGAATATATATATATATATATATATATATATATATATACACACACACACACACAGAGTACATCCTGAGACTGCAGCCAGGCCAGGGTGTAGTGGCCAGAATGCAGGTCAGGGTTGGCACCACAGTTCCACATCTTACTAGCTGTGAGACCCTGGACAGGGCAGTTTAGTTCTCTGAGGCTCTGTTTTGTTCATCCCTAAAATGGGAACAGCTATTTATAGCGCAGTTGAGTGAGACTCGGCTGAAGTGACATAGATCGAGCTCCTAAGGTGCTCCCAGTGCACAGGCACTCGGTAGACTCTGATTTTGTTCAGCCTGCAGCTGTCCTGAGACAGGTGCCCTCACAATCTTCACTCCAGCATCTGTGTGGCTCCTCCCTGTCTGCCTTCTCCCCAACTGATGTTATCATTTTCTCTCCAGCCAAACCACATAAACCACATTCCTCTCCTCCTCCATAACCTGACCCCGTTTTCCTCATCCCGAAATCTTCCCAAGCTGCTCCCACCTCCCTCCTGCACTTGTGAGTCAGTGTCTGGCCGGTTAACTTGTACTTCTGTCCGCTTTCTCTCACCCCGTCCTTGCTTGGGTTGGGGTGGATGCCCTTGGCTTTTCCCTCATGCTTGTCAGTGCTCAGCAGGGAGGGGGGTGTGCAGAAGAGGGAACTGGTCATGATCTATTTGATGAAAAAATCACTCAGGCTCACCTCAGGAAAGATGGATTTCCCTCTTAGACTAGGTACTTCTCAGCCCTTGACACAGAGGAACACACACACAAACACACACACACACACAGCCAGATCACTCATGGAATCAGAGGTGTCTGGGACTGGGGATGGCAAAGCTAAGAAAAAAAGGCAAGTTGCAGAGGTATACAGACTGTGCAATTCCATCTCTGTGGGACAAAAATCCAATTGATGTACTTGTGCCTGTATATAAAAATGCATAGAAAAAAGTCACTGAGTATTTTTGGGGCGTGAGTAGAATTGGGGTGAGATGAAAGAGGACTTTCATGTTGTACATAGTATATTTCTATATTGTTTAAAATGGTTAAATAAGAATGTGTGCATATATAATGTATATAATCAATAAACTAACAATTATCCTCCAAAGGGAGAAAAGAATGGGTGCAAATCTAAAAGACATCTTCGGCCGGGCGCGGTGGCTCACGCCTGTAATCCCAGCACTTTGGGAGGCTGAGGCGGGCGGATCACGAGGTCAAGAGATCGAGACCATCCTGGCCCACATGGCGAAACCCCATCTCTACTAAAAATACAAAAATTAGTTGGGCGTGGTGGTGCGCAGCTGTAGTCCCAGCTACTAGGCAGGCTGAGGCAGGAGAATCGCTTGAAACCAGGAGGCGGAGGTTGTAGTGAGCGGAGATCGCGCCACTGCACTCCAGCCTGGTGACAGAGCGAGACTCTGTCTCAAAAAAAAAAAAAAAAACAAAACAAGACATCTCCTTCACTTCCCATCTCTGGGCAGCTGCCTTCTCAGGAGCTTCTCAGGAGGCTCCAGAAACAAATCCCAGGGTATCTCTCAGGCCCCCAGGGTACAGGCTTCTGAAGGACAAGAGTGCAGGGGTGCAAGCAGGTGGAGGGCAGCTAGAGCCAGCCTGGCACCGCTCTCAGTGTTGGGGTAGCAGGTTTGGAGTAACAGAGATTGGAGGGTGGGCCAGCAAAAGGGTACAAAGTGGCCATGACTTTGGAGTGTGTAGAGACACACACTCCCATTCTTTCAGGAGCAAGATGTCTGAAATTCCAACATGGGGGCTCTGCACACAGAGTGAAATCCAAGTGGGGTCTACTGGAGTTAATCCAGTCATGAATGTGTGTTTTCTGTAAAGATGAAGCACTTGCTACTAGCCTGCTGCTCCCCCACTAACTCAGACTGAGCTTCATTCCCTGCTTCCAGCTTCTCCACCACAAGGTGCCTTGTTCGGCTCTCTGGGCAACATGATACCCTAAGGATGTTGATGTGAGGGTCCCCGAGGCAGTTCCACACTTAACAGAGGCAGCAGGGGAGACCCCCTTCTGCTTCTCAAGACCCACAGTGTGGGCACCAGGTTTCTCCCTGGAACAGCTGGTTTCCAGCTTGACTGCACATGACGTGACCTGGAGCTTGAACAAATACTGAGGCCTGGCACCCACCCCTGAGATTCTGATGTAATTGGTCTGGGGGCAGGGGAAGCCTGTGCGGCAGTGGTTTAAATGCTCCCCAGGTGAATATAACACACAGCCAGGGGTGCGAGCTGCTGCTCCAGACTCGGACAGTGACAGCTTGCATGGGGTTTCCACAGCCTTCTGTTCTCAGGGCAGAGAGCCCAGCTCCTGCTCTGCTCATCATCTCAAGCTTGTTTTCCTCCTCCACAGCTCGGCTCTGACCCCATCTCACCTCCTCAGGGGCTCACTGGAGTGGGTGTGCTGGAGCTGAGGGCTGGAGGCTGCCCACCAGATCAATACCTGCCCTGTAGCTTCTGCACCCAGGAGTCGGGGACAGCCATGCCATAGCCCCAATTCACAGCCCCTGGTGCCCTTCCTACATTCTCTATCTCTTCTGCTCACGGTTTTCCATACCAAGTATAGCACAGGTCCAAGGAATATTTTTGGAAGATAAAATTATTAACCCATTCTCACCAGATTTTTCTTGGTATTATGTATGCATTTCCAACAACTTATTAAATGTCCATTCTTGATATTCTCAGGCTATCTACCTTGGTTAAGTATCAATGAGAAATTAATTCCAATTTCTCTGCCCCAACATACTGAAGGCTGAGTTCCCCCAACAGCCTGGCTGGGGTATGTTTGAGGAACCCAAGTTCATCATTAGGAAGGTAAGAATAAAATAAAGTCACAAAACACTGCATTGTAATGGAAAAAGATTGTAGTCTGAGTTAACCCGGCTCAATTATTTTCCCCTATCAGTACGGGCAATTAGGAGCTCATCTTGTTTTTTGTTTGTTTGTTTTAAAACACAGCATGTGCTGGGGATGTTCAAGCAACTCTGCACCCTCTGTTGAAATTGTAGTTTTCAAAGGGTAGTTCTGCTGTCAAAGTTAGATTAAAAATTATAAGGGAAGCCAGGGTGACATTGTGACTTCTGAGGCACTTCTGCCTTTATAGCCCCCTCCTCCACCAAAAAAAAGTAAATAGATTTAATTACATATCAAGTATTATATTTGAATTATGTAAACTACACTTTTAACTGCATGGGTATAAAGATGAATATATTCATGTCATGAATTAAAACCTTTTCTTTGACTTAAGAGTTCCCTTTTTTCTTCTAATTTTATAAGATATTACAGCATTTGGCAGGCCTGTAAAAGCACTGTGGACCCTACGCATGGTGCCTAATGGATGTGTGGGCTACGGGGAAGCTGAGATCCAAAAAGAGGGAGGTAGCTGCCTATGGTCACGGAGAGGCTCCTTTCTCTCTTGGCTTTTTATACCACACTGCGATTTGACTCTAAGAGAAACTGGGAAGGGCCTTCCACGAGCAAGGCGCAGCATGTGTCATTCTGAAAGGTAATTGCTTGAACAGACCCTGTACAATGGAGGAGGGAGGATGAGACCCAGACACATCTCCGTGACATTGGGAAGGAGGTAGTGGAGGAGCCAGGTGCTGACACTGTGGGAGCTGAGGTGAGGAAGAACTCAGGGATGAGAGACTTTTCAGAGGAGTTTGGCAGAAAGGTGTCCCATGGAGAGAGGTGCCAGAGAAGGCATGAAGGAAGGAACTTGGGGGCTGTGTAGTGTGCAGTGAAGAGCTCAGTTTGGCCTGAGTATAAAATAGAAGTAAAGGAGCTGGGGGCAGCACCGGGAAAGACAGGCGGGGGGCAGGCCACATGTGGGACCACGTGTGCACATGCGAGCTAGGTATGTCCTCGGCACTAACATGTGGAGCTTTGCTTGTGGGTTTTGCAGGCTCTGGGGGCCACTGCATATTTCAACCAGGAGTGATGAGATCAGAGTTACAATCCAGAAAGAGCCCCTGGGAGGGCAGGATCAACTGGGGAGAAATTAGGAGGAGCTCTCCTAGAGTCTTGGTGGGAAGTGAAAGGGCATGAAGGAGGTTGGGCAGGGGAGGTAGATAGGAGCTCAGATGAGATGTGCAACACCACCCAGGCTGGAGACAGGCTGGAGAGAGCACTGGGATGGGGTGAGAAAAGGCCACTGGCTCTGTTATTGGGAGTTCACTGGGCACTTCAGGGTGTGGGCAGACATCAGACTTCCAGGGATTCAGGCAAGAGTGAGTGACCAGAAAGTGGGGGCTCTGAGGCTGCCCTCAGTCCCCGGGGTGCCTGCCCCTGCCTCTGCCTCTGCCTGGTGAAGCTGGGCGAGTACTCACTCTCAGTTCCTAGCACGGGAGGAAGAGAGCTCTTGGGCCTCCGGGATTTCATCTCTGGGGCCTTGGTGTTCTCACTGGCTGGAGCATCTGGAATGAAACAGGTAACAATAAATGTTAGCAGCTGCTGAGGAAATGAGCAAAGGGGGTCTCTCAGTCAAAATCCCACCTCAGCCAAACTCCTCCCCAACTCTGAGGGCCCTTTGTGCCCGCTGGGCAGAACAGCGCCTGTGTCCAGGCAACCTATTTCACTCTCCATGAGAGCATCAAAGAAGGACCGTCCACTACCCTGGGCCTGATTAATCCAGTGGGGACAGCACCGTCACCTTGGCAAGATGAGCGCACAGGCTGCCCAGGGAGCTTGGGATGCTCCCCCGGAATGCCATTGCTGGCAGAGTCACCCCTTGCTCACCTTCCCTGGCTTTCTCCTCCATCAGGCCTTGTCTCCCTCATGCTAGAAATCTTGGGTCTCCTCTCCAACAGGGGCGGGAGGGGACAGGGTCCCCGCCCTTGGGATCATGGACTAGAGGTGGCGCACAGCTTCTGATTTCTCTGACTTTCTTCTGCAGACCAAACTTTGCAGTGACAAACCAAACGGAGGCCTCTGAGCACACAGCCAGCATGCCTCCCACCTCTGAGACGGGGTCTAGGCCCCACTGTGGGGCTTCTGCTAGACCTCCCCCAACAGGCCCAGTGAAGCTGGGCACAGCTGCCTGCTGGGCGGACCTAAAGATGCTGGGCGGTGCCTGCCCTCAGGCTCTGTTCCACACTCCCTCTGCCAGAGGAAACCCTTCCTCATGGAGGGCAAGCAGGGCGACATCACTTGGCTGGGCTGGGCTGGGCTGGGTGGAAAGGCCCTCACTGGCCCCCAGGACACTATGGGGAAACCATCCAGGAACTGGGATAAGGAGGAGCTGGTTGAGTGGCTATCACTGGGCCCCAGCACTTTCACTGGCCTTCCTTTCCCCACAAGGAGCACTCTTTGGGGACGGCGCTGAGAGAGTCTCCCCCTTGAAGCCCCCTCCCTGGGCATCCTTTTCCTGCTCCTGAGGAGAGGAAGCTAAGTGGGGGTGGGGGTGGGTGGGGGGACTTTCCAGCAGAGGCTCCGCCACATTCCTGAGGCTTGGCTGGGGAGGAAGTGCCCTCTCATGGTCCGCCTCCAGGACTGGCAGTCAGGGCTGATCTTGCCTAGACTGGGCTCCTGGGGCTCTGAGGGGTGGGCGCAGGGAGCAGAACTGGGGGCTGGGAACATACTTCTCCCAGCAAGTGGACTCTGAGCTGCCTCTGGATGCATTTCTCCTTCTGGGAGGCATTTAGGCCCCTCGCCTTCTCCAGAACATGGATCTGCCTGCATGAGTCCCTCTGCTCATCATCACCCCGATAGGCTTTCTTCCCAACCTAGTGCCTGCCTCCTCTCTGCTATGGGTAATCCAGGGAGGAGGCCCTGTGCGGGTGTTGCAGGCTCATGGCAGCTCAGAAGCAGACAGGCCTCCGGGGGCTGTGGGGGCAATCCCCCACCAAAGACAGCCGAAAGCCCTGCATGCACCATTGTGGGCCTTAAGTAGGACTACTTAGCAGTATGTGACGGGGTGTTGGGGGGAGCAGACAGCCAAAGCAACCCTTTCAAGTAGCACTTGACACCAAAACGCTCCCTTGCCTCCACTCCCCACTGCAAGCTGAACTCCTGCCACCTCCCATACGGGCAAAGGAGCCCCAGATGGCACATCAGGGGTCCCTGCTATCTGGAGTGGACACTCTTAAGCTCCTCAGGAGGCTGCCTGTAACCCAGCATGCCAGTTCCATGAGGACACAGAGAAGCAGAAAGCCATGGGGCAGGGATGATTTCATTTTCTTACACTGGACATTTTCCCCAAGGATCGTGGTCATTCTCAGCTACAGAAAAATCCTCTGGACATAGTTATTTGTCAGCCTCGGTGGATCTCAGCCTCAGCTGTATGTTAGAAGCACGTGTGCCAGGGTATCACACCCCACAGGTCCTGGTTTCATTGGTCTGGGTTGGGGTCTGGGCACGATATGATCCAGAAGCTCCATGGATGACTGATATTTGGCCAACAGAAAACTCCTCGTCTCTCCTCAAGCACAGGGAGTGCGCAGGGAGTGGCTCCAGGACTATTCCAAGAGGCAGAAAAACCTAGCAGAGCCTCCCCTTGATATCTGGGGATGAGGGTGCCATAAACCAGGGGCATGGAGTCAGTCTAAGCTTCCCTTGTCCGGGCCTCTCCCTTCTTCCCTTCCTTGAAGACCAGCATTTCTAACAGTCACCAATGACAATGTAAAGAAAGGTGTACCCAGTAATTGTTTTGTTTGGCCCCTTTTTTTTTTTGAAATGGAATCTCACTCTGTCACCCAGGCTGGACTGCAGTGACATGATCTCGGCTCACTGCAACCTCTGCCTCCCAGGTTCAAGTGATTCTCATGCCTCAGCCTCCTGAGTAGCCTCCTGAGTACACGCCTGACTAATTTTTCGTATTTTCAGTAGAGATGGGGTTTCGCCATGTTGGCCAGGCTGGTCTTGAATTCCTGGCCTCAGGTGATCTGCCTGCGTCAGCCTCCCAAAGTACTGGGATTACTGGCGTGAGCCACGGCACCCGGCCCTTCTTAAGGAAGAGGAGTACAGGGCAGACTATGTATGCAGTTCTGCACTCCTTGGCTTCAGCACTCATTCTCCTGGTGAGTCTTGGAGCATAGAGGAGGGAGAAGAAGAAGGATCAGGTTTGCTTTTTTAACTGATGAGTAAGCTGAGGCACAAGAAAGCAAAGTATGAGAGGCCCAGTTTTCCTGGGCTCCTGAAAGAAGGGCAGCAGGTACTGAGACTCCTTTCGTCCTCATGGGGTTGTGTTGGGCTTTACTTCCAAGCATCACCACAGTAGAGGCCAAGAGAGTACAGCTCTAGCTTTGGCTTTGTCATCAGCAACCTTGGGAACTTGGGCAAATAATTTAAACTGTCCCATCTCTGTTTCCACATCTGTACAAGGGAATCACTTATTTTCTCTACCTCATGGTGTTTTGACGCCCAAAGGAGAGAACACATGCAACGGTGTTTTGGAAAGCAGGAAATGATCATTTATCAGCCCAGCGTGGTGGCTCACGCCTGTAATCCCAGGACTTTGGGAGGCCAAGGCAGTTGGATCACTTGGACCCAGAAGTTCAAGACCAGCGTGGGCAACATGGTGAAACCCCGTCTCTACAAAATTTACAAAAATTAGCCAGGCACTGTGGCATGTGCTTGTAGTCCCAGCTGCTTTGGAGGCTGAGGTGGGAGGATCACCTGAGCCCACAGAGCTTGAGGCTGCAATGATCGTGCCGCTGCAGTGATCATGCCACTTAACTCCAGCATGGATGACAGAGTGAGACCCTGTCTCCAAAAAATGAAAAAAAAAAAAAAAAAAAGAAAATGAAAATGATCACTTATGAATTAATTCCTCTTGATAGCCACATTCCCTTACCTCCTTCTGAATCAGCTTTAAAATTTTCCACCTTCAGAAAACACTCCCTGCCCTGCCCCATCTGCCTCTGCCTCCGTCCTCGGCCCTAGGGTGCTGGGTTTTCACTGGACGTGTCAGTACACTACCCTGTAATGTGCTTTGAGTCTTATTTTTAGAAGTTTCTGCAGCACTTTATCTTTCCATCTGGCCATGAGGAAAGGGGCTGAAGTCCCCCTTTCAAACTAGGCACACCCCAGACTCGGAGCCCCAGGGGGTGGCCGCGCTCCACTTGAAGTGTCAGCACGGTGGGGCTGTGCATGCACCACGGGGCCCTGCCAGGGATGCGGAGCCAGCAGACCTCCATGCGAACTGCAGCAAGGAGTGGGCTCGAAGGGCCATGTGCCTAATCAAAACCAGCTTTGTGCTCACATGGCTGCCCAGGGGATAAAAATAATAGTAATATAAGTTTAAGAGCAGCTTGTATTTTCTATTTTAATCATTTTGTGATGAAATTAAACTCCATTTCTAGATCTAGGCCCCCAAGGCTGAAGTCCTTTGCTTGTGTCCCCAAAGAAGTGTGGGGGAGGAAGATGGAGGTGTGAGGAAGTGGGGGGCCTCTACATTGAGAGGAAAATGTGTCCTTATATAGACAATGCCTCACCCCTCCCACTCCTGGGCTCTGGACTCAAGCTCTCTGGGCAGCGTTTTTTTTTTTTTAATCTCCCCCAAGAGGCTGGTTCCCTGAACTCTGACCCCACGCAGGGGGCATGAGGTCTTGGGAAGCTTCTGGGAGGGGTCCAGCTTCTAGGGGCCCCCAGTGGGGCAGGGCAGAGGGGCTGGGCTCCAGCCTCTCCCTGGGTTGGCTCATCCCTCCTTGCTGGCCTCTCTCTCTGACTGAGTGCAAGCAGTGTGCTAGCGTAGTAAGGAAGAGAGATCAGGATGCTTGCGCTTTCTGGCTCTGCTGCTTAGGAGTTGTGAGTCCCTGGGCAAGTTCCTGAACTTTTCTGAGTCTGAGCTTCCTCACAAGGAAAACCGAAATAACATCACCTCAATAGAAGAGTGAGGGAGGTGTGGCCAAGTCGTAAGGTGATGGCTGACATTTACTGGGTATTGACTCCATGTATGCACGGTGCTAAGTACTTTGTATGCTCAGATCAGGTTGAACTACACCATTCGCCAGTATTGAAGTGTTTTTGACCTACAAAAACAGCAATTTTATTTAGTTTCACATAATACCCGTTAGTTGTCTGTGATGATTTAAAGAATAAATGTGGGCCAGGCGCGGTAGCTCACGCCTGTAATCCCAGCACTTTGGGAGGCTGAGGCGGGTGGATCACCTGAGGTCAGGAGTTTGAGACCAGACTGGCCAACATGGTGAAACCCCTTCTCTACTAAAAATACAAAAATTAGCTGGGCGTGTTGGCGGGTGCCTGTAACCTCAGCTACTTGGGAGGCTGAGGCAGCAGAATGGCTTGAATCCAGGAGACAGAGGTTGCAGTGAGCCGAGATCATGCCACTGCACTCCAGCCTGGGCAAAAAGAGTGAAACTCTGTCTCAAAATAAATAAATAAATAAATGTGGGGGTGGGAGCAGACTTAGTAATATGGCAGGGCTGAGGCCAAGAAAGGAGGGGTGGATCAAAATCAGCTCAGCAATAATCAGAAGTGCCCAGGGGCCAAGATAACAGTGGATCACAGTGGTTAGGCACCAAGGCTTGGGTTTAACTTCCCACTCTGCTAGTTAGGGTGACCTTGAGCAGGTGACTCAGTCTCTGTTTGCCTGAGATGAGGCTATTGTTACTATCACTCCCCTGAAGCCCTCTTGCAAGGTCACCAATGACCTCAATGTTGGCAAACCCAATAGCCAGTGCTCAGGCTCATCTTTATTTGGCAGCAGCACCTGACCCTTCCTTCCTTCCTTTCTTCCTTCCTTCCTTCCTTCCTACCTTCATTCCTTCCTTCCTTTCCTTCCTTCCCTCCTTCCTTCCTTCCCTTTCTTCCTTTTCTTCCTTTCTTCTTTTTTTTTGACAGGGTCTCCCTCTGTCCCACAGGCTGGAGTACCGTGGTACAATCTTGGCTCACTGTAGCCTCAACCTCCCATGCTCAAGCTGTCCTCCTGGCTCATCCTCCTGAGTAGCTGGGACTACAGGCATGCCCCACAGCATCCAGGCAACTTTTGTATTTTTTGTAGAGACAGGGTTTCACCATGTAGCCCAGGCTGATATTGAACTCCTGGCTCAAGCAATTCACCTGCTTCTCAAAGTGTTGGTATTACAGGTGTGAGCCACCACACCTGGCCTGGCACACTAATCTTGATCATTCCTTCCTTTTTGAAGTTCTTAGCATTTGGTTTCTGGGACACCCCCATCTCCTGGGTTTCTTCCCATCTCACTGGAGTACTTCCTTCTTAGTCTTCTTCGCAGGCCCCTGTCCTGCCCCTGCCTCTCTCTCTCTCCCTCTTCTTATAGCCACCTCTGTACTCTCCAGGGACCTCATTCAACCCCAGGGCAGTGAATGGCCTCTGTGTGTGGATGGCTCCCTGTATCCCACCTCCAACTCTGACCTCCCCCTCAACTCCAGGTTCACCTAAACACCTGCCTATGTGACAGGACCGCTTGAGAGGTCAAATAGCAATCTTAAACTTCACATGCACTAAACTCTTGATCGTGCCCCCCAGCCCCACCATTGGTCTTCACTCCCCCATGAAAACTGAGTCATCTTTAACTTCTCTCTCTCTCCATACCCAGCTCACCAGCAACTCATATCAGCTCTACAGCCAAAGAGGTTATGAATCTGATCACTTCCTGTCCCTATTGTGGCAACCCCCCATTGTGCTCCCTGCTTTCCCTCTGACTCATCCTGGGTCTGGTCATCACATGGACATGAGTGATCCTTCATAAATGTCCAGTGTTGGCCCATAACACTTAGAATAAAATCTCATTTTTTTTGTCCTAGCCAACACTGCCTGGATCTGGTCCACGGTCCTCCTCAACCTCACTTCCTACCATCCTGCCCCTTGCTCATGGCTCCACCACCCTGGCCTCCTGCCTCCTGAAACGCCTTAAGCACAGTGTCCTCAGCTCAGGGCTATGCTCTTGTTGTCACCTTGTCCCTCTTCCTTCCCTGCTTCCTTCAGTCTCTGTTCAAATGTTCCTTCCTCAGAGGGGCCTCAGTGACCACCCCCTCCAAAAATGGTATTCTCTCCCCCATTACCCTGCTTTGCTTTCTTCATAGCTGGTGACATTACCTGAGGATATGACACAGCTGTTCACCTGCATTACTGCCTCTTTCCCACTAGAAAAGTCCCAAAAGCTGGAACTTTTCCTACTTCATTTACTGTTTTAAAACCAGCTCCTATGGCAGTGCCTGGCACAGAGTGGGCACTCAGATATTAGTTGAATGACTGAGTGATGGCATGAGTACCCACTGGAGTGTCCCTTCCCATCACAATCATGCATGACCCTCTGTGGTCACAAAGCCCTGGTCTCACTGGTACCAAAAGCTGGATGCCCTGGCCAGGGTGGCTGGGGACAGGAGGCCTGAGTTGAGAATGACTGGATGAGCCAGTGAGGGGCTAAGGTGTTTTTTGAGTCCTCTCATGGGATTCTGGCCTAGGAAGGACTTAGTTTCCTCACTGCTCATCTGGGTTGGAATGAGAGGAAAGGGGTTACTGAGTCCCACGTGCAGAAGGACCTCCCCACAGGGAGGACTGTTACTCAGGGAGGTCTGGATCACTCTGGGAGCGGGCCCCACCATGGTAATTCACTGCCCGGGGAGGCTGTGTCAGGCTGTGGAAAGGAACAGGTTTCAGAGCCAGACCACTGAGTCCTGCCAGGATATTTCATGTTGTAATTCACTGTGCAGGGTGGAGCCCCAACACCAGATCTACACCTACTGTCTGTGGGGCCTGGAAGGCAGCTGACCCTTGGTGAGCCTCAGTTTGCTCACTGAGAAAGACACCCTGCCCAACTGTTGCATAGACTGAAAATGCAAAGTGCACAAGAGTCTCTGGCCAGGACAGGCATTGAAGGTCAGCTTGTTCTCCTCCTGGGTGAGTTTTCGGGCAAGTCCACGTTTACTCTAGGTTTTAGCTCCCTTCTATGTGGCACAAGTTAACCCTTGTCTTCTGCTGAGTTCAGAAGGAAGGGTGATATGACCATAATCAAGCAAGTTCATAAACACCCCTTTTCTTAGGAAAAAGACCCAAACACATGATTAAAATAGCCAGCTGTGCTGTGTTATAAAGGTTACATCCCTTATCTTTATGATATGAGGGAATCAGTAGTGTGGGTAATGCTATTTTAGCCCCATTTGCCTCATTTTTATGAGATTTTGAAAGATATGTTGGCCTCAGATGTATGGTCTCGATGGTGTTTGGCACAGGATGAGTGAATGATAGCGACTTTCAGGGGCCAGGCCAGCCCTGCTGAGTGGCTGGGGAAGCCAGTCTGAAGTCAGCACCAGCTGTAGTCCCATCGCCTAGTGGAGATGGACCTCATTGCCCCATAAGAGGGATGAAGGCCTGGTTCTATGCAGAGGTTGGGTGGGCAGTTGCAGCTGGAGACAGGCTGGAAGAGCCCACACAATGGCTGGGCTTGAAAATTCAGTCATTGTTGCTGCTTACGGCAAGTAGTTCTTCAACGTATTCTGATTCATGACTCCTTTTGAGAATTTGACTAAAAACTATGGACCCCTCTCTTCAGAAAGATGCTCCAACCCACATAATGCAACATTTTGCCTGTAATTTCAGGGGAGGCACAAACCCACTGGGATCCCCAAGTCAAGTATGATGCCTTGGGGAGTAGGGAGAGCTGAGGGGATGAGGGGACAGAATGAGGGCAGGAGATGTAGCCTAGCCAGTGGGGTGGAGCACCAGACGATAGAAAGGCGACAGGGGAGCTGTCAAAGTGACAACAGTCCTTTACTACTTTCCTAGAGAGGCTCTTGATGAAAAAATAAAGCTAAATGTGGGCAAACAGGATGCTAATATATCTGTAAGTATAGCAACAGGGAAAGAAAAGCAGGGGGAAGAGGCCACCCTTATCCTTTCTGTCAACAAAACCAAACCCAATGGACTGAGAGTCAGTCCTGTTATCTCAGCTGGGCTCCCTCCTATCACTTTTCTAGCTCTTCTTCCAAGACCCAGCTCCCAATTTGCAGCTGGAGGCCTAACTCTGCATTTGAAGGAATTAGGGATAAATAATGATGGTCATCAAGATTAGTGGAGAGGACAAGGGAATCTGCCAGCAGACTCTGGGCAAACAAAGCCTTTTAAGTTGCAGAATGAATTCCCCAAACCTTAAAAAAAAAATCCCCAAGTGTATTCAGTAGGGGAAAAGGAAATTTCATCTTGAAAACAAATCTAGAAAAGGTGCTGACATTTTACAGATAGGGAGAATGAATTGCTCTCCTGCCTTCAGCTAGCCATGTAAACAGGACCTAAAGAGGCTCCGAAAGCCGATAACCTCCTTCACTAGCTCGGGAACCAGTGTGAGTCCCAAACGAGCAGAGGGGTGTTAGACGTGGGCTTCAAGGATCATGTTTTCAGAAACGCTATACTTTACAGTGCAGCACCTGTATAGAAAGAAGCAGGACTGTGATCTGGGTGGGTGACAGCCTGGGTGAGGAGAGACTCCCACACAGGAGTCATCAGCCACAGCATCCACTGTGCAGAACCTCAAAATGTGTCCCATGCCCCCTCTGAATTGAGCATAAACTTGGACACATCAAGTCCGCTTCCTTAGACTCAGAGCCCCTATAGCACATATACGCACGATCTCCAAGGAGAAGTACACAGTATTAGATGAGTTCAGCTTACCTTTCGGCTATTAACAATTAATTCGTGCTGCCATTGTGTTTTTATAAAAAAGACTTTCTTTTCCACCTCTCTCCCATTCATCATGTTCCATAGAGCTCAGCTCTGTGATCAGGAAACCAATTGTAAAGTCCAGAATGAGGACACGGGCTCTACATGGTGTGGAATGGCAGTGAGACGGGCTAGGACTTCAGAACTCAACTGATCACACACAGGAGGGAGAAGAACAACCAAGCTGGGCTTCAAGATGCCTTATTTGGACACTAGTTTTTGATGTGTCTCTGATGGTTATTAACCAGACATTTCAAGGGCAAGAAACTATTTCCCCAAAACTACCTTTTGAGACATTTCCAGGTAAGTGCCAAATACAAAGAAATGATCCTGGGTTGTGAGTCCTGGGATGGGGTTCTGGCCCCAGCTTGGCCCTAAATGGGCCAGAGAGCCCCCCTCCAAAATGCATTTCCTCTCTGGATGCCCTCAGTTTCTTATCTGTAAAATGAGGGTGTTCATCTAAATCATCACGAGGTTCATCCTACTTCTCAGGTTCCAATTCTATACTCCCCAGGAAGGAGAGAAAAAAGAGTCATGAATGCACTTCCTGCATTTCCTTAGGACAAAGCCCAGTTCCTCGCAGCTTGGCACTGCCTCTTCCTAACACAGAAACTCCGCTAAGACCTGGCAGGCCTGCTTTCTCCCCGATGTGTCCTCCCACCTCCCTCTGCAGTATTATTATTACTACTACCATTTTGTTTTGGCAGAGGCTGCCCTGTCCTCTCTGTCCAGAGACTCAGCCCCGACTCACCTCCTCTAGGAAGTCTCCCACACGGACCTCGCTCTGCTCCCTCCTCCTCACGGCTGACCCTGCTGGGTCGTCCTGCCAGCTCGGACACTTGTTTGTTGTGGCTTTTGTAAAATACTCTGTAGTCATTTTCCTGTGGGTGTGTCTTTTCTACTGCCCAGTGCCCCAGCTTCCCAGCTCAGAAGGTTCTGGGTGTGGGGATCAGGACTGGGAGGGGGACAGGACAGCCAGGGGAGGGGTGAAGCCATGTAGGTGATCAAGTAGAGCTGCCACTTTCCTTCCTGTCTCTTTTTCTTTTGGCAAAAGATATTCATTCATCCAAAATGAATGCCTTTGGGTAGGGAGGGCAGTGTTGGAGGCAGTTCTGTCTGACAGGCAAGGTATGGTAAGGAAGGGAGGGGCTGAGAAATGGGACCCCTGTGTATGGGTGGCGGCGATGGGTGGGCACGACCTACCATCCACGGTGACTTGGCAGGAGCACTCCGCCTGGCCAGCGTCATTCTTGGCTACACACTTGTATAAGCCTCTGTCCTCAGGCAGTGCCTTCTCGATGGAGACGGAGCAGAGTGAGCCTGGGGAGGAAGAATTGTGGAGTGAACCAGGTGTGGTCGTAGTACCTGCCCTGGCATCTGGAGCGCAGCAGGTGAGTGTTACTCGCACGGGCAGCCTCTGGGAGCCCAGAAGCCAGAGGCCTTGTGGGAACCAATCCCCCACTCCTCACCAAAGCCAGGGAACTTTCTGCTTATAACCCATGTCCAAAATAACTGATCCCTAAATACGTTCCTTCCTGATACCTCCTCCCCCACTCCAAAGAGTCCTCTTGTGGGGACATAATAGAAAGCTGCAAAAGAAGGGAGAGAAATAGCCTCTGCCTTTGGAGACCATCCAATACAATACAAGGAGATGCACACAGGCCCTGCCCCCTGGACGTCACCAAGAGAGAAAAGGAGTCCGACACAGGGTTACAGACCTGTGTTAGGAACAGTGACAGGTGAGGAGGTCCCACTTTGTTTACAGCAGTGATGCTGTGACTGCATTCTGGAAAAGGGAGCTTTGAAGCTTTGAGCAAAGAAGTGGGTGGAGGAGGCTAGGAGCCCTTGTCCAGGAGGGGCACCGGCCTGTGGGAAGATCTGTTGGGAGGTGGTGACTACACCCAGGAGCTGACTTTTTAGGAAAGGTGTCTGAGCTGGAGAACCACGGCCAATGAGGGGGACTGGACCTGCAGAGGGGCCCTCTGGGGCTGCCTCCCTTCGGAGTTGGGTCTTCTGGTTGCCCCAGAGAGAAGTGGGGATGGCCTTTCTTCTCCATGGACTCTCCCCTGGGCCTGCCTTCACTCCCAGCACCATCTTCTGGCCTGGTTTGGGGAAGGAGGTGTCAGCTAGGCACACACAGGAATCTAGGGTCTCGTCCTGGCCCCTGCCAGCTCTCTCATCCCAGAACTGGTTACTTCTCCTCTGGGCCACCCCTTGGGGAGGTTCCCTCAGGGTGTGGAAAGAGGCCTGCTGGGCCAGGCAGAAGGGCAGCAGTTCCTTATTCTTGCTTTCAGATGCACAAACAAGTAAATAGCAGGGCATCCTGCTCAAAGCTGCCCCTGTTGTCAGGGAAGCAACCGTCACACAGGAGGACAGAGCCAGGGCCACATGCACTTTGCTGCCTGGAGCTCCCATCTCATGTCCCACAAGCCACTGGCATTGGGAGGGAAGAGCTGGGTGCATTCTGAGTGGACACCAACTACTGTCCCTGCCCCCCATTACACAAATGCACAGCCTTGACCAGCAAATACAAGGAGATTAGAAAGAGTAAGGATATCAGTTCTGCCCAGAAAACCTCACTAAGGCTGGAAGAGGAAGGAAGGGTGTAATATTCCCCTTTACTCCTTGCCACCAGGGTACTGTTTTAAACAGAGAAACCTTCATCCTATAAACCACCTGGGGCAAGAGGGCTGATCTGCACCCCACTCCCCACTTCCTATACCCTTATACAGACCCCAAACCTCGGGAAGGCTTCACTCTGTTCTCTTCCCTTTGTAGTTAGGAGTCAGAATTTGTAGAAACTGTAATGGAGAGGATTTAGGCTGGAATTTTAGGAAGTCTGTCATAAGAGTAAGAATCGTGAGGCACAGGAGTGGGGAATGAGGATAACCATGTCCTGGAGAGAGAACTTTCCATTCATCTGGGTGGGCGGGAGGATGCCAAGATGACCTCTGGCCCCAACTAGAGGGGCTCAGAGGCTTAGCAGAGACCAATCCCATCTGGAAATTTTCCCTCAAGTCAGGGTGGGGCTAAGGCTTTGGGAACAGATATCCCACCCCCAACGCACATCCTGTTCAAATCCTTGATTTTCTTTCAGTTTCAGTCCCTCAGCTGCCTTGAGTCTTAAGTCAAAATGATACAAGCTGCAAAGACAGTACACAGAGAGTAGAGGGGCATGTGGACCCGGCCCCTGCCTCCTCTCCCAGGGCAAGGCATGGGGCAGGCAGCTTTTCCAACCTGCCCAGAGCCTGGACCCCTGGCCATGTGCATGGGCTTGGGGAGGCCCCCCTAGCAGGCTTGCAGGCTTGGCTACCCCAGATGAAGAATCTGGTATTTCCTGTGGGACAGTTCATTCTTGACCTCTAGAAGAAAAGCTGTTTCCCAGAGGTTTTTTTTTGAGAAGCCTCAGCCTGGTGGGGAATTCTGAGAGGGAGATGAGGGGGATGGGAGAGGTCAGCATCACTGCAGAGCTCCGCCTGGGAGAGCCCCTCAGGGCTGTGGTGGAGTAAGCGCTCCTGGGTCTGAAGCTCCCCCAGCTCTCTCCTTTTCTGAGTTGGGGGCAGAGGGGAGGAAGGGGATGTGGATGGAGGGAGGGAGCTTCCTGGAGGCTCTGCTATAGGGCTGCCTCAGTCAGCCTACCCAGCCCACCTGGCAAGCCCAGACAGTAAGACTCATCTCCAGGTCACCCCTGCAGGCATGGTGTCCTCCTTGTTCCCCCTAATCCCCCAGGCCTAGGCGGACCTCTTCTGTGCTCCCAACTCTGAGCTCACCCATGTCAAAGCACGGCTCACAAGGCCATTGCTGACCTGCATGCCTGTCTCCCACACCAGCTCTCAGAGGGCAGTGACCCTGTCTAACACCACTGTTTTTCCTAAGCCTGGAATGCAGTCACAGTAAAACATATTTGTCATTCTGAGAAGGATGAAGGCATATTTCTGTAGCAGGTGATCTGGTAGGATCTATGTAAGAAAAGGTCACAAACAGTTAAATATAACTTACTATTGAAAAAGATAATATATAGTTTCTGAAAAAAGAAAATTCAGAGTTCTTTGAGTGGATTATGCACACAACAAAGGGCATTAGAATAATGCCTTGCTCATAGTAGATGCTGCATAAATCCATTTTTCGTAGGATGAACTTACATGGGTTTTTAAAAAGCCTTTGCAAAATTCTACCCTGAAGGCAATTAAAAATGAATTACCTATTCACAACAGCAACAAAAATGAATCCTCATTGTTAGACTCGGAAAAGTGTTTTGCCAGGAGGAGGAGCCTGGCCTGGAGACAGGAAACAAAGCATAAAGATAAAGCTCTTCTCAGGCCACCACAGAGCTCCCCTCAGCTCACGGGACCATCGGCCTCCCACCACCCCTCAGCAGAGGCAGGTCCCGGAAGGGCTAGGAAAAGACTTGGGGGCAGAGGGCAGGCCCAGTTGGTGGTAACTCTGAATCCCATCAGCCCTGCAGCTCTAGGGGTACAGGAAGAGGAAGGACACCTCCACGTGTCTGTGTCCTGCCACAAATCAACTAGTGGTGAACTCTAGCCCATGGCTGTCAAACCTCTTCTGCTTTCCTCAGCACGAAAGGGGGTGAACTAAATGGGGTGATGTAATCCTGTTTGGGTGGGGGTCTGTGGGCTATGAGCCCTATCTAAGCTACAGACATCAGAGAAGTCCCCTGAAACCTATAAACAGCACGTCCACTAGCAGTTGGTGCACGCAGATACACAGGTTGATGGGGAGGGGACAGTGCAAGAGTCTCTCGTGGCCAAAGGTGGGTGACAACAGGAAGGCATCCTGGAGGAAGTGAATCTTGTTTGTAGCAGAGCTGACAGGGTGGGGATCAGTGCAGTGGAGCAAAAAGGGCTCCAAGTCAGGAAGCCGGGGGCAGGGCCAGTGCTGAGCTGAGTGTGAAGGATGCAGGACGGGAGGCCAGCGGAGCCATTCCCTCACCTTCCCCTAGAAGCCTCCTCCAACCACCGGCTTCCTTATTCCCACTGACACGACCACTGAGACCCCAGCCACTCAGGCACCCACACTTAGTGGTCTTCCATTCCTTCATCTTCTTTACCTACCCCCACCCCCATCCTGCCCTTCCAAGCCAGGCAACAGGTGCCATTACTTCTATCCTTGCTTCTTGAACTGGTCATTCCCTGACTGTGGTTGTGGCTACTACGCTAGTCTAGGCCTCACCATCTTCCTCTCGACCTCTTCAGTAGGCTCTGTATTTGTCTTTTGGGCACAGAGTCCACCAAAACCCCTAAACTGAGCTTCATGTACAGTGTTCTTCATCCCAAAATCTTGCATGATTCCCTACTGCCTTTAGACTGGAATTCCTTGGCAGAATATAGGATGAAACTGGGGCCATGTCATCCTCTCCAGCCCAGAACAAGCTGTTAGCAGGACGCCTCTGCTGCTGCGGGGCCCCCGCCTGGAAGCCCGTCCCCTCTGGCCTGTCTTCGGGGCTTAGATCAAAGTCCAGCACTCAGCTCCCTCTCTTCCCACTTCCAGCAGCTCCTCCCGACACACTCATAGCACTTGTCAGCACTTGGCTGTAACAATTTTATCACTGTGAGTGTGTCTTCTCCTTCCACATCTATTGAGAAAAGACTCCCTCCACCTCTCAGAATGCCCTACTGCCTGAGGAGGGACCTGCTTAAATGGTGACTGATAGATGAAGCCTTAAGATAAGTTTTTTCCTTAACAAAACACTGGGCTCTTGAAGTCTTGGCGAGTGAAGGGACAGAAGGTGGGGCCGATTTTTTGAGACAACGCACTCTCCTGTACTGAAGCAAGACAGGCCCATTGCAAGGTCTGCTTCCACCACTGCAGGGAAAATACCAGAAACCTGGCAAGGCTAGGGGCACCATCAGTGTTTCAACCTTTGGACAACTCTTAACAAAATCGAGGAGTAAATAGTCATTAGTGTTTTCTGTTGATAGACAAATTCTCAGCTGCCACCAGTACCCTGATAAAATAATAGGAATTAACTAAGAGGTCATATAGCACGGTGGTCTAGGCACGGGAACTCAGCCACCTGAGTTCAAATCCCAGCTCTGTTACCCCCAGCACCTTGCATTTGGCAAGGTACTTAACTTCTCTGTTAGGTGGACAGTACAGTCATTGTTGGGAGGATTAAATGGGTGAAAAGTGTAAGAGGCCTAAGATAGTGTCTAACACATAGTGTTCAACATATGTCAGCTATTCTTTAAACACAATTTAAAAATATTTAGAAGATGTCTTACAGTTTGATTTGGGGCTCTCTCTGGAATCCCTTTCCACCTCTCCTGGTCTCTCTCTCCCCTTCGTGTGCAGCCTTCCTTGGATCATTTCTTCTGCTGCTGCTCTGGATCTGAACTGTTCCCTCTGGGACGGTTTCCATGGGAAGGGAGGCTGGAGTGGCTAGGATCTCTAGGCTCTTTACCACTAAGGGACCAGCAGGGAAAACATACTGCAGGCACTCAGGGCACGAGAAGACAGTGGCTAATGGCTCAGAAGAGTTTCTGAGACCAGGCCTGGGGTCTGCCTTACATCGCTTAGTTGAGTGAATTGTTTGTAAGTGGCTGTTGATGGCTCTGGGTTTAAACCCCATGCAAGCCCAAGAACAGCTGCCCCCAACTGACTTAACCTCAGTTTCCCTGAGGCTGGAGCAGCCACAGACCTCCCAACGCCAAACCTGCTGAGACCCTGAAGCCCATGGGCAGCGCCAAGCCTGATGAGAACCTGAAATCCACTAGCAAAGAAGAACTCAAGAAAGATATTAAGAATGATGCGAACTGCAAGAGAGGCCATGCAGGGACCACAGATAATGAAAAGAGATCAGAGAGCCAGGGGACAGCCCCAACCTTGTCCTGAGGATGGTGGATGCCACCCTGCATCCTGCCTGGAGAGATCACCGTAGGGTGACCTGGGAAATGTTCCCAGTCAGGGTTTCCAATCAGTTTTACCAAGGACTTTCCAAGTGGGAGAGCCCCACAGGGGCGGCAGGACAGGTTGTGGCGTCTGCTCCTCTGAAGTCTCACCCCAGCCCAATAATCCCCCATGCCTCAGGGGAGGGGGGCTGAGCCAGCAGAGGTGGGGGATGGAGGAGACGACTTCTGGAGGACCCTGCCAATCTGAGGACATCCACATGGAAAAGTTACTGCGTCAACACATTAGCAGAAAATAACATGTTTCTCTCTGCCAGCCAGTGTCCCCTTCACTCTTTCAGCGCTGAGATTCAATATACTCAGCTGCTCCAGGTGTGCTGTCCCAGATGTAGAGGGAAGACAGACCCTTACCGGGGGCTGAGAGGGATTCTGTGATCTTCAAATGCTCCATTCTGCTTGTGAGGGGAAGGCAGGCACGATAAAAGGTGAGGGAGGGAGTGGGGAGGGTGCTGCCAGGGGCCAGGGAGGGGAGCAGCCCACAGGAAGAGCACTCTGACACCTCAGCTGACTCAGATTTGACAGGACCTGTCCACTCCGGCTTCTTCTGTGGCTGCCCTCTGCCCCTCAAGGGTGAAATGTCACTTCCTGGGAGCTTCTTTGTACCCTACCCTGTCTGGAGCCACCAGCATCAGCTCAGGCAGGACTCTGTTCTGTGCTGGCAACCTATCCCTCCGCTGGCTGCCAGAATGGGGTGTGGAGGTCGGCCGGCCTCAGAGCTCCCACCCAGACTTGGGATTTACAAAAGCACTTCAAACCAAATTGAGGGTCCAGAGAAAATACTCCTGTGTCACCCCCATCTCTTCTCCAAGTATAAACTGGCTCCTCTGAAAACTCCAGACCCCAAAAGTCCACACAGATGGAAGGATTTGGGGCCCCCCTCCTCTCCCCACCATCCAAGAATGTGAAATACCAGCAAACAAAAGTCTCATCCAAATTAGGAAGCGAGTAGCTCTGTCTGCCCGTGAGTGTGTGCTGTAGGGGCTGTTTTGGGATTTTGGGTTTCCCGACAGATCCCTTCAAACCCACAGTGCTATCAAGACTGAAGTTATTGTTGACCCCAACTCAGAGCTCCGTGCCATCTGGTCACTGCACACCGTTCCCCAAACCTAAGATGCTTCTCTAAACAGCTCTTTACTCAGAGCTTCTCCCTGGCTCCAGCCTCTGTGTCCCCCACCTCCAAGCCTGTAGACAGAGCCCTCTCCATGCCGGAGCTTGGAATTAACTCAGGCTCAGGTCTCCTCTGGGGAGCCACAGGTGGCGGTGCCATGAGAGGGCTCTGCCAGATGGGTGCCGAGATGTGGGCATGTGCCACAAGGACCAGGATCCCAGCCCTTAGCCCCAGCCTTGGTGCATGTACCCAAGGCCCCTGAGCCGGGACCTATCCTTGAGTTAGCAGGAAACAGGGACGCGGCCCTCCTACCCAGCAGGCCCTCCTACCTGCTAAACCAGGTTAGCAGCCTACCTATGGGCTGCTAACAGGGGTCAGCGAGACCAACGCTCCATGAGCTAGGAGTGGCCCTGGTACAGAGGCCCCTTCTTCCCCAACCCCCATGCTCATTTACCTTCCTGGGAGAGGATGATGAACTTGGTGGTCTTGAGGGTCTTTCCGTTCAGCGTCCAGATGATGGTGGCTGGGGGGTCAGAAGACACCTGGCACTGGAGCAGCAGCTTCTTGCCCTCTGCCACATGAACATCTTGCAGCTTCTGCTTGAAGGCTGGGGCTGTCCCCTGGCTCTCTGATCTCTTTTCATTATCTGTGGTCCCTGCATGGCCTCTCTTGCAGTTCACATCATTCTTAACGTCTTTCTTGAGTTCTTCTTTGCTAGCGGATTTCAGGTTCTCATCAGGCTTGGCATTGCCCATGGGCTTCAGGGTCTCGGCAGGCTTGGCGTTGCCCATTGGCTTCAGGGTCTCAGCAGGCTTGGCGTTGCCCACGGGTTTCAAGGGCCCTGAAGGCTGTGCATTGCTCAGGGGCTTGGAACTCTCCACTGCCTTGGCATTCAGGGTCTCGGCACTGCTGCTGCCATTCTCTGCTGGTAATTTCTTCTTGCCACCCAGCACTGAGCGAAAATCCGGGGTGGCAGGTTTTGGCGGTGGCACCTTCTCAGGCACGGGGGTCTTGGAAGTCCCCTTCTTGGCCAGGACAGAGCGAAAATCGACCTGCTGGGGGCTGTGCACCTTCCTCTCTTCCTCAGACACAGTCTTTGGCTTCACTTGCCGCTGCAGGTTGGCACGGAAATCCATCTGCTCGGCTGGGATCTCCTTCAGGTCGTCTTCCGATAGGGTCTTTGTACTCACCTTCTTCCCCAGGAGGTCTCGGAAGTCCAGCTGCTCCACCTCCTGCTGGCGGATCGCCTCCTCAGTGTGCTGCCTCGTCTCCACGCGCCTCTTCAGCACCCCTCGCACGTCCTCGCCGTCTTCCTCCTCTAGCCAACCCTGCCCTCTTGCTGGCCAGCCAGGCCTCAGGGACCCATAGCGGTCACTACCACCACCATCAGCACCAACTCCTCCACCACAGAGGTCCTCGCAGCTGGCAGGCTCCCTCCCCCTGCAACCAGTGTAGGGAAAAAGGAAAGTAGCAGGAGGAAAAGGGGCTGGGTAAGAAAGAAACTTCAGGGGAGAGCAAATCCCTGAGGGTGGGAGGGTAGAGGGGAGCGGGAGGGGATGGGGGAGGCCGGCCAGGCTGTGTTTATAGATGGGAACATTGGTGAGAGGCGCTCGCTTGCTTAGTTGGTTTATTACATCGGTAATGACTTCAGTAGCCTTATAAGGGTGTGTGCAAAAAAAAAAAAAAAAAAAATCACCCCCTCCTTCCCCTGCTCTCCCTCCCTCATTCCCCTTCCAGGCTCTCCCTTCTGGCTTTGGCAGCCTCAGCTGCAGGACACAAACAATCTAGGGCTGCTGGGCTGGAGCTGCCGGGGCCAGGAGGAAGGTGGGGATGGGGGCATGGCCTGGAGGGGCAGCTCCTGGGGGCACTCACCGTGGAAGGGCTCTGGCAGAGCTGTTCTGTAGCATCAGTGACACCTGGCAACTGCATTCGCCAACCCGGTTCCTGAAGAATTCCAAAGATCAATAAAGATCAAGAGGCCCTCTGGGCAAAGGGCCTGTTCAGTGTGGACTTGATCACAGGCTGCTGGCCAGCGGGGAAGATGGAAGTCGCCGGCTTGACTGAGACATTCACCCCAGCCTTAGATTTAGGGCAGGACCCTCTCACTGTGTGGTCACCCTTTATTTTCTCAGCTCTTATTTAAAAAGAAGAAGAAAAAAAGAATGTCTGGACAACAGCTAAGGCAGGCATCCAGAAATAGGAACACTTTTCTGTAAGTATATAATATAATCATTCAATCAATCACTCACTCACTCAACCAATAAAAGGGGAAGGAGAAAGGCTAACCCTGCTGGGAACTGTGATGTAGCAGGTTGGTCTAGACAGATAGGCCCTGGTGGTGGGCCTGCCCAGTGACCTTGACTCTGACTCCATGATCCCTTAACACAGAAGTAGTTCCTTTCCCTCTCTTGCTCGGGAATGGAAGCACCCTTAACCCCCACTCATTGATAATGCTCTCAGATCAGAACTTTTTGTGTTAAAAACCCAACAAGTGTTTTCCTACATGAGTGGCCCTTTCTCTTCTTCCTTCAGGTGGGGAGGGCTCTGGATTCTTCATGTCCATAAACCTGGTCAGTCTCCTGCTGGTGCACAGAGGCTCAGGCCCTCTGCTCAGGGGAGGGGCTGTACCCTGTCTGGCTACAGTGCAGTGGATTTGCAGCAGATTGTCCCTCCAACCCCATAAGGCTGCCACCTGCTGGCATTTCTGAGCTCTGACCAGACAAGAAGGTTCTGCTCAGGCTAGGGGAAGGGGTGGGGGCAGGTCTGCGAGCCAGAGGTGACTAGTGATGGTTGTAACAACTGCATTTCATACAGCACCCTCCAGCTTTCATGACACCCACACGCAGTTCTTTCTTGATATCCACAGCATGCCAGAGAGGTATAGAGTACTGCCATGCCCAATTTAAAGATAAGGAAAGGGGGCTCTGGGGTGGGACCCTCAGGGTCTCTGACAACAGTGCTCCCACTCATGCCCCTGGATGTGGCCGTCTCACTAGCACTCAGACCCAATAGCAGATGTGCCAAGCTCTGTGACAGATTCTTTACATGAGCCATCTCATTTAATCTTAGAACAGCTCTGTGAGATTAGAGTCACCACTGTTTTTATAAGGTAAGAAATATGAGGCTTATAAAGGTAAAGTAGTCCAGGCGCAGTGGTTCATGCCTGTAATCCCAGCACTTTGGGAGGCTGAAGTGGGAGGATTGCTTGAGCTCGCACGTTTGACACCAGCTTGGGCAACATAGCAAGACCTTACCTCTATTAAAAAATATAATACTGAAGGTCAAGGTTAAGTAATTTGCCTAAACACACAGAGCTTGCTAGTGGAGGGAGGGGTTGGGACCTGTGACCCTATGACCTTTGCACTCTACCCTACTGTGCTTATCAGTACAAATCTGGTCTGGGACATGTGTGTGTTCATGCACATATGTAGTTATCAACCATACACATGATGTACACATATACTGGTCTAGCTGGCAGGCACCTGCACCTGGAGGTCTGTGTTTGGGAATATGTGCACATATGAGTTACATCCACCTGGACAGGCATCTGAGCATGCGTTCTTGTGTATTCTGCTGGCGTGTGTGGGTCTCCACCTCACTCTGCCTGGCCTCCCTCCCAGTGGACAGACACTGGTAGCCCATGGCCTGGCCCAGGATTCTCAGGGGCTCTGGGGCGCTGCTCACCCTTGGGTGCTGGCACCCATTTGAAGCAAGGAGAAGCCAATCGTTGCTGTCCTCCAGCCCTCCTCCCGCCTGCTGGGCTCCTCTCCTTTGTCCTTCTCTCCAGTGCCCTCGTGCTGTCCCAGGCTGTGCTGGTGCAGGTGCCTTCCTGACTGCCTTAGCTCTTTCACTCCTCTCTCCTCCCTGGCCATGTATCCCATAGCCTGTCCCCTCCCAGCCACCCTCCTCAATGCTCAGACTGTCAGAGGGCACAGATTCAAGGTGCAGGGAGTCTCAAGTCTGGAGAATTTTGAGTTCAGGTTGTTCCTTTGCTCAACAAACAGCAATTAGAAACCTCATGGGTGCCAGGCCCTGGGAGAACGAAGAGGTCCTCAGTGTGCCCCGAGTTCTCAACACTTAAAAAGGCTTATGGACTTTGGGTGAGCTTGTAGAATAACTGTGTGAGGTCACCCTGCTTCTGCCAGGCTGCTGGCCAGTGTCAGGCCACTCTTTTCCTACCTTTAAGCACAGCCTTGTGGTGCCTGGGTTGACATGGAGCAGGAAGATGAGATGCCCAAGGGCTGTGTTTGCCTGGCAGCCCTTTCAGCATCTCCTCAGCAGAGTTTCCTCCTGTCACCAGTAGAACACAGCCCAGATGCAAACATCAGGAGCAGACACTGCCCAGATGGCGGCTTTACCCCAGCTGGACTCCTCTGAGGCTTTGGTGGTGGACAGCCCTGTGCCGCAAGCTGGAGTAAGCCGATTCTCCCCATGGGGGAAGCAGGTAAGGGCTTCTGTCACTTTCCATGACCTGTGCTCAAGGTGGGGAGCACAGACTCAGACAAGCCTCTCAAGGGCTCCTGTCCAATCCAGCCCCAGGCCTTACCCTGTGGCCCCCAGCAGTCTAAGGGGTCAGAGAAAGGTGGAGGACTTGGGATACAAAGGCTGACGCATTAAGTGGATCACCTGGTGGCAGGGCAATAGCAGTAACTATTCCTACAGCCATACCCTTAAATCTCTGCTGGGCCTTTAAAGCAAACCATGGGTTCATTTGCAGCCTATAAAGTTCATAGTGGCCTCCTGCCTGGGACCCACATGTCAGATCACCTAAGCTGCTGGAACAGGGTCTTGGGGCCATCTTTGACATCTGCACATAACCAGTTACAAAATCAGGGCCGGGGCTGAAGATGAGGCCCCATCCCAGGAGCTGCCACAGAGCATATGGGGCTATCATCCTATAAACTGAACCTTTCACAAAGAGTCCTTTTGCCTTGGCTTACTAAGCTCTGAATAAGAGTTCCACTCTGGTTACAAAGCCTTGGATCCTGTCCCACCCTGAATCATCTACCTCTTGGATGGGTTCTATATGGAAAAATTACTTTAAAGAACTAATTTCGGCCGGGCATGGTGGCTCACACCTGTAATCCCAGCACTTTGGGAGGCTGAGGTGGGCGAATCATGAGGTCAGGAGATTGAGACCATCCTGGCTAACACAGTGAAACCCCGTCTCTACTAAAAATACAAAAAAAAAAAAAAAAAAAAAAATTAGCCGGGCGTGGTGGTAGGCACCTGTAGTCCCAGCTACTCAGGAGGCTGAGGCAGGAGAATGGCGTGAACCCGGGAGGTGGAGCTTGCAGTGAGCCAAGATCGTGCCACTGCACTCCAGCCTGGGCGACAGAGTGAGATTCTGTCAAAAAATAAAAAATAAATAAAAAAGAACTAATTTCCTGGCAAGTGTCAAGTGTTTCAAGTATTCCAGCTGGAATTTTGAGCTGACTTTTTGTCATTTCCCCTTTTGGTACAGTAGACAAGAGCTAGGAAGGGAAGAGAGGCAGAAACTACCCACCCATACCTGCCTCACAATCCTAGCAGGGACAGGCAGGATCTGCCCACCCCTCTACCCCCTGCACACCGGACCCCCGGCTTCCTCCCAGCCATCCAGTCATTCCCCTCGAAAGGCACCCTGCTCTACGTCTAGGTTGCTGGAGGAGTGAGGTCTCTGGCAGGCCTGCCACGTACCCTCAGGAAACTCTCCACTGACTTGCTTCTTCTCAGGTGGGGAAAAAGCCAAGGCCAGGGCAGTGGCCTCCGAAAGGAATGAAGAGGCTGGACTTTGGGGAAGAAAAAGAGGCAAAGGCTGCAGGCTGGAGGCTCCAGTGTGGTTTCCCAGGTCCTTCCAGTTCCCTGTGCACTTGGGAGAAACTCCCCAAGCAGAGCCATAAGGAATGGAAGAGCATCTGATTTAAGTCAAAAGATGAGGGCTTGAACTTGGGCTCTGTTACTTGCCTTTGGATGGCCACAAGCAAGTCCACGACCCTGAGACCTCAGTGTCCCCCGTTATTAAATGAC